>NC_000007.14:65840112-66143142 GCF_000001405.40 Homo sapiens | reverse complement strand
TCACCCTCAGGTAAAGTCAACAGGACTTGACAACTGCCTAGATTGGGTAGGATCAGGGAGGAGGAGTGAGGGAACAGATAGAGTCAAGGTTAGGTTGTTTAGAAAAAAAATACATTATTTAACATGAAATTTGAGTTTGTAGTACCTTTATAACTCTGAAGAGGCTTCTGTCAAAAAGTGTGTCTAGTTTGGTCTAAAACTAAAGGAAAAAAACCAGCACTAGATTTATTTGCAAGGAGTTACATGAAACCATGGAGTGGATATTATGGGTCCAGAGACCAACTGTGGAGTGAGTGAAGACCAGGACAGAACACCATAAAGTGCCTCCATTTAACGGGCCAGGAGAAGCCAGGCACGGTGGCTCACATCTGTAATCCCAACACTTTGGGAGGCTAAAGTAGGAGGATCACTTGAGGCTGGGAGTTCAAAAACAGCCTGGGCAACAAAGTGAGACTCTGTCTTTACAAAAAATAAAAATAAAACAATTAGCCAAGCATGGTGGCATACACCTGTAGTCCTAGCCACTCAGGAGGCTGAGGCAGGATTGCTTGAGCCCAGGAGTCTGAGGCTTCAGTGAGCTATGATCACACCACTGCACTCCAGTCTGGGAGACAGAGCGAGAAAAATAGGTTGACTGTGTCAATATAGAAGTCACTGTATTTGCCAACCAAGAGGTCATTGGTGGCCTGTGCAGTTCAGTGGAATGACAGCTGTGCTGACAACTGGACTCTGAGGACTGAGGAATGATTGTGGAGGAACGAACCTCTTGATAACACAGAAGTAAAAAAGCAGCTCCAGCCGAAGGAGGGAGGGTCTGGAAGGAGAGTGGAGAATGGCCACCGGCTGGGGAGACAAACACATGGAGAGGCTGAAATTCCAGGAGGGAAAAGTAAAGACCCTCAGAAACTGCTGCCCAAATCTCCAGCAAAGGGGCTCATGTTCCACTGAGACCACGGTGAGGGGAACCAGCAGCCAATCGGAAAGGACTGGAAGGGAGATGAGTTCATTCCGGTTAGTTTTCTCAGTTCCCGTCTGAGAGGTCTCCACGTGAAGAGGGAGAAGAGGGATCGCAAAGACTAAAAGCTACAGAGGATAGGTAACGAGATGACCAGAAGATCAGCAAAGACATTCACAACCGCTCCCTGAAAAACTCCAACTCGAGGTCAAACCACCAAGCAAGTTCCCTGTCCTACACCCAAGGAGCTGAGCACTGCTGTGGTCACAGCAGGCCCCCATGCACTCCACACTCCAGTCTGGGGTGGTGGAATTAAGGGGGTCAGCGCACAAACATTCCCTGCTGGCTTCAGAACCAAGCCACTTTCATTGTCTCTACCTTCTTCCCTTGCTTCTCAACTCCCTGCACCCTAGCTCTTGCCCAAGTGATCACCAAAAGTGTTCTTGCTTCAAGGGCCTGGTGCCTCCACACGGACAAATCCAGCGGCTGCTCCTCGGTCCTACTCCATCTGACACTGCTGATCATTCCCTCCTTAAAACTGCCTGCCCTCGGGGCTTCCATGACACCTTCTCTTTCAATTCTTTCCTGATCCGACTCTCCCTTCTTCATCTCCTTCTGGATTTTCTCTTCTCCAGAGAGGCTCTGGCACTCTCATGGTGCTGACTTTCATCCTCTGACCCTCCTACTGACGTCCTCACCCAGGCCTCAAAATCTCAGCTACCACTACAGGCTGTAACCAAGAAGTCCATGCTTTCTGGAGACAGAGAGAGGAGAAGGACCAGAGAGCAGATCAGAGGCGGGGACGGGCAGCAGGGTGGGCGAGGTGGGAGAAGTGCACGTGGTTAATGACTATGAAAAAATAGAAAGAATGAATAAGATCTAGTATTTGATAGTCCAACAGGGTGACTACAGTCAACAATAATTTAATTGTACATTTAAAAATAACTACAAGAGTATAACTGAATGTGTTATGCTCACAAATATAACAAGAGCTGCAAGTTCCCAGAGGAGCCAGGCCCAGCCACAGTGAAGAAGCCTGCCGCTCCCTCTTCTGGCTGTTGGACAACAACGCTGCCTGAAGCGTTAACTCTTGGCAGAGTCATGGAAACAAGCAATTAATCAAAGGGTTGAGGTTAAAAGGATTAGAAAGCCTTTTAAAAAGATTTTAAAAAATCTTCGATTTTAGGATCATTAGTGGAAAAAAGGGAGCTAAGATCAATCCTCCTTGAATACTACAGTCTGCTTTAAATTTATATAGATCATGGCCAATCACGAATCAGCTTGCAAGACAATGCCTATGTATTTGTAGGTTTTTTGAACAGTATTTGTCCATACTTACAGTAGAAAAGATGTTGGGCTTAGGAAGCAATACATTAGCCCAAAGAGATGAAAAGAGGCCTTAAAAATCAACTGTTAGCACTTCTGCTACAGGAGAAGATGGAGGAAGCCCACGAAAGCCTTTCTCTCTCCACAGATTACAGTGAAAAATTTCGACACAGCCGGGCGCAGTGACTCATGCCTGTAATCCCAGCACTTTGGGAGGCTGAGGCGGCGAATCACCTGAGGTCAGGAGTTCGAGACCAGCCTGGCCAACATGGAGAAACCCCGTCTCTACTAAAAATACAAAAATTAGCGGTGATGGCATGCACCTGTAATCCCAGCTACTCAGGAGGCCGAAACAGGAGAATCACTTGAACCCAGGAGGCGGCAGTTGCAGTGAGCTGAGACTGTGCCACTGCACTCCATCCAGCCTGGGTAACAAGAGCAAGACTCCAACTCAAAAAAAAAAAAAGAAAAGAAAAGAAGAAATCTCCAGACAAAAAAACAAAAAAAATACCCGACTCTGAAAAGCAAACAAAAGCAGGTGGTCTGGGAGGGAAACAAAACCTGAGAACCATTTGGGGTGGAGGATGGATGTGAGTTTCTTGGGGCTTTTTCCCCTTTTCTCTCAGGGCCTCAATCCTGGTGCAGCTGCGGTGGCCCCACAAGCAGCTCCAACTCCAGGAGAAATCCAATCTTTCTCGCCAGGAGACTGAGAAAGGCTGGAGACCCAGGAGGAGCTCACAACTCAAGGGCAGCCCCCCAGGTGGGGACCAGCAACAGGCGTAGCCTGGAAGGGAGCCCTTGCTGTCCAGAGTGCCCAAGAGTCATTTTTCCCTTTTCCCTTTTCTACTTTCCCTGCTCTGCTCCAAGGACAGCTCTAGTAACAACAGGTGGGCAAACCTTTGAGAGAAACTCGGAACTTGTGGCTACAGGACCCAAAAGGGGGTATCATGTGGGCCAGAGGGTAGGAGCAGGGAAGTTCCAGAGAGGAGAGCTAGAGAAGGGGACTCCTCCAAATTTGAGTATCAATCAACACAAATTCTAGATTCACCTGAGCTGTTTATGTGCAGAACAGCACCAAAACAGCAAGCATGGAACAGACCCAGCACAGCAAAGACCCCAAGTGAGAAGGGAGCAAGTTCCACCGCCAGTCCAGTCCCATATGCAAAGACCCAGAGTGGGTTTCAAAACCAAATGACACTGAAATCCTTGCCCCGGAAGGCAAGACCGACTTGAAGTCTGAACCTAATTGGATTGACAGCCTCCTAAAACACAAACCAGAAGCTTTTAACAGGACCCAGAGTCTAAACAATATAATACTCAAATGTCCAGGATACAATCTACAATTACCTCGACCACGAAAATACGACTCATTCTCCAGGGAAAAGATAATCAACAGATGCCAAGCCCATGATGACATGTTAAAATTATCAAGATTCTAACTATTATAATAACTGGGGGAAAAAGTAAACATTCCTGAAATGAATGGAATAATACAAGTTCTCAGGAAAGAATAGAAGTTATAACAAATAACCAAATGGAAACTTTAGAATTGAAAAATACCTGAAATGAAAAATTCACTGGTAGGCTTGATAACGGAAGATGCCAGAACAATCTGTGCATATACAGACAGATCAACAGAAATTATCCCATTAGACTCTGAGGCTGCAGTGAGCCTGAGGGTGCCACCGCACTTCAGCTTGGGCAACAGAGTGAAACCTTATCTCTACTAAAAAAAGAGACAGGAAAAAAAAGAGAAATTATTCCATTTGAACTACAAATTTTTTTAAAAAGGAACAGAGCCTCAAAGACCTGTACAGCAGTATCAGAGGTTTACCAGTTGTGTTTCTGGGAGCTGAAGAAAAGGAGGAGAAAGAGATTGGGATAGAAAAAATATTTCAAAAATAGCTGAGAACTTCACAAATGTAGTAAGAAACATAAATTTACATAATCAAGAAGCTCAGCAAAAATAAACTGGGGAAAAAAAAGCTGAAATATATCATTATCAAATTATTGAAGACCAAAGACTTGAAAATCTTTTTTGAAATTTATTTAAATTTTTTTTTTTTTTTGAGACGGAGTCTCGCTCTGTCCCCCAGGCCGGAGTGCAGTGGCGCATCTTGGCTCACTGCAAGCTCTGCCTCCCGGGTTCACGCCATTCTCCTATCTCAGCCTCCCGAGTAGCTGGGACTACAGGCGCCCGCCACCATGCCCAGCTGATTTTTTTTTTTTTTTTTTTTTTTAGTAGAGACGAGGTTTCACCGTGTTAGCCAGGATGGTCTCGATCTCCTGACCTCGTGATCTGCCAGCCTCGGCCTCCCAAAGTGCTGGGATTACAGGCGTGAGCCACCGCGCCCAGGCTAGTGAAGTGAAGCAGTAGGAGTAGAGGGGGATAAAAAAAATCTTAACAGCAGCCAGAGGAAAATGACACATTAGGGTTAGAGTGATAGCGGATTAAAATTTTTTTTTAATTAATTATTTTTCAAAATATAGAGATGGAGTCTCACAATGATGCCCAAGCTGGTCTCAAACTCCTGGCCTCAAGTGATCTTCCCGCCTCAGCCTCCCAAAGTGCTGAGATAATAGGCATGAGCCACTGCATCCAGCCTGATCACAGATTTCTAATCAAAAACTGTGACAGCCAGAAGTCACTGAAATGACATCTTAAAAGTTCTGAAGGAAAAGATCAATCAACCCAGTGAAATTATCCTTCAGGAATGAAAGGAAATAATGACATTCTCAGCTAAATGAAAATAAGAGAATTTGTAGCCAAGAGACCTGTTCTCAGAAAAGTGCCAAAGGCAGTTCTTCCTGGTGAAGTAAATGATAAAAAGGACGCAGGGCACTTCAGGAATAGAGAGGAAAAGAAATGATGACAAAAAGACTATTTTTGTTCTCTTAAGTTCTTTAAAATATGTAAGAATACAGAAAGTCAATGTAAAAACACTACTAATAGTATGCAGATTATATGTTTCAATGTATGTAGATTATATGTTATAAATACAACCATAACACAAAAAGAAGGTAAAGAGACTTATATACACCAACTGGTAAAATATTAACTCTGGACTATAAATGGTCAGGCATGCATATTATTAACCCTACTAGTAACCTAGTAGGGATCCCTTCAGTAACTACTAAAAACAAAAATAAACAAAAAGATACAGCCAAAAGGCTACAAATCTTTTTAGCTTTATAGATATAGAAAAAGCAAGTGACAACATTCAACATCCAATCTCAGCAATCTGAACTTCCTAAACCTGGTAAAAGACATTCATGGAAAACCTAAACTAGCATCATACTTAATGGTGAAGGACTGACTGTTTTCCCTTAATATCAGGGACAAGATGAGGATGTCTGCTCTCACCACTCCTACTCAACATCATCCTGGAGGCCCCAGCCAGGGCAATGAAATAAGAAAAAGAAGGAAAAGCCATACAGATGAGAAAGAAGTAAAACTCTGTTTGCAAATACCACGACTTTCTGCACAGAAAATCCTAAAGAATACACTAAAAAAGTTCCTAGAACTAATAAGTGGATTTATCAAGGCTGGAGGGCATAAGATCAATATAAAGTCAGCTGTACTTCTATATCAGCAATCAACAACTAGAAATGAGCACCATTTACAATAGCACGCAAAATTATGAAATAGGTATAAATCTAAAAAAATTTGTGCAGAACCTGTATGCTACACTGTTTTCATGGACTAGAAGGTTCAGTATTGGCGGGTTGTTTTTTTTTAACCTTTGACTGATCTTAAATTATTATTATTATTAAATTTTTTTTTGAGACAGTCTCGCTCTGTCGCCAGGCTGGAGTGCAGTGGCGCAATCTCGGCTCACTGCAACCTCCATCTCCCAGGTTCAAGTGATTCTCCTGCCTCAGCCTCCCGAGTAGCTGGGACTACAGGCGCCCCCGTCACCACACCCGGCTAATTTTTTGTATTTTTAGTAGAGACGGGGTTTCACCATGTTGGCCAGGATGGTCTTGAACTCCTGACCTCGTGATCCACCTGCCTCAGCCTCCCAAAGTGCTGGGATTATAGGTGTGAGCCACCGTGCCCGTCCGATCTTGAATTATTAATATTGTCAAGATGTCAATTCTCCCCCAAAACTGACCTATAGATGTAAGGCAATCCCAATCAGAATCTCAGCAGGATTTGTTCCAGATATCAACAAGTCAATTCAAAAATGTATACATAGGCCAGGCACGGTGGCTCACACCTGAAATGCTAGCACTTTGGGCAGCCAAAGCAGGAGGATCACCTGAGGTCAGGAGTTCAAGACCAGCCTGGCCAATAGAGTGAAACCCCATCTCTACTAAAAATACAAAATTGGCCAGGCACGGTGACTCACACCTGTAATCCCAGAACTTTGAGAGGTCGAGGTGGATGGATCACCTGAGGTTGGGAGTTCGAGACCAGCCTGATCAACATGGAGAAACCACGTCTCTACTAAAAATACAAAACTAGCCAGGTGTGGTGGCAGATGCCTGTAATCCCAGCTACTGTGGAGGCTGAGGCAGGAGGAATCACTTGAACCCGAAGGCAGAGGTTGCGGTGAGCCGAGATTGCACCATTGCACTCCAGCATGAACTCACAAGAGTGAAACTCCATCTCAAAAAAAAACAAACCAATAAAAAAAAAACGGGCTAGTTTTCTTCTCATGTAAACTCTTGATGTATGACGTTTTCAATTTTAAAAGGTTGAACTCATTCCAGACCAAGAAAAGGAACTGGAAACTACAAGAACTCACAGAAGATGATCAAGCCACTTTTGCCTCAAGCAAACACAAATGTCAAAAGACTTCACTGATCAACTTTATAAAAAGTACTTTAACTTGTCAACCCTACTTTTCATCCAATTTGGTCTGAATTCTGGGAGTGGGGTTGATGCGATATGTCATACAAACTGGGACTCCAAGAAAAGATTTTTTTTTTTTTTTGAGACAGAGTTTTGCTCTTGTTGTCCAGGCTGGAGCGCAAGGGCGCGATCTTGGCTCACCGCAACCTCCGTCTCCCAGGTTCAAGCGATTCTCCTGCCTCAGCCTCCCTAGTAGTTGGGATTACAGGCATGTGCCAGCACGCCCAGCTAATTTTGTATTTTTAGTAGAGATGGGGTTTCTCCATGTTGGTCAGGCTGGTTAGAACTCCCAACCTCAGGTGATCCACCCACCTCAGCCTCCCAAAGTGCTGGGATTACAGGCATGAGCCGCCACACCTGGCCAAGAAAAGATTTTTAAACCCCATTAAGATTTGTTCCTCATGGCACATGTATACATATGTAACAAACTTGCACGTTGTGCACATGTACCCTAGAACTTAAAGTATAATTTTGAAAAAAAAGATAAATAAATAAAAAAAGAAGGAAGAAAGGTCTTCTGCATTTACCCATTCAAACCAGGGTTAGTACTTGATTAATATAATATTTCAATTCTGTCTTGTTTTTTCCCCATTTCTACATTATCACATTTCCTTCCTTTCAAAACAATTTAACTTATTTTACTAATATTTTGAGATCAGCTCGTGACATTTAATGTTCTCAATAATTAGAGAAGAATTACTTTGGTTAGCCTAGAATATACTCACTTGTGTTTCTAAATTAGTAAGCTCATTTTCATCTAGATAATGGGAGGCTAGAGAGGTCCTGCTTTAAGAGTAGAACTATTGGTTCTACCAATTTTGGCTTGGAGGCACTGCGTCTGTAAGAACCAAGTGGCCCTGATACTCAGCTCTTGGTGTGAAGTGCTTTGTAAGGTTTATCTGAATTGAATCATTAGGGAAGAAGCAGTGTTAATAACATAGAAATGGTTGGCCCTGTTCACATTAATGGTTAATAAATAAGGTTGCATCATTTATGGCTTCTGGAGTCCAAAAAGGACATCTACACATATTGTTTCCATGAAGACACCACCCTTCACCCTTTCCCCAGCCTTGTGAGTTTAGCAGATGATCCTTATTCAGTGGTAAGGATAATGAAACTCAGAGAGGTCAAATACCTTTTCCAAGGTCATGGTGCTATAAGGGGCAGAAACTGGACTACAGCCCAGGTTCCCCGATTCCAAGCTTGTTATGCTGTGGTCAGATGCTAGCAGTTGGGAGTTAGCAGATATAAATAAACTGTATTTTGGCCCATTTGATTGAGATCTCTACCTATGACCTAAATTTGCCTTCTTTTCCATGAAGCATTTCCATTTCCCCTCACCCGTCTTTTTTGAGAATGTAAATTAATCTCTGCTAATTTTGCAGAATAAGCAGGCAGAGTAATACAGTATCACTAGGATAAATGAACTTTCTTCATTTATAAAAAAAAAAAAAAAAAGATTTGTTCCTTACTCTAGTCCCTATGTCTAACTTTCAGTTGTTTCATCTCCAATACTATAATCCTTCTTTAAATCCAAACCCAGCCGAATATCAATACACGGTTGCTACGAATGTAGCAACTATCATTTCACCATGTGTCACGCTCTTCCTACTTAAGAGATTTACTTACTTGGTCAACTTGTGGCTTTTCAATGCTGTGAGAAATTCTCTGACAATTTCAGGACTCTGGTGCCTGCATGGTGTTTTTGATATGTATTTTAACGTCTGGCAAAAAAAAAAAAAAAGAAAAAAGCCAAGCATAAGACAAAGAACCCTGAATGAGAAAAAACAAAGGCAATGACTGTAATTAAAATTCTAAAATTTTGTTTGTAAAAATCCTGTAGAGGCTGGGCACGGTGGCTCACACCTGTAATCCCAGCACTTTGGGAGGCCGAGGTGGCCAAATCACCTGAGGTCAGGAGTTCGAGACCAGCCTGGCCACCATGGTGAAACCCCATCTCTACCAAAAATACAAAAAATTAGCTGGGTGTGGAGGTGCACGCCTGTAATCCCAGCTACTAGGGAGGCTGAGGCAGGAGAAACACTTGAACCTGGGAGGCAGAGGTTGCAGTGAGCCGAGATCACACCATGGCACTCCAGCCTGGGTGACAGAGTGAGACTCTGTCTCAAAAAAAAAAAAAAAAAAGAAAACAAAAAAGAAAAAAAATCCTGTATAAAACAAAAAGGCATTCAGGAGAACCAATCTTCGTGTAATTGGAATTTCTGAAAGAGAAAACCAGTAGCTAGAAGAGGAAGAATAACTAATGAAATTTTAGGAGAAAACTTTTCTGATCTCAAAAAAAAAAAACCCTCAATCTGACAATTGTGTTATATTTTGAACAATTTTTTTAAAGAGGGGGAACCCAAAGAATAAAATAAATTGCCATGAGTCTACATGGATATATACGACTGAATAGATAAACGGGTAAGAAGAGACAACTTTTTCTTTTTTTTTTTTTTTTTGAGACGGAGTCTCACTGTCACCCAGGCTGGAGTGCAGCGGCACGATCTCGGCTCACTGCAGGCTGGAGTGCAGCGGCACGATCTCGGCTCACTGCAAGCTCCGCCTCCTGGGTTCACACCATTCTCCTGCTTCAGCCTCCCAAGTAGCTGGGACTACAGGCGCCTGCCACCACGCCCGGCTAATTTCTTTTTGTATTTTTAGTAGAGACGAGGTTTCACCGTGTTAGCCAGGATGGTCTCGATCTCCTGACCTCGTGATCCACCCGCCTCGGCCTCCGAAAGTGCTGGGATTATAGGCATGAGACACCGCACCCGGCCAAGAATGAGAAAAATTTTTAAATCACTCTTAGGCAATTGTACCATAGTCATAACTACTGCAGGAAAGACCCACCAATAAATGCTAAAATTGATGGTTAAAAGCTTAAGCAAAGGGTAGGCTGTTTTCCTAGCCGCAAAGCATCTCCCACAAAATATTTTTTAATTACTGTGGTGGTTTTAACATACAACCACAAATTCTTCGATATCCCTCCCTTCAAGAGGTGAAGCTTAATCCCCCCGCCCCGCTTCCCCTTGAATATGGGCTAAACTTGGTAAGTCCTTTCATCTTATTTATTTATTTATTTATTTATTTGAGACAGAGTCTTGCTCTGTCGCCCAGGCTGGAGTGCAGTGGCGCAATCTCGGCTCACTGCAAGCTCCACCTCCCAGGTTCACGCCATTCTCCTGCCTCAGCCTCTCTGAGTAGCTGGGACTACAGGCGCCCGCCACTACGCCCGGCTAATTTTTTGTATTTTTTCTTTTTAGTAGAGATGGGGTTTCACCGTGGTCTCGATCTCCTGACCTTGTGATCCGCCTGCCTCGGCCTCCCAAAGTGCTGGGATTACAAGTGTGAGCCACCACGCCCAGCCAAATCCTTTCTAACATAATGTGGAAATGAAGAAACAGTAGATTTACAGTGGAGAAACCAGGCAGATACCATCTTAACGAAATGACCAAAGTTAACAACATCACCCATAAGAAACATCAATATCATGTACCCCCAGAAATCAGGACACGAGAAGGGGAGATTACCTCTGTGGTACTCTTCCTCAAAAGCCATAGGTTTTGTGTAATCATAATAAAACATCAGGCAATCACAAATCAACAGACATTCTACAAAATACTTGACGAGACTTTGGAAGTGTCAAGGTCATGGAAGACAAAGGAAGAGTAAGGATATAGATTGAATGACATTATGGGGACATGTTAACTAAATACAAAATGGTATCCTGAACTGAATCCTGGAACCCAGAAGACAGCAATGGGAAAACAGGGCATTCAAATAAAATTTAAGTTTAGCTTAATAGTATGTACCAATGTTAATTTCTTGGTTTTGATCACTGTACCATGGTTATGTAAGATATTAACATCAGAGAAAACTATGGGAAGGGTACATGAGAACTCCCAGCACTGTCTCTACAACTTTTATGTAAGAGAAAAATGGCTGGGCACGGTGGCTCACGCCTGTAATCCCAGCACTTTGGGAGCCAGAGGTGGGCGGATCACATGAGGTCGGGAGTTTGATACCCGCCTGACCAACATGGAGAAACCCTGTCTCTACTAAAAATACAAAATTAGCCGGGCAAGGTGGTGCATGCCTGTAATCCCAGCTACTCGGGAGGCTGAGGCAGGAGAATCGCTTGAACCCGGGAGCCAGAGGTGAGCCGAGGTTGCGCCATGGCACTCCAGCCTAGGCAACAGGAGCGAGAATCCGTCTCAAAAAAAAAAAAAGAAAAATGATTTCAAAATAAAAAGATTTTTCTTTTTTTTCTTTGATTTGCAATGATGTGATGCTTTCTCATGATTACACAGATTTTGTGGCTTTTGAGGAAGAATATAGATAAAATTTCGGAGGAATTATAATTACATATTTTGGAAGGAATCTCAAACTTGAAAAATAATAGCCTTAAGCGTGTAAGTTCCCAGCACTTTGGGACGCTGCAGTGGGAAGATCCCTTAAGCCCAGGAGTTGGAGACCAGCCTGGACAACAACAACAAAAAATAGCCAGGCGTGGCAGTGGATGCCCATAGTCCCAGCTACTTGGGAAGCTAAGCTGGGAGCATCACCTGAGCCTAGGAGGTTGAGGCTGCAGTGAGCTGTGATCCCCTTTCAAGGAGAAATGAGGGCAATCTTTTACACTATTCCTTCTAACTTTGTAGCTGGCTAAACTCTAAACTTGACCAAACTCCTCTCACTTCTATAAACAGAATAAAAATTAGGTTAGAGTAGGCTGGGCGCGGTGGCTCATGCCTGTAATCCCAGCACTTTGGGAAGTCTAGGCGGACGGATCACGAGGTCAGGAGATCGAGACCATCCTGGCTAACATGGTGAAACCCTGTCTCTACTAAAAATACAAAAAATCAGCTGGCCGTGGTGGAGGGCGCCTGCAGTCCCAGCTACTCGGGAGGCTGAGGCAGAAGAATGGCATGAACCTGGGAGGTGGAGCTTGCAGTGAGCGAAGATCACACCACTGCATTCCAGCCTGGGCGACAGAGCGAGACTCTGTGTCAAAAAACAAACAAACAAACAAAAATCAGGTTAGAATAAAACATTCAGATCATATAAAAAGCAATCTTAATTTCAGCTGCCAGTCATTGGGAGAATAAACCCCCCTCCCTCAATGGTACTTTAGGTAGGCCTGGCAGAAGCCCAGCCTTACTTCATAGGTGATAGTGTTCAAGTTCTGTTGCCCAGAGCTGTGTTTATTCTTTCCACTTTCTTTACGCTGCTCTTTCAGATCAGTTAGTAACTGAAATACCTAGGAGGAGATACAAAAAAGACGTTTATGAATAAATTTGAGAAATATATCTATCCAAGGTCAGTGGTTTTGAAGGATAAACAGGAAAGTATAGTACTTCCTTTCACCCGCCCATCACCCAGCTTCCAACTCTTGGATTTGAGCAAATATGAGTCCCAGAGGCATATTACATTTTTAAAAAATGTTCTTTTATATAAGCCAAATAATTCAAATTCATTAATTTACTTAAAATATTTCAAATATTTCCTATCAATATGTACATCACTAATCTGATCTCAAAAATATACTATTTGAAAGCAGATTTTCTTAAAGCAAATATTTTGTTAAAAAAGAATTCTGGGTCCAGGCATGATGGCTCACGCCTGTAATCCCAGCACTTAGGGAGGGTGAGGTGGGCGGTTCATGAGGTCAGGAGATCAAGACCATCCTGGCTAACACGGTGAAACCCCATCTCTACTAAAAATACAAAAAATTAGCTGGACATGGTGGCGGCACCTGTAGTCCCAGCTACTCGGGAGGCTGAGGCAGGAGAATCACTTGAATCCGGGAGGCAGAGGTTGCAGTGAGCCTGGATGGTGCCACTGTACTCCAGCCTGGGTGACAGAGCGAGACTCCATCTGAAAAAAAAAAAAAAAAAAAAAAAAAAGAATCCTGCTTCTCTAGTATAAAAATCTAATATAATAATTTCTTTCTGGAAAAGAAAAATTTTGAGGCAAGTGATAAGACAGAGTTTACCCCCCAAAAAAGAAAGGAAAAAATGCTATGGATCTTTAGAAGCAAACTTTCCCACAAGGATAAAACATACATGTATTAGTGCTGGGGGCAGGGGGGAATCTTAGTCTCATTCCTGTTTTAGAGATTCTACCACAGAAGTGAAGAAAATGCAGGCTCACACACCATCACCAGATACAATACGACCCCTCTCATCTGCTGGTCCTTTCAGAAATAGTGGCATGAGATCAATGAATGCAATGTTTCCCCAATGGATAAAACACCCAAACACCTAGCAAAGTCCAAACTGGACAAGGAGGCTCCTAAAAGCCAAAGGCTTGGCCAAAAACCATTCAACCATTTCCTTCCTGTTCTAAGCTGCAACCACTTAAGACTGAGCCTTTAGAGAGGAAAGAATATGGCCAACTCTGTTTATTCTACTACCTTCTTTTTTGTGGGGCGGGGGAGGGGAGCACCACAAGGGGGTAGGTTTCTTTCTTTCTTTTTGCTGTCTTACACTCTGGGAGCTTTTTTTTGGGGACACGGTCTCAAAAGCTGTCTCCCAGACTGGAGTACAGTGGTCATCACTGTAACCTCAAACTCCTGGGCTCAAGCGAACCTCCCCTCTGCCTTCCAAGTAGCTAGGACCATAGTAGGTGTTTGCTACCATGTCCAGCTAATTTATTTATTTTTATTTTTTTTGAGACGGAGTCTCGCTGTCGCCCAGGCTGGAGTGCAGTGGCACAATCTTGGCTCACTGCAGGCTCCACCCCCCGGGTTCACGCCATTCTCCTGCCTGAGCCTCCCGAGCAGCTGGGATTACAGGCGCCCGCCACCTTGCCCGGCTAATTTTTTGTATTTTTAGTAGAGACGGGGTTTCACCGTGTTAGCCAGGATGTTCTTGATCTCCTGACCTCGTGATCCGCCCGCCTCGGCCTCCCAAAGTACTGGGATTACAGGCGTGAGACACCGCGCCCGGCCGCTAATTTATTTTTTTAAGAGCTGGGGGTCTTGCTAGGTTTCCCAGGCTGAGCTCTAACTCATAGCCTCAAGCAATCTTCTCTCCTTGGCCTTCCCAAGTGCTGAGATTACAGGCGTGAGACACTGCACTTAACCTACTACCTTCTAGACCTCCTGAGTCTTTCTGAGTTTAGACTCTAGCACATGGAAAATTCACAGTCAAGGTATAAATGGTTCTTTCTACACCTGGAGTGAGCCTATCAGATGGTTTTGCTAGTGCCAAATAGGAGGCAAAAATGCTGGAATATCTCCTCTCTTACCAACCTTTTTCCTTCTTTTCCTTTCTCCAGCAATCCCACCCTAAGCCCAAAAAATTCTACATTTCTTAATTTCTACTATTCAGAAAGGTGAGTCAACTAAACTCACTCTCTTTTTTTATTTTTTAAGTAGGGATGGGGTTTCACCATGTTGGCCAGGATGGTCTCAATCTCCTGACCTCGTGATCCGCTGGCCTTGGCCTTCCAAAGTGCTGGGATTATGGGCATGAGCCACTGTGCTCGGCTTAAACTCACTTTCAAAATAAGGATGTTAATACCCATAAGACTATTTGCAATGTATAAAAGCATTATAAATATATAAATATATCAAAGGTGATAATTAGGAAAAATCATAAAAATTTTAATGGGAAATTCTGCAGACAGAAACAGCCTTAAAATAGATGCTTCTATCCTATGACTACATCCCAAATGATGATTTGGAATCGTTGAGATTTAGAGAAGGTTGCCCCCTCTAAAATAGAGTCTTCCCAGCTTTCCTGAAGTACTATGTATAACGTGTCAAGCTTACACTATTCCAAGGTCCACCAGATGTTGCCATGTCTTATTTTAAAGTGGAAAATCCAAATAAATTCAGTCATTTCTTTTTTCTTTTTCTTTCTTTCTTTCTTTTTTTTTTTTTTGAGACAGAGCCTTGGTCTATTGCCCAGGCTGGAGTGCAGTGGCACATCTTAGTTCACTGCAACCTCCGCCTCCTGGGTTCAAGTGACCCTCCTGCCTCAGCTGGGATCCGAAGTAGCTGGGACTACAGGCATGTGCCACCACACCCAGCTAATTTTTGTATTTTTTAGTAGAGACTGGGTTTCACCATGTTGGCCAGGCTAGTTTTGAACTCCTGACCTCAAGTGATCCAGCCTCAGCCTCCCAAAGTGCTGGGATTACAGGCGTGAACCACTGCACCCAGCCTGAATTCAGTCATTTCTAACCAAAATCAATTTAACAATCTCAGGAGCGAAGGGCAAACTATCAGAGAGGAAAATGTAACAATCCAATTTACCTCGTAGTTACTGAGAAGCGCAGAATTGGCATCCTTCCTGAAAAAGAAAAGTAAGCTATCATCAGTCTGGGCTCACACCCCTTTCTGGGTATCAAATTCTGTAAAAGAATTCCTGTCAAGATACAGTAGTCCACTTTTTGAATTTAGGGACTACAACCTAAAATTGAAACTGAGAAATGTCCTAAGTCCAACATGGTTTAGCTAGCTGTGGGCAATTTCAGAGTAGACTTGGGAACAAAGTGCTGTCCCATCCCACAGCCATGTCCTCTCCCCATTACTATCTGCCTCCCATCAGCTATTGACATCTTGGGCTGCCACGTCCTCCTGCTGAATCAACAGAAATGGCCCACTTAACACCAATGTCACCACTGGGAATTCCAGCCATGGGCAAGTATCCTGCCAAATATCTGCCATGCTCCCAGGGTGTTCACCACCTACGTCAACTCAACAGGTACAGTCAGGGTGGCAAGCAGTGGCCAAAAGCCTGGTTCCCTGTGTAACAGTTAATCCAGGCAATATGCCATCTTTCCTGAGTGAAGAAACACAACGATGTGACATATATTAAATCACAATCGATCCACTCTACAATAGCATATCAGAAAGCATTGTTTTCAGCAGTCTGGAGGCAGTGGAGTATGACAAAGAACATAGTTTTGAAATCAGATTTGGGTTCATGTTCTAGCTCTGCCACTTATGTGCTGTGAGAATTTTAGTTAAGTTAATTACTCCTTAAGTTTTCCTTCTAAAATAAAAATGGGATGAAACTAGTATCTAAAAGTATGGCCTGGATTCTAAATCCAGCTCCTGAATTCTTTGGCCATGTGAATCTAGGCAAGTTACTTAATCTCATTATGCTTACATTTCCTATCTATGAAACGGCAACTATAGTATCAACCTTGTAAGACTGTTCACAGGGTTCACTGGAAACATGTAAAGTACTTGGAACATAGTAAGTGCTCAATAAGCACCAACATTATCACTACTACTATCTGGGCAACTACCACTACCACCAGCAACTCCTACCTCATCAAACTGTTATGATAAAATGAGACAACAAATTTTAAAAGTTTAGAATAGTTCTTGGTACTTGTATTAACATCTCCATAATGGAAGGCTATTATTTGTAAAAGATATTATCCCAGTTAATTCTCACTGAAAACCCTGTGATGTAGGAGCTATTCGTATGATTCCTACTCTGCAGAGATAAAGCACAAGACTCAGAAATTAAGTAACTTGCTCAAGGTCACACAGTAAGAAGTCTAAATAAAGTGGAAGGTAACTATGGAACTGTGGGAAATGAGACTGAACTGGATGAATGGAAACTGGTCATGCAGAATCCTTAAAAATCAGGTAGAGGGGTCTGCACTTGATTTGTAATGTGCAACAGAGACCTCTGTATGTTCTTAAACCAGGAGTGTGGCGAGATGATCCAAATGATGACCCAAGACTTCAAAAGCATGGGCCAGATAGGTGACTTCCGAGTCAATAAATAAAGCAAAACTAACAGTGGTTCACAAAGAGATAGACCTCGGCCTTAGGTCATCAGCACAGTGATGTCAGCACTATAATCAAATCAGCTCTGTGAAGCTTACCAAATGCTACCAGTGATTCAAGCTACGATTTCACAAAAGTGCTGCTTTGCCCAAATGACCACAAACACACTGAAGTCACAAAGAGTATCATATTTGAAAGGAATCTAACACAGGAAGGACAATGCATAATTAGTGCATGTGACAGAGTTCATTTAAAATTGAAAATGACAAATCAAACCACATGTCATCTTTGCCTGCTTAATCAGGAAATCTGCCCACTGGCTTCCTCCTATCTTTGCTTGAAATTGAGTTATAACTCCCTGTGCTCTCCAAAATATGAGGCATTAAAACATCCCTTCCTGGAATACTTGACTCGAGAAAAAATATGAATGTTTTTTCTCTTCAGGGCCAATGGATCCATCGCAGGTGCACTGTTACAACTTTATTTCCAAATAATGGCCCCTTCTCTGTCATTCAGAATATTCCACGTCGTGGGAAATTTGTCCTTGGCCATTCCAAGTTACTACCCCACTAAACAAGTCAATAGTGTAATGCAAGAATCCAAAGAACACCCTCTGCCTCTTCTAGAACGAATATAAAGGAGGAAAACCCTCTTTCACATAAGTTTTAATGAATCTGTGTTTTGGGATCAAGAGAACCAATTGATGTTTACACAGGTACTCTGTGTAACAGACTCTGGCTGACAGAAGCTGATTTATTCATTGATTTTATCAGGAAGATAAATTTTTTTAAAACCCAGCTAAATATTCACAGAATAAATGCCAATCAATGTATGCTAGGCCTTTCCTTATTTAATAAAATGTCAAGAGGTACTTTATCTACCTTTTATGAAGTCCTAAACGAGCTGTATGTATTGGGGAATTTTTTTAAAGGCAGTTTTTATCTTTGAGAAGTTACTGTAACCACCACTAAACGACAGGTTGTTGGCAACAGGATATGGTGAAACCAGACAGACATCAACTTAATCAAGTTATCCAATTTCACAGCACCAATGATGTGACGCATGAGAAAGACACATCCCTCAGAGCAATCCAGCCCCAAGATGTTTAATTCAAATCTATCCATGAGGATATAATCAGAGAATTCCAAATTGAGGAACAGTCTTCAAAACAACTGGGTTAAATTTAGACTCTTCAAATATCAATGTCATCTGTCACAGTGCCAATGTCACAAAAAGAAGCTAAGGAAACTTCCAGAGGAAAGGAAATTAAAGAAACATGACAACTAAATGCAATGTGTAGTTCTTCACTGGATCCTGAATTGGGAGGAAAAAGAACACTATTATGGCAACTGAAGAAATGTGAGTTTACATTGTATCTTAATAATAGTAGATTATCATCGCTAAGTTTCCTGAGTGTGATAAGGCGACTGTAGCTACATAGAATGCCCTTTTTCAAGAAGGGGTGAAATGATCTGCTATCTACAACTCTCTAATGGTTCAGTAAAGTAAGTGTGTGCACCTGTGTATGGAGAGAAAGCTCATGCCTGTGCAAAAGAAATAAGGGAATGCCAGGCATTGTGGCTCACACCTGTCATCCCAGCTACTCCGGGCTGAGACAGGAGGATCACTTCGTCCCGGAGTTTGAATCCAGCCTGGGCTCAAGTGTCTCTAATCAAAAACAAGAAAGGAAGAAAGAAAGGAAGGAAGGAAGGGAAGGAGGGAGGAAGGAAGGAAGGGAGGGAGGGAGGGAGGAGGGAGGGAAAAGAAAAAAGAAAAGAGAAAAAGGAAAAGGCAGCAAATATCAGAATCAAAATGTTAACAAGTGGTGACTCTAGGTAACGCGTATACAGGTATTTGTGGCATTCTTTTTATTTTTAGTTTTTTTTTGAGAAGGAGTCTCGCTCTGTCTCCCAGGCTGGAGTGCAATGGTGCGATCTCGGCTCGCTGCAAGCTCCGCCTCCCAGGTTCATGCCATTCTCCTGCCTCAGCCTCCCAAGCAGCTGGGACTACAGGCACCCGCCATCAGCCCGGCTAATTTTTTGTATTTTTGGTAGAGACGGGGTTTCACTGTGTTAGCCAGGATGGTCTCGATCTCCTGACCTCGTGATCCGCCCGCCTCGGCCTCCCAAAGTGCTGGGATTACAGGAGTGAGCCACTGGGCATGGCTTTTTTTTTTTTTTTTTTTTTTTTTTTTTTTTTTTTGAGACGGAGTCTCACTCTGTCACCCAGGCTGGAGTGCAGTGGCGCGATCTCGGCTCACTGCAAGCTCCGCCTCCCGGGTTCACGCCATTCTCCTGCCTCAGCCTCTGGAGTAGCTGGGACTACAGGCGCCAGCCACCACGCCCGGCTCATTTTTTTAGTACAGACGGGATTTCACCATGTTAGCCAGGATGGTCTCGATCTCCTGACCTTATGATCCGCCCGCCTCGGCCTCCCAAAGTGCTGGGATTACAGGCCTCAGCCACTGCGCCCGGCCCCCCCACCTTTTTTTTTTTTTGAGACAAGAGTTTCGCTCTTGTTGCCCAGGCTGGAGTGCAATGGCATGATCTCAGCTCACCATAACCTCCACTTCCCGAGTTCAAGCGATTCTCCTGCCTCAGCCTCCCAAGTAGCTGGTATTACAGGCATGAGCCACCACACCTGGCTAATTTTGTATTTTTAGTAGAGACGGGGTTTCTCCATGTTGGTCAGGCTGGTCTCAAACTCCTGACCTCAGGTGATCTGACCGCTTTGCCCTCCCAAAGTACTGGGATTACAGGCGTGAGCCACCATACCAGGCATCTAAAAGTTTTTTAGAGCTATTAGAACTTAATAGACACATCTAGCAATTATAAACGTAGAAGCTGTTGATCTCTACAAAGCAGGAACTGTCTGCTCTACAGCTAACACTTTAGTATTATGTAATATATTCACATGCAATCAGACTTCTAGAAACTGCTTACCTATACAAAACTTCATATTCTCCTGTAGGACTTAGAATAGTACTCATTTTACGCCAGGCGCAGTGGCTCACACCTGTAATCCCGGCACTTTGGGAGGCCAAGTCGGGCGCATCACGAGATCAGGAGATCAAGACCATCCTGGCTAACACGGTGAAACCCCGTCTCTACTAAAAATACAAAAAATTAGCCGGGCGTAGTGGCGGGCGCCTGTAATCCCAGCTACTCAGGAGGCTGAGGCAGGAGAATGGCGTGAACCCGGGAGGCGGAGCTTACAGTGTGCCGAGATGGGGCTACTGCACTCCAGCCTGGGCGACAGAGCGAGACTCCATCTCAAAAAAAAAAAAAAAAAGAAAGAAAGAAAGAATAGTACTCATTTTATTGACATGTGTTTAAAGCAAATACTCTAAGTGCATTTTAAAGACTGTCTAGAAAAAAGTCCAGGGACTTGTGCACACAGAGGAGAGACCATGTGAGAACATATCAAGAAGTTTGCAATCTGCAAGCTCAGGCAAGAGGCCTCAAAAGAAACCAAACCTGCTACACCTTGATCCAGTCTCCCGAACTGTCAGAAAACAAGTGTTTGCTGTCTAAGCCACCCAGTGTCTGGTGCTTTCTAAAAGCAGCCTGGCAAATTAACATAGCAATGCTTGAGTAAAAAAAAAAACAAAACAACTGTCTAAATCTATACTACAGGCAGGCAGTTACTTAATTTCCTTAAGTAATGAATTAGATGACTGAAGCTGACTTTCCATTTGACACTTCTTGTAAAATTTGCTTAAAATGGTGAGTCAAGTGGATGTAAACAACTACTTGAGGAAACTGAATTCCAAATAAACAGAACAAAATGATCTCTTGGTGGACTTTCCTTAGAAGCAAACACATACACAAATGGCACATGCAAACAGTGCCTTTTTTTTTTTTTTTTTTTTTGAGACGGAGTCTTGCTCTGTCGCCCAGGCTGGAGTGCAGTGGCGCGATCTCAGCTCACCGCAAACTCCGCCACCCGGGTTCATGCCATTCTCCTGCCTCAGCCTCCCAAGTAGCTGGGACTACGGGCACCCACCACCACGCCCGGCTAATTTTTTGTATTTTTAGTAGAGATGGGGTTTCACTGTGTTAGCCAGGATGGTCTTGATCTCCTGACCTTGTGATCCACCCACCTCGGCCTCCCAAAGTGCTGGGATTACAGGCGTGAGCCACTGTGCCCGGCCAAACAGTGCCTATTAATTGCCACACAGTCAACTCTTACACAGGCAATGACGAAAATAATTGCTCAAATTCTCCTATGCCCAACCTATGCTATCAAGTCATGCTCTGAAAACCTAAACTCTGGTACAAGCAAACGGAGCAGCTTCTGAAGTCAATGAACAACTTAACTTGTAGCATTCTCTTGGGAGCTAGCAAATGAGTATCCTCTTTCCAGTCCTGTTACTGAGTTGTTATAGTACCTATTACCCACCTTTTCTAAATATGAGTATTTCCAGCTGTAAAAGGAAAGAAATCCTGACACTACCTCAAAAAGATGGTACAGAGGATAATGTCTATTTTCCCAATTATATATATTACGTTCAAGAATAAAAGAGTGGATACAAACTTTTCCAGCCATATAAATGATCATTTATAGACAAAGCCAAATAGCAAATACCTTATAGATAGAAATACCTAATTTTGCTATATAAATATTTTGCATGGTGGCGCATGCCTGTAGTCCCAGCTAGTCAGGAGGCTGAGGCAGAAGAATCGCTCGAATCCAGGAAGTGGAGATTGCAGTGAGCTGAGATTGCACCACTGCACTCTAGCCTAGGTGATGGAGTGAGACTCCATCTCAAAAAAAAAAAAAAATTGTATGCTTTTACTTGACGAAAATACATTTCCAAGTAATGGTCAAGAAATTTTTATTTTTAAATTGTCAATCAAATAAAGCATAAATATTCCTCCCCTTAAATAAATTTCTGGGCCAGCGCGGTGGCTCATGCCTGTAATCCCAGCACTTTCGGAGGCCGAGGCGGTAGAATCACCTGAGCTCAGGAGTTCAAGACCAGCCTGGCCAACATGATGAAACCCCATCTCTACTGAAAATACAAAAATTAGCCAGGCAGCTACCCAGTAGGCTCAGGCAGGAGGACTGCTTGAACTCGGGAGGCGGAGGTTGCAGTCAGCCGAGATTGCGCCATTGCACTCCAGCCTGGGTGACAAGAGCGAAACTCCATCTCAAAAAAAAAAGAAGAAATTTCAGGTATTATTATTATTATTATTATTATTATTATTATGTATTAGTTACTTAGTAGGTATTTCCTCAATCAGAATTTTAAAAAGTAGCAAAAACTTAGGGGAGCTGTTCATTGTGCCTCCTCACTTCAGGTTCTGGGAGTGTCTGATAGAGGTACAATATACAGGCATCCCCTGGTATTCACTGGAGATTGGTCCCAGGACCCCCACATATACTAAAATCCAAACATGCTTGTGTCCCAGAGAGCCTTGCAGAACCAGCAGCTAGGAAGCCAGCTCTCCACATACGTGGGTATATTCTCATCCCTCAAATACTATATTTTCATTCTCTGTGTTTGGTTGCAGATGTGGAACCTGCAGATATGGAGGGCCAACTGCATTTATTTTTTAAAATCTGCGTATAAGGAGATCCATGAAGTTCAAGCTCGTGTTGTTCAAGGGTCAACTGTATCTGCAACTCAAGGTTCTGCTAAAGATCCTAAGGAGCAGACTTCCAAAGGTCACGCCTCCTGTTGAAGACCAGGTGAGGACCAGAAGTTAGGCTTCCAGACCTTTCCACTCCAGGGCCCTTCCACTCCCAAATCACATGTCTATCTCAGGAAACCTCATTTTCCCATGAATTACTGGCTGCAAAATTCTTGATTGGTTACAGGAAGTCACTGACTACTTGGCAGAAGGGGACAGGCTGTTACAAGAACAAAACCCCGTGATTCAAACCATTTCACTTAGGAAAATCAGAAAATATACACGCCTAGCAACTAGGATGCTAGCTAATGAATTTATACAGTCGGCTTTCCTTAGCCTCAGGTTCCACATCCTTAGATTCAACCAACCTCAAATGAAAAACATGCAAAAAACATTTTTTTTTCTTTTTCTTTTTTTCTTTTTTTTTGAGACGGGGTCTCGCTCTATCGCCCAGGCTGGAGTGCAGTGGTGCGATCTTGGCTCACTGCAAGCTCCACCTCCCGGGTTCACGCCATTCTCCTGCCTCAGCCTCCCGATAGTAGCTGGGACTACGGGCGCCCGCCACAGCGCCCAGCTAATTTTTTCTATTTTTAGTAGAGAAGGGGTTTCACTGTGTTAGCCAGGATGGTCTCGATCTCCTGACCTCATGATCCGCCCCACTCAGCCTCCCAAAGTGCTGGGATTACAGGCATGAGCACCGGGCTGCAAAAAAAAATTTTAAGAAAATGCTACATTGTTGCTGACATGTACTATGTAGTTAGGCCTAGGATGGCTGCCTCTACACTGAACATGGATAGACTGCTTTTTGTCATTATTCCCTAAACAACACAGTACAACTACTATTTACACAGCCTTTACATTGCATCAGATATGACAAGTTGGTTGATAATCAAACAGTTTTTCCTCTGCTCTCACTCGACAACAATCAATACAGAAGACTTCTGTGACCAGATGTGTGGGGTTTTCTCTCTACCAATAAACAAGCAATCAATTCTGCAGCCAACACCAGCTGGGTACCCTCCAATCCAATTCATTTCAGACACTATCTGAAAACAGTGTGAGATTCCACAGGCTGAGGGCTCAGTCCCAGAAGACTGCCCCTACTTCAGACAGCAGTCACACAAGTCAGGGCCTCCAGAACTTCTCAACGGCGGGCTTCAAGCTGCAGTTCCCAAGACCTCCTCTTTAGGCTTCATTAATTTGCTAGAATGGCTCACAAAACACCTACTTAGGTTTACTGGTTTATTTAAAGGATATTACCAAGCATACAGATGAAGTGGTGCACAGGGTGAGGGATAGAGAGGGGGCGCAGAGCTCTATGCCCTCCCCAGGCATACCACCCTCCAGAAACTTCCACCTGTTAGACTATCCAGAAGTTCTCTTGGGCGTTTTGTAGAGATTTCATTAGAGAGATGATTGAAGCATGGCCAACCTCACAGTAATTGACTGGACAGAGAGTGTGATCTAATACTAAGACTGAGTGCAGACACCCAGCAAGGCCCATCCAGATTCTCCCTGGCCTCTGTGTGTGGTATTCCTTCCTACTGGGTAAGGGGCAGGACCCCCTCTGAAACAATCAGACGAGATAGGTCAGAGAATTTCTTTACAACCAGCTCTAAGACAGAAAGGCAGGGGATGATTAGAGGGCAAGAGACAGACAGAGCTTCTGTTTTCTGAGGCCTGCTTCTGAGGCTTAGAGTGCCCCAACATTCTAACAAAAGACTGTCTTTCACCTTTACTGCTCTGAAGCTGTCCCAAGGCCGCTTCAGGAACCTTGGACAAAGGACAAATACTTTAACAAAAGTTATGCTTACTGTTTTAGTCATTTAGGAAGTAATAAAGGCTATGGTAGTTATGAGCCAGGAACCATGGACAAAAACCGGTATTACATGTCATGGTATCATAATAAGTCATCTAGAGATGATTTAAAGTATATGGGAGAATGTGCATAGATTATATGCAAATACTACACCGTTTTATATCAGGGACTTGAGCATCTGTGAATTTTGGTATACGCAGGGGGTCCCAGAACCAATCCCCCAAAGACGCTGAGAGATGACTATATTTATGAAGCTAATAAAGTATTGTTATATTACTTTATTGAACAAGTATTTGCTGAATGCCTACTGTGTGCCAGATGCAATGCTAAGCACTAGGTGAACAGACACTGGTCCCCACCCTCCAAACAAGTAAACATACATTTATTATTGCAACTTGTAATTATTTGAGGGAAAGTAAATCAAGGTACTATGAAAGACAAAAAGAACTTATGTTAGTTAGACTTACTGAAGACGAAAGGCAACTTTGAAAAGGGACACAACCTTCAAGAACAGGTGGCCAGGTGTGGTGGCTCACGCCTGTAATCCCAGCACTTTGGGAGGCTGAGGCAGGCAAATCACCTGAGGTCAGGAATTCAAGACCAGTCTGGCCAACATGGAAACCCCGTCTCTACTAAAAATACATAAATTAGCTGGGCGTGGTGGCACACGCCTGTAATCCCAGCTACTTGGTAGGCTGAGGCAGGAGAATCTTGAACCCTGGAGGCACAGGTTGCAGTGAGCTGACATTGCGCCACTGTACTACAGCCTGGGTGACAGAGCAAGACTCCATCTCAAAAGCGAACTAAAAAAAGAACAATAAAAAGAAGAGAACAGGACGAGGGCGAGGAGGAAAGTATACCAGACAGAGGGTACCACAACGCAATGGTCCTCAGGAAGTGCTTAGAAGGTTAGAGGAGAAGGAAATACCTGTCAGTGGAAAGTGTGTGTCTGGGAGGTTGGGAGAGTGGCAAGTGGTAAGGCTGGGGAGTAGGTGAGGTTTTACAGGGTCTTGCAGGTCCTGGTAAGAGATGGAGATTTTCTCTAAGTACAATGGAAAGTCAATGAAGGGTTTTACCCAGGAGCGACATGTTCCAATCATTACTTAAGATCACTCCAGTTGCCATGTGGAGAACAGAATGGAGGCTGGGGAAGAGTGAACACTCAAAGGCTATTGCTTAATCCAGCCCAGAGGTGATGGACTACAAAGCTAACATTGGAGATGGTGAAAAGTAACTGCATTCAAAATATATTCTAGGGTGGAAACAACAGGACCACTGATGGACTGGATTTAGGGAGTGAAGAGAGAGGGCTAGATTTTTGGTCTATGCAATTGGATAGATGATGAGAAGAAGGTTAGAAACATACCTTTGAGAACCATCAGCACATAGATGGGTGAAATGACAGAGTGTGGAGAGAAAGGGTCCCAGGACTGAGCCCTAAGATACCACTCAACACTTAGACATCAAGCAAGAGAGGAACGGGACCCAGGGAAGGACACTGAAGTAGTCCTTGATGTAGGAGGAA
Organism: Homo sapiens; assembly: GCF_000001405.40. Taxonomy (NCBI): domain Eukaryota; kingdom Metazoa; phylum Chordata; class Mammalia; order Primates; family Hominidae; genus Homo; species Homo sapiens. The sequence continues at coordinate 66,117,266 of NC_000007.14, read as the reverse complement.
ATACGCAAAGGAACATACATCACAAGAAAAGGAAAGTTTCTAGAGTTTCTGTATTAACCACTGCTGAGAGATCAAGAAAGTTGAGGCCAGAAAATCAACCTCTGAATTTGACAAGATGGAGGGATCAGGTTTTTTTTTTTTTTTTTTTTGAGACAGTCTTGCCCTGTCACCTAGGCTGGAGTGCAGTGGCACAATTTGGTTCACTGCAACCCCTGCCTCCCGAGTTCAAGCGATTCTCCTGCCTCAGCCTCCTGAGTTACTGGGATTACAGGCGCCCACCACTACACCCAGTTAATTTTTGTATTTTTAGTAGAGAGGAGGTTATGCCATGTTGGCCAGGCTGGTCTCAAACTCCTGACCTCAGGGGATTCGCCCACTTCGGCCTCCTAAAGTGCTGCGATTATAGGCATGAGCCACCACGCCCCGCTGGTTCAGGTAATCTTAACAGTCATTCCCGTAGACCAGTGAGGATGAAAGCCCAACAGAATGGCTGAGAGAATGAGGGGCTAATCAGCACTTTCAAGAAGTTTTGTTGGGATGGGAAGCAGAAATGGAGTAAGAGGGGGACATGTATGTGGGGACGGAGGATTTTCTAAGATGAATTCTCTAAAGCAGGGTTGTATGCTCACAGGAAATGCTCTAGTAAAGAGGGAAAAATTAGTAATGATGGCTTGGACTAGAGTAAATTATATGAATAGTTTTTTAGGTTGCAGATGAAATCCCATCAGTGGGTTGCAAAATTAATTCAGTGGTTCAATTTTTTTTTTTTTTTTTTTTTAAGACAGAGCCTTACACTGTCACTCTGGCAGGAGTGTAGTGGCTCTATCTCAGCTCATTGCAGCCTCCTGGGATCAAGTGATCCTCCCATCTCAGCCTCGTAAGTAGCTGAGACTACAGGCATGAACCACCACACCCAGCTAACTTCTTAATTTTTTGCAGAGACAGGGTCTCCCTATGTTGCCCAGGCTGGTCTCCACCTCCCAGGTTCAAGTGATCCTTCTGCCTAAGCTTCCCAAAGTGCTGGGATTGCTGGTGTGAGCCACCACGGTTGGCCCCATTCATATTAATAAAAAATAGACAATATGAGAGTGTACGCCACACATTATTGTTTCATGAGCCTTTCATTTCAGTTACACAGACATATTGTGTTTAAAAAAAAATCGGAAGAGGCCAGGTGAAGTGGCTCACGCCTGCAATCCCAGGACTTTGGGAGTACAAAGCAGGAGGATCACTTGAGCTCAGGAGCTGGAGACCAGCCTGGGCTGTAGTGAGACCCTGCATCTACAAAACTTTTTTTAAAAAATTAGCGGTGAGTGATGGCGTGGGCCTGTAGTCCCAGCTACTGAAGAGGCTGAAGCAGGATTGCTTGAGTCCAGAAAGTGAGGCTGCAGTGAACCATGATTACACCCCGCCTGGGGGACAGAGCAAGACCCTGTTTCTTAAGAAAAAACAATTAATTAAAAATGTAAAAATGTGAAATGCCATAGTACATATAACCATTAAACATGAGGCAAAAGAACATAAAGGAAACTGTATCAAATAATCAGTTCAAAGAGAACACAAGATAGTAATACCTACAAATTAATATCAACCGTATAAAGCCCACATTCAGAGTAGATGCAAAATCTTCCATTTGCACCAGGCGCAACGAGCAAGCATGGAAAAGACCACGTGGAGTTAAACTGTCAGAAAATCTTTTACCCTCGCCTTGCACACACACCCACACACCCCCTGCTGTTTCTCTGGTCCCAGTCCTGGTTCACGTCCTTCCCTTCTCCACCCCAAAACCAGCCCCTTCCCTCACAGTGTTTACTGCTCCCATCAAATTCCGAGGGCAGCTCTTCCGAGGGCTCTCCAGGGGCCTACAGCTGCAAGCAGAGCTCTACCCGGCCCTGATTCGTCTCTCCTCCACCTACTTTCAGGGCGGACAGACTCAGGCCTTTATAGCCTTCTAAGTCCGGGGTCGGATACCAGACTGGGCTCCACCCCCGCACTGTGACCCAGAAACGCTGGTAAACGAATGAGAGAAGGAGGGGGCACATTGAAAGGCAGCCGGACACGGAAGTGCTCGGCCCCGCACCAGACACGGCGTGGAGGGGAAGCGAAGGTTCGGAAGGGCAAAGCGAGAGTCCCGTTCGTCCCCGTCACCACCCCGCGGCCCTCCCGGACAGGGCCGGCCCGCTGCCCTCACTCCCGTACGAGGGTCGCCCAGTCCCCACGGCTCTCGGCTCTCAGCTCTCAGCGGTCAAACCGTTGGGCTCCTCGGGCGAAAAGGGACGCGCCCGAGAAGACTTACACTTCCATGACGTCCCGCCTCGTCGCCCCTAGCTGCCAGCAGACAAAGAACCTCACACTTCACAGCTGTCTCCGCCGCCACCAACAGCGCCAAGGTGCCAGCTCCGCGCGCCAAGGTGCTCGCCGGGATCGCCGCGCTGCATGCCGGGAGCTTGGCGGACCCGGAACCTCGCGCTGCGCGTTCCCCTTTTTCGGGGGGCAGGGTGGGGGAGTGTCCCTGCATCCTTCCACCAGGCCGATTTAAGACTGCTAAGCGTTTGCGGACAGGATTATCTTGTGTTTTCTTTTCTTTTTTTCTTTAACCTTTTTTTTTTTTTGAGACGGAGTCTCGCTCTGTCGCCCAGGCTGGATCTCGGCTTACTGCAACCTCCGCCTCCTGGGTTCAAGCGATTCTCCTTCTGCCTCAGCCTCCCAAGTAGCTGGGACTACAGGCGCTTGCCACCAAGCCCGGCTAATTTTTTGTGTTTTTAGTAGAGACGGGGTTTCACCGTGTTAGCCAGGATGGTTTCAATCTCCTGACCTCGTGATCCGCCCGCCTCGGCCTCCCAAAGTCCTGGGATTACAGGCGTGAGGCACCGTGCCCAGCCTCTTTTTTTCTTTTTTGAGACAGAGTCTCGCTCTGTCACCCAGGCTGGAGTGCAGTGGCACGATCTCGGCTCACTGCAATCTCTGCCTCCCAGGTTCAAGCAATTCCCTGCCTCAGCCTCCCGAGTAGCTGGGATTACAGGCGCCCGCCATAACGCCTAGCTAATTTGTGTATTTTTTAGTAGAGACGGGGTTTCATCATCTTGGCCAGGCTAGTCTTGAACTCCTGACCTCGTGATCCACCCGCTTCGGCCTCCCAAAGTGTTGGGATTACAGGCGTGAGCCACCTCGCCGGGCTCTGTCTGTTTTCGTGGTCTAGGTTTTAACAAAGTATTAATCAGCTGAAGTTGTGAGACGTGATCGGGTTAGTGGGCCTTTGCATGTTAAAATCCCACCTCTCAGAGAGTAGTGAGGCTGGTGGCATCTGGGCTGCCAGAAACATTGCAGTTTATTTATTTATTTTTTAAGAGACAGGGTCTTGCTCTGTCGCCCAGGCTGGAATGCAGTGGTGCAATCAGAGCTCACTGCAGCCTTGAACTCCTGGGCTCAAGCAATCCTCCCACCCCAGCCTGCCAGAGTAGCTGGGACCACAGGTGCGCTCCGCTACACCTGGCTAATTTTCTTTTTTTCTTTTTCTTTTTCTTTTTTTTTTTTTTTGAGATCAGTCTCACTCTGTTGCCCAGGCTGGAGTGCAGTGTCGTGATCTCGGCTCATTGCAACCTCTGCCTCCTGGATTCAAGCAGTTCCCTGCCTCAGCCTCCCCAGTAGCTAGGATTACAGGTGCCCGCCATAATGCCCAGCTAATTTTTGTATTTTTTTAGTAGAGACGGGGTTTCACCATCTTGGCCAAGCTGGTCTTGAACTCCTGACCTTGTGATCCACCCTCATCAGCCTCCCAAAGTGTTGGGATTACAGGCGTGAGCCACTGCACCCAGCCACCTGGCTAATTTTCTAAAATAAAATTCTTTATTGTCCAAAGAGTCAGCTACAAAATTTTTTAATTTTTTTGTAGAGATGGGGGTCTCACTGTGTTGCCCAGGCTGGTCTTGAACTCCTCGCCTCAAGTGATCCTCCCACCTCCAACTCCCAAAGTGCTGGGATTACAGGTGTGAACCACCACAATAGCCTCTGTTGCCTACTTTGTAAATAATAAGGGTGTTAAATAATCCTTATAAAGTTCCTGGCACTTTATTAATTACTGTGGCAATACAACCATGACTCTCTATGAGGTACATTGCATTATTATTGACATTTTATAATTGAAGAAACTGAGGCAGACTTGGAGAGATTATGATTTACCAAAAGTCACTCATCTAGGAAGTTGTCCAGTGGGTATTGAACCCCAGCCAATCTGAACATATACAACAGATGCATTAACTAGAGACTGATGAGTGGATGAATAAAATGTGCTACATTTGTGCAATGGAAAACTACTTAAAAAGGAGGCTGGCCGGGCACGGTGGCTCACGCCTGTAATCCCAGCACTTTGGGAGGCCGAGGCGGGCAGATCACGATGTCAGGAGATCGAGACCATCCTGGCTAACAGGGTGAAACCCCGTCTCTACTAAAAATACAAAAAAAATTAGCCGGGCGTGGTGGTGGGCGCCTGTAGTCCCAGCTACTAGGGAGGCTGAGGCAGGAGAATGGCGTGAACCCAGAAGGCAGAGCTTGCAGTGAGCCAAGATCGTGCCACTGCACTCCAGCCTGGAAGACAGGGCAAGACTCTGTCTCAAAAATATAAAAATAAAAAGGAGGCCAGGCTTGATCTCAGCACTTTGGGGAGCAGAGGCAGGAGGATTTCTTGAGACAAGGAGTTCCAGAGCAGCCTGGGCAACATAGCTAGACCCCCTAACTACGAAAAGTTAGCCAGGTGTGGTGGTGAGCACCTCTAGTCCCAGCTACTGGGGAGGCTGAGGTAGGAGAATCGCTTGAGCCAGAAGGTAGAGGCTGCAGGGAACTATGATCACACCACTGCACTCCAGCCTACAGAGTGAGAGACCTTGTTGCAAAAAATATATATAGACAGACTGATAGATAAATGCTGCAAGATGGATAACCTCCCAAAACATGATGCTATTAATAAGTGAAAGAAGCCAGACACAAAATAATATATATTGCCTGGCCAGGTGGCTCACGCCTGTAATCCCAGCACTTTGGGTGGCTGAGGTGGGTGGATCATCTGAGATCAGGAGTTCAAGACCAGCCTGGCTAACATGGGGAAACCCTGTCTCTACCGAAAATACAAAAATCGCCAGGCGTGGTGGCTCACGCCTGTAATCCCAGCACTTTAGGAGACTGAGGCAGGCAGATCATGAGGTCAGTAGTTCGAGACCAGCCTAGCCAACATGGTGAAACCCCGTCTCTACTAAAAATACAAAAAGTAGCTGGGTGTGGTGGGGGGCACCTGTAATCCCAGCTACTCGGGAGACTGAGGCAGGAAAATTGCTTGAACCCAGGAGGCGGAGGTTGCAGTGAGCCGAGATCACGCCACTGCACTCCAGCCTGGGTGACAGAATGAGACTCCTTCTAGAAAAAAAAAAAAAAGAATACATATGGTATGATTCACTTTATATAGAATGTCCAAGAAGAGGCCAATCTATGGATACAGACAGAAGGCTAGGTTGGGGGCAAGGATGGGAAGTGATTGCTAATAAGTAGGGAGTTTCTCTTTGGGAAACAGAAATTGTCTAAAATTATTATAGATGGTGGTGGTGGTTGCACAACCCTGTGAATATACTGAAGACACTGAGTTGTATACTTTAAATGGCATATTGTACAGCATATTAATCCTATATTAATAAAGCTGTTAAACATTTTTTACTCTGCTGAGTGTGGTGGTCCACACCTGTAATCCCAGCACTTTGGAAGATGAAGGCAGGTGGATCGCTTGAGCCCAGTTTGAGACCAGCATGGGCAACATGGTGAAACCTCATCTTTACCAAAAAAATAGAAATTAACCAGCTTGATGGCTCGTGCCTGTAATCGTAGCTACTCAGGAGGCTGAGGCAGGAGCATCGTCTGAATCTGGGAGGCGGAGGTTGCAGATCACGCCACTGCACTCCAGCCTGGGTGACAGAGCAAGACTCCATCGCAAAATAACGACAACAAAAAAGTCATAAAATGCCACCCAGACCCAGCTGGCCTAGTTAGTGTGGAGAATTCCCTGTACCTTCGCTGAGGAGATTGGGCCCCACAAAGAAATGCTAAAGATGCCCCTTGTGTTATTCACTCAACAAGTATGTAGCCATGGCCCATCGGGGGCTGATGATACAAATGTGACTAACACACACCCTCTGCACTGGCTAGCTGACAGCCTAGTTGAGGAACCAGCTCTGGACATAAATAACCACAATGCATTGTGTTTCGACGCGATGGGCAGGGGAGGGAATGACTAATGAGGTGGAGAGGCGTCCCAAAGCCACGGGCCTTTGAAGTGGGTGAGGGAAAAGCACACGAGGCCGAGGGATTGGGTATGGGCTTCAGTGAAAAACAGCAGTGCCTCTGACAGCCCCCATGATAAAATGGCTCAGGTGTGACTTAGAGTAGGGAGTTAGCTGGGTGTTCGAATGATACCCGGTAGGCCAGGTGCGGTGGCTCATGCCTGTCATCCCATCATTTCGGGAGGCCAAGGCGGGTGGATCACTTGAGTCCAAGAGTTCAAGACCAGCCTGGCCAACATGGTGAAACCTCATCTCTACTGAAAATACAAAAATTAGCCGGGCATGGTGGCAGGCGCCTGTAATCCCAGCTACTCAGGAGACTGAGGTAGGAGAACCACTTGAGCCCGGGAAGCGGAGGTTGCAGTGAGCCGAGTAAACATTCTTTTTACTGTCTGCACCTCTGGTCCTGGATAGTCGCTGATCACCATGACAATTAAGGGTATGGACCTTAAGAAGAAAAGATTATCCTGGATTTTCTATGTGGTATCAACATAATCACATGGATCATTAAAAGCATAAAATCATTCTCACCTGATGTCAGAGCCCAAGGGAGGTGTGGCTAGGGAAGGGAAGAATGATCTGAGAGATGCAATATTCCTGCCTTTGAAGATGGAGGAAGGGGCCATGAGCCAAGGAATGTAGGTAACTGTAGAAGCTGGAAAAGGCAAGAAAACAGATTCTCCTGTGAAGCTTCCAGAAAGGACTGCAGCCCAGCTGGGTGCCACGGCTCACACCGGTAATCCCATCACTTTGGGAGCCCAAGGCAGGCGGATTACTTGAGGTCAGGAGTTTGAGATCAGCCTAGCCAACATGGTGAAACACTGTCTCTACTAAAAATTTAAAAAATTAGCTGGGTGTGGTGGCAGGCGCCTGTAATCCCAGCAACTTGGGAGGCTGAGGTAGGAGAATTGCTTGAACCCAGGAGGGGTAGGTTGCAGTGAGCCAAGATCGTGCACTCCAGGCTGGGCAACAGAGCGAGACTCTGACTCAAAAAAAAAGGACTGCAGCCCTACCAACACCTTGATTTTAACCCAGTGAGACTGATTTAGGACTTCTGTATTACTCCATTCTCACACTTCTATAAAGAAATACCTGAAGGCCGGGCATGGTGGCTCATGTCTGTAATCCCAGCACTTTGGGAGGCTGAGGCAGGCAGATCATGAGGTCAGGCGTTTAAGACCAGCCTGGCCAACATGGTGAAACCCCGTCTCTACTAAAAAATACAAAAAAAATTAGCTGGGCGTGGTGGCGCACACCTGTAATCCCAGCTACTGGGGAGGCTGAGGCAGGAGAATCTCTTCACCCAGGAGGCAGAGTTTGCAGTGAGCTGAGATTGCACCACTGCACTCCAGCCTGGGCAACACAGCAAGACTCTGTCTTAAAAAAAAAAAAAAAGGAATACCTGAGACTAAAAAAGAAAAAAGAAATACCTGAGACTAGATAATTTATAAAGAAAGGTGGTTTGGCTGGGCGTGGCGGCTCACGCCTATAATCCCAGCACTTTTGGAGGCCAAGGTGGGAGGATCACGAGGTCAGGAGATCAAGACCATCCTGTCAGTGAAAACCTGTCTCTACTAAAAAATACAAAAAATTAGCCAGGCGTGGTGGTGGGTGCCTGTAGTCCCAGCTACTTGGGAGGCTGAGGCAGGAGAAAGGTGTGAACCCAGGAGGTGGAGCTTGCAGTGAGCCGAGATTCTGCCACTGTACTCCAGCCTGGGCGACAGAGCAAGACTGTCTCAAAAAAAAAAAAAAAAAAAAAAAAAAAAGGTGGTTTAATCAGCTTACAGTTCCACAGGCTCTAGAGGAAGAAAGGCAGCATCTTCTTCTGGGGAGGACTCAGGGATCTTCTACTCATGACAAAGGTGAAGGGGAGCAGGACCAAGAGACGAGGGGAGGAGCTACACACTTATTATTATTATTACTTTATTTCTTTATTTTATTTTTGAGACAGAGTCTCGCTCTGTCACCCAGGCTGGAGTGCAAGAGTGCAGTGGCATGATCTTGGCTCATCACAACTTCCGCCTCCCAGTTTCAAGCAATTTTCCTGCCTCAGCCTCCTGAATATCTGGGATTTCAGGTGCCTGCCACCCTGCCCAGCTAATTTTTGTATTTTTAGTAGAGATGGGGGTTTCACTGTGTTGTTCAGGCGGGTCACGAACTCCTGACCTTGTGATCTGCCTGCCTTGGCCTCACAAAGTGCTGGGATTACAGGTGTGAGCCACCATGCCCAGCCCATGTCTGCAAATTCTCTGACACCCCTCATGGAGTGGAGTCTAACTCCTCCCCACCTTGAACATGGTCTAGCCTTCCTGACTTACTTCCTTTTCTTTTGAGACAGGATCTCACTGTGTATCCCAGGCTGGAGTGCAGTGGCGCAATCACGGCTCACTGCAGCCTTGACCTCCTGGGCTCTGGCGATCCTCCCACCTTAGCCTCCTGAGTAGCTGGGACCATAGGTGCTCACCACCACACCCAGCTGATTTTTTTTTTTTTTTTTTTTGAGATGGAGTAGCACTCCTGTTGCCCAGGCTGGAGGGCAATGGCGCGGTCTGAGCTCCCTGCAACCTCTGCCTCCTGGGTTCAAGCAATTCTCCTGTCTCAGGGTCCCAAGTAGCTGGAATTACAGGTGCCTGCCACCACGCCCAGCTAATTTTTGTATTTTTTTGTAGAGATGATGTTTCACCATGTTGGCCAGGCTGGTCTCAAACTCCTGACCTCAGGCGACCCGCCCACCTCGGCCTTCCAAAGTGCTGGGATTACAGGTGTGAGTCACTGCTCTCGGTAGATTTTTGTATTTTTTTGTAAAGATGGAGTTTCACCACCATTGCCCAGGCTGGTTTCGAACTCCTAGGCTCAAATGATTCTCCGATTTCAGCCTCCCAAAGTGCTGGGATTATATGTGAGAGTTACTGTGCCTGGCCAACTTACTTCTTCTAATTCTGTTTTTTTTTTTTGAGACAGAGCCTCCCTCTGTTTTCCAGGCTGGAGTGCAATGGCGCGATCTTGGCTCACTGCAGCCTCTGCCTCCCGGGTTCAAGCGATTCTCCTACCTCAGCCTCCCGAGTAGCTAGGATTGCAGGCATGTGCCACCACACCCAGCTAATTTTTGTATTTTTAGTAGAGATGAGGTTTCACCATGTTAGCCAGGCTGCTCTTGAACTCCTGACCTCACTCAGGTGATCTGCCCACCTCAGCCTCCCAAAGTGCTGGGATTATAGGCATGAGCCACCACGTCTGGCCCTGACTCACTTCTAAGAGGTAGAATGTGGTCAAAGAGACTGCATGACTGCTGAGGCTGCGTCAGAAAAGGTAATGCAGCTCCCACCTGGCTCTCTCTGGGGCTATGGGCCTTTGGAGCATGAAGCCAGCCTATAAGAAGCCCAGCTGCCTCCACACCACCATGCTGGAGGGATTACATGGAGAGATCACACAGTTATACTGTGAGATGTCCTGTCTGTCCCAGCCCTCAGCCATTCGAGTCTTCCCAGTCTAAATACAAGACGTGTGACTGAGGAAGCTTTTGAAATGATCCCACATGGTGGTGCATGCCTGTAATCCCAGCTGCTTGGGAGGCTGAGGGAGAGTTGCTTGAACCCAGGAGGCGGAGGTTGCTGTGACCAGGATCAAACCACTGCACTCCAGCCTGGGTGACAGAGCAAGACTCCATCTCGAACAATAAAAATAAAAATGAAGGCCGGGTTTGGTGGCATATGCCTCTAATCCCAGCACTTTGGGAAGCCAAGGTGAAAGGATCACGAGGTCAGGAGACAGAGACCATCCTGGCTAACACAGTGAAACCCCGTGTCTACTAAAAATACCAAAAATTAGCCCTGTGTGGTGGTGGGCACCTGTAGTCCCAACTGCTTGGGAGGCTGAGGCAGGAGAATGGCGTGAACCCGGGAGGTGGAGCTTGCAGTGAGCAGAGATCGGGCCACTGCACTCCAACCTGGGTGACACAGCAAGACTCCATCTCAAAAAATAATAATAATAAAATAAAAAATAAAAATAAAAACATGGTCTGGTCTTCATGACTCACTTCCTTTTGAGACAGGATTTCAGCCAGTACTGTAAACATATGAGGAACCATAAGCAAGACCTCCTAGCTAATTCAACCCCCTGAATTATCAGAGGTAATAATTGTGACAGTTGTTTTACAACCTGGGATGTCTCCTTACACAGCAAAAGACAACAGATAGACACATATAGTACTTTGCACATAAAAAACACTGAAAACATAGCAGTCCTGGCCAGGCACGGTGGCTCACTTCTGTAATCCCGGCACTTCGGGAGGACGAGGCGGTGGGATCACCTGAGGTCAGGAGTTCGAGACCAGCCTAGCCACCATGGTGAAGCCCCGTCTCTACTAAAAATAAAAAAATTAGCCAGGTGTAGTGGTGTACACTGGTGTAATCCCACCTACTCAGGAGGCCGAGGGAGGAGAATTGCTTGAACCTAGGAGGTGGAGGTTGCAATAAACCAAGATCGTGCCACTGCACTCCAGCCTGGGCAACAGAGTGAGACTCCATCCCAAAAACAAAAACATGTCAGTCCTAATTGTTATTATTATTTCAAACCAGCTTTATCTTGACCCACTAGGCCCTTATGTATTAATCATAGCAACTATTATTTATTGAACACTTAGTATAAATCAGACATAGCACATATGTGCACACCTTGTTATACTCCACTTTGATTTATTGTGCTTCACAGAAACTGCATTTTTTACAAATTTAAGGTTTGTGGCAACCCTGTGTTGGGTAAGTCTGTCAGTGGCATTTTTCCAACAGCACATGCTCACTTCATACCTCTGTGTCACAGTTCAGTAATTCTGGCAGTATTTCAAACTTTTATTTTATTTATTTATTTATTTATTTTGAGGCGGAGTCTCGCTCTGTCACCCAGGCTGGAGTGCGGTGGCGTGATCTCGGCTCACTGCAAGCTCCGCCTCCCAGGTTCACGCCATTCTCCTGCCTCAGCCTCCTGAGTAGCTGGGACTACAGGCGCCGGCCACCACGCCTGGCTAATTTTTTGTATTTTTTAGTAGAGACGGGGTTTCACCATGTTAGCGAGGATAGTCTCGATCTCCTGACCACGTGATCCACTCGCCTCTGTCTCCCAAAGTGCTGGGATTACAGGCTTGAGCCACCATGCCCAGCCCAAATTTTTAATTATTACTATATCTGCTGTGGTGATCTGTGATCAGTGGTCTTTGATATTACTACTACAGTTGTTTTGGGCATCATACACCATGCCCATTTAAGATGGTGAATTTAATCAACAAATGTGTGTGTTCTAACTGCCTCTCTGACCAACTGTGCCTCCGTCTCATGCCTTCTTGCCCTCTTGAGTCTCCCTATTTCCTGAGACAGAACAATATTGAAATTAGGTCAATTAACAAGCCTACAATGGCCTCTAAGTGTTAAAGTGAAAGGAAGGGTCCTACATGTCTCACTTAATGTCAAAAGCTAGAAATGATTAAACATCATGAGGCAGACATGTTGAAGACTGAGAAAGAACAAAAGCAAAGCCTCTTGTACCCATTAACCAAGTTGTGAACACAAAGGAAAAGTTATTTTTTTCTCTCTCTCTCTTGAGACGGAGTCTCGCTCTGTGGCCCAGGCTGAAGTGCAATGGCACAATCTCGGCTCCCTGCAACCACTGCTCCCGGGGTTCCAGTGATTGTCCTGCCTCAGCCTCTCAAGTAGCTGGGATTATAGGCACGTGCCAACAACCGGCTAATGTTTTGTATTTTTAGTAGAAACGGGTTTTCCCCATGTTGGCCAGGCTGGTCTTGAACTCCTGACCTTAGATGATCTGCCTGCCTTGGCCTCCCAAAGTGCTAGGATTACAGGCATGAGCCACCGTGCCTGGCAGGAAAAGTTCTTGAAGGAAATTAAAAGTGCTACTCCTGTGAACACACGAATGAGAAGAAAGCAAAGCAGCCTTATTGCTGATACAGAGAAAGTTTGGTCTGGATAGAAGATCAAACCAGTCACAACATTCCCTTAAGCCAAAGCCTAATCCAGAGCAAGGTTCTAACTCTCCTGAATTCTATGAAGGCAAAGAGGGGTGAGGAAGCTGTAGAAGAAAAGGTGGGGCTGGGTGCGGTGGCTCAGGCCTGTAATCCCAGCACTTTGGGAGGCTGAGGTGGGTGGGTCACCTGAGGTCAGGAGTTCGAGACCAGCCTGAACAACATGGTGAAACCCCATCTCTACTAAAAATACAAAAATTAGCCAGGCATGGTGGTGGACACCTGTAATCCCAGCTACTTAAGAGGCTGAGACAGGAGCATCACTTGAACCTGGGGGTAAAGGTTGCAGTGAGCCGAGATTGTGCCACTTCACTGCAGCCTGGGCGAAAGAGCAAAACTCCATCTCAAAGAAAAGAAATATATTTTGTGGCCGGGTGCGGTGGCTCAAGCCTGTAATCCCAGCACTTTGGGAGGCTGAGTCGGGCAGATCACGAGGTCAGGAGTTTGAGACCAGCCTGCCCAATACAGTGAAACCTCGTCTCTACTGAAAATACAAAAATTAGCCAGGTGTGGTGGCACGCGCCTGTACTCCCAGCTACTCAGGAGGCTGAGGCAGAAGAATCGCTTGAACCCGGGAGGCAGAGGTTGCAGTGAGCAGAGATTGTGCCACTGCACTCTAGCCTGGGCAACAGGGCAAGGCTCCATCTCAAAAAAAAAAAAAAAAAATTAGCTGGAGGTGAATTGCTCAATCCCATGAGCAAACTTGAATGAATGAGCAATTGCTTCTTATGACTGAGCAAAAAAATTGGTTTCTTCCAATGGGATGTACTTCTGGTGAAGATACTGTGAATATTGCTGAAATAACAGCAAAAGATTTAGAATACTACATAAAAACCTAGTTGATAAAGTAGGAGCAGGGTTTGAGAAGATTGACTCTAATTTTGAAAAAAGTTCTGCCGTGTGTAAAATGCTATCAAACAGCATCACATCCTACAGTGACGGTGGAAGTCAATTGATGCTGCAAACTTCAATGTTGTCTTATTTTAAGAAATTGCGACCGGGCACGGTGGCTCGGGCCTGTAATCCCAGCACTTTGGGAGGCCGAGGTGGGCAGATCACGAGGTCAGAAGATCGAGACCATCCTGGCTAATATGGTGAAACCCCGTCTCTACTAAAAATACAAAAAATTAGTCGGGTGTGGTGGTGGGCACCTGTAGTCCCAGCTTCTTGGGAGGCTGAGGCAGGAGAATGGCGTGAACCCGGGAGGCGGAGCTTGCAGTGAGCTGAGATCACGCCACTGCATTCCAGCCTGGGCGAGAGAGCAAGACTCCATCTCAAAATAAATAAATAAAAATAAATTAAAAAAAAGAAATTGCAGCCAGGCGCGGTGGCTCATGCCCGTAATCTCACACTTTGGAAGGCCAAGACGGCTGAATCACCTGAGGTTGGGAGTCCGAGACCAGCCTGACCAACATGGAGAAAACCCCATCTCTACTAAAAATACAAAAACTTAGCCAGGCATGATGGCGCATGCCTGTAATCCCAGCACTTTGGAAGGCTGAGGCGGGTGACTCACCTGAGGTCAGGAGTTCGAGACCAGCCTTACCAACATGGAGAAACCCCATCTCTACTAAAAATATAAAAAATTAGCCAGGCATGGTGGCACATGTCTGTAATCCCAGCTACTCGAGAGGCTGAGGCAGGAGAATCAATTGAACTTGGGAGGTGGCAGTTGCAGTGAGCCAAGATCCCCCAGGTGTGCACCACCATGCCAGAATAATGAAAACTTTTTTTTTTTTTTTTTTTTTAAGAGATGGGTGTCTCCCTGTGTTGCCTAGGCTGGTCTTGAACAGCCTGGGAAACAGCAAGAATCACTTTCTAAAAAATTAAAAATAAAAAGATTAGCCGGATGTGGCAGCACACACCTAAAGTCTCAGCTACTCATGATGCTGAGGGAGGTGGATCACTTGAGCCCAGGCGTTTAAGGTTACAGTGAGCTATGATCATGCCACTGCATTCTTGCCTCTTTTAGTGAGACCCTCCTTTAAAAAATAAAAAGTTATGTTTACACTCTTCTGTAGTCTTTTATTAATTAATTAACTTTTTTATTTTTTGAGAGGGGGTCTTGCTGTGTCACCCAGGCTGAAGTGCAGTGGCGTGATCTTGGCTCACTGCAACCTCCACCTTCTGGGTTCAAGTGATTCTCCTGCCTCAGCCTCCCGAGTAGCTGGGATTACAGGCACATGCCACTCTGCCTGGCTAATTTTTGTATTTTAGTAGAGATGGGGTTTCACCATGTTGGTCAGGCTGGTCTCGAACTCTTGACCTCAAATGATCCACCCGCCTCTGTAGTCTCTTAAGTATGCGATAAAATTATGTCTATAAAAACAATGTACAGGCCGGGTGCGGTGGCCCACGCCTGTAATCCCAGCACTTTGGGAGGCCAAGGCAGGCAGATTACCTGAGGGCAGGAGTTTGAGACCAGCCTGGCCAACATGGAGAAACCCCATCTCTACTAAAAATACAAAAATTACCTGGGCCTGGTGGCACATGCGTGTAATCTCAGCTACTCAGGAGGCTGAGGCGGGAGAATTGCTTGAGCCCGGGAGGCGGAGTTTGCAGTGAGCTGAGAATGCGCCACTGCACTCCAGCCTGGGCAACAGAGCAAGACTCTGCCTCAAAAAAAAAAAAAAAGAAAGAAAGAAAGAAAAAAAAGTATATACCTTAACTTAAAAATAATGCTTAAAATATTAATGATCATCTGAGTTTTCTTTCAGTAAGTCATTACATTTTTGTTAGTGGAGGGTCTTGCCTCGATGTTGGTGGCTGCTGACTGATCAGGGTAGTGGTTCCTGAAGGTTGAGATGGCTGTGGCAATTACAGGCGTGCACCACCATGCCTGGCTAATTTTTCTATTTTTAGTAGAGACAGTGTTTCACCATGTTGGCAAGGCTGGTCTTGAACTCCTGACCTCGTGATCCGCCCGCCTTGGCCTCCCAAAGTACTGGGATTAGAGGCATGAGCCACCGAGCCCAGGCTTAATACACCATTTTATAAGTTTTTTCTTAGGTAGGGTCTCACTCTGTCAGCTATGCTGGAGTACAGTGACATGATGAGAACTCTCAATGAAGCCTCAAACTCTGGGGCTCAACAGATCCTCCTGCCTCACCCTCCAGAGTAGCTGGGACTACAGGCATGCACCAACATGCCCTTCTAATTTTTGAATTTTTAGTAGAAATGGGGTTTCACCATGTTTGGCCAGGCTGGTCTCGAACTCCTGATCTCAGGCTACCCACCCACCTTGGCCTCCCAGAGTGCTGGGATGACAGGTGTGAGCCACTGTGCCTGGCCTCATTTTTTTTTTTTTACTTCACTTTATTGTGCTTCAGAGATATTGCATTCCTTAACATTTTTTAAATTTAAAAATATAAATAGGCCGGGCGCAGTGGCTCAAGCCTGTAATCCCAGCACTTTGGGAGACTGAGGTGGGCGGATCACAAGGTCAGGAGATCGAGACCATCCTGGCTAACACGGTGAAACCCCATATATACTAAAAATACAAAAAAATTAGCCGGGCGTGGTGGCGGGCACCTGTAGTCCCAGCTACTCGGGAGGCTGAGGCAGGAGAATGGCGTGAACCCAGGAGGCGGAGCTTGCAGTGAGCTGAGATTGTGCCACTGCACTCCAGCCTGAGCGACAGAACAAGACTCTGTCTCAAAAAAAAAAGATAATAATAATAATATTTAAAACAATTTAGATGGGGGGGGGTCTCGCTATGTTGACCAGGCTGGTTTCGAACTCCTGGCATCAAGCAATCCTCCCATCTCAGCCTCCCAAAGTGCTGGAGTTACAGGCGTGAGTCACCATGCGTGGCCCATTTTTTAACATACTAGAGGATTGTGGCAACCCTGTGTTGAGGTAGCGTATTGGTGCCGTTTTTCCAACAGCATGTGTTCATTCGCTGTCTTTGTGTCACATTTCGGTAATTCTTATTGTATTTCAAACTTTATTACTATTTTTTTGAGACAGAGTCTTACTCCATTGCCCAGGCTCAAGTGCAGTGGTTTGACCATAGCTCACTGCAGCCTTGACCGCCTGGGCTCAAGTGATCCTCTTGCCTCAGCCTTCTGAGTAGCTGGGATGACTGGTTTGTGCCACCATTCCTGGCTAATTTTTAATTTTTTTTTAAATTTTTATTTTTGTAAAAACAGGGTCTCACTATGTTGGTCAGGCTGGTCTCAAACGCCTGGGTTTCTAGCAATCTTCCCGCCTCAGCCTCCCAAATAGATGGATTACAGGCGTGAGCCACTGCACCTGGCTCTTTTTTTTTTTTTTGAGATGGAGTCTCACTCTGTCGCCCAGGCTGGAGTGCAGTAGCCCGATCTCAGCTAACTGCAACCTCCGCCTCCCAGGTTCAAGCGTTTCTTCTGCCTCAGCCTCTGGAGTAGCTGGGAGTATGGGTATGAGCCACCAAGCCCGCTTGGCTGTTTCTTTTTCTTCCTCCCTCTTTCCTCCTCCTCATTCTTTTTCCTCCTCCTTCCTTCCTCCTTACTGCTGCCCCCCAAATTGCTGGGATTACAGGCATGAGCCACCGTGCCTGGCAGTTTCCGTCTCTTCCTTCTCCTCCTCCCCCCTCCCCTCCCCTCCTCCTTTACAGGCCTGAGCCACCAATCCATGTAGTTTCCTTCTCCTCCTCCTCCTTTACAGGCATGAGCCACTGCGCTTGGCTGTTTTTTCCTCCTCCTCCTCCTCCTCCTCCTCCTTTACAGGCGTAAGCCACCTCGCCTGGCTGTTTCCTCCTCCTCCTCCTTTACAGGCTGCGCCACCACACCTGGCTGTTTCTCCCTCTTCCTCCTCCTCCTCGTCCTTTACAGTCGTGAGCCACCTCGCCTGGCTGTTTCCTCCTCCTCCTCCTCTTCCTTCTCCTCCTTTACCGGCATGAGCCACCCTTCCTGGCTGTTTCTTCTTCCTCCTGCTCCTCCTCCTCCTCCTTTACAGGCATGAGCCACTGTGCCTGGCTGTCTCCTCCTCCTCCTCTACAGGCGTGAGCCACTGCAACTGGCTGTTTCCTCCTCCTCCTTTGCAGGCTTGAGCCACTGTGCCTGGCTGTTTCTTCCTCCTCTTTCTCCTTTACAGGCGTGAGCCACCACGCCTGGCTGTTTCCTCCTGCTCCTCCTCCTCTTCCTCTTCCTTTACAGGTGTGAGAGCCACCAGGCCTGGCTGTTTCTTCCTTCTCCTCCTCCTCCTCATTCTCCTCCTCCTTTACAGACCTGAGCCAGGGAGCCTGGCTGTTTCTTCCTCCTACTCCTCCTCTACAGGTGTAAGCCACCAAGCCTCGCCGTTTCCTTCTCCTCCTCCCTCTCCTCCTTCTCCCCCTCCTCCTCTTCTCCCCCTCCCTCCTCCCCCTCCTTTCCTCCTCCTCCCTTCTTCCTTTCCTCCTCTTCCACCTCCTTCTCCACCTCCTCCTCCTCCACCTCCTTCTCCTCCTCCTCCACCTCCTTCTCCTCCTCCTCTCCTCCTCCTCCCCTCCTCCTCCTCTCCTCCTCCCCCTCTCCTCCTCTCCTCCTCCTCCCCTCCTTCTCCTCTCCTTCTCTCCTCCTCCTCCCCTCCTCCTCCTCCCCTCCTCCTCCCCTCCTCCTCCCCTCCTTCTACTCCCCTCCTCCTCCGCTCCTTCTCCTCCCCTCCTCCTCCTCCCCTCCTCCTCCTCTCCTCCTCCTCTCCTCCTCCTCTCCTCTCCGCCTCCTCTCCTCCTCTCCTCTCCGCCTCCTCTCCTCCACTCCTTCTACTCCCCTCCTCCTCCGCTCCTTCTCCTCCCCTCCTTCTCCTCCCCTCCTCCTCTCCTCTCCTCCTCCTCCCCTCCTCCTCCTCTCCTCCTCCTCTCCTCCTCCTCTCCTCTCCGCCTCCTCTCCTCCTCCTCCTCTCCTCCTCCTCTCCTCCTCTCCTCTCCTCCACTCCTCCTCCTCCACCTCCTCTTCTTTCTCCTCCTCCTCTTCTTCCTCCTCCTCCTCCATCTCCTGCTCCTCCACTGCTCCTGGCTGTTTCTTCCTCCTCCTCCTCCTCCTCTTCCTTCTCCTCCTCCTCCTCCTTTAACAGGCATGAGCCACCACACCTGGCTGTTTCCTCCTCCTCCTTTACAGGCTTGAGCCACTGTGCCTGGCTGTTTCTTCCTCCTCCTCTTCCTCCTTTACAGGCATGAGCCACGGCCTGGCTGTTTCCTCCCGTTCCTCCTCCTCCTCCTCCCCCCCCCACTCCTCCTTCTTTCTTATGTATGTATTTATTTATTTATTTACTTACTTATTCATTTATTTTTAGACAGAGTCTCCCTCTGTCACCCAGGCTGGAGTGCAGTGGCATGATCTCAGCTCACTGCAACCTCTGCCTCCCGGGTTCAAGCAAGTCTCCTGCCTCAGCTTCCCAAGTAGCTGGGACTACAGGCTCCCGCCACCACACCCGGCTAATTTTTGTATTTTTAGTAGAGATAGGGTTTCACCATGTTGGCCAGGCTGGTCTCGAACTCCTGACCTCAGGTGATCCACCTGCCTCGGCCTCCCAAAGTGCTGGGATTACAGGCATGAGCCACCGCGCCCAGCCACTATTTTTTTATTTATTTTTTAAAGACAGAGTCTTGCTCTTGTCACCC
This sequence comes from Homo sapiens, assembly GCF_000001405.40. Taxonomy (NCBI): domain Eukaryota; kingdom Metazoa; phylum Chordata; class Mammalia; order Primates; family Hominidae; genus Homo; species Homo sapiens. The sequence continues at coordinate 66,098,335 of NC_000007.14, read as the reverse complement.
AGGCTGGAGTGCAATGGTGCAATCTCGGCTCACTACAACTTCTGCCTCCTGGGATCAAGCAATTCTGCTTCAGCCTCCCGAGTAGCTGAGATTACAGGCGCCCGCCACCATGTCCAGCTAAGTTTTGTATTTTTAGTAGAGATGGGGTTTCACCATGTTGGCCAGGCTGGTCTCAAACTCCTGACCTCAGGTGATCCACCCGCCTCAGCCTCCCAAAGTGCTGGGATTACAGGCGTGAGCCTCTGTGCCCAGGATTATTGTTTTATTTATTTATTTATTTATTGAGATAGAGTTTCACTCTTGTTGCTCAGGCTTTATTTATTTATTTAATGAGATAGAGTTTTGCTTTTGTTGCCCAGGCTGGTGTGCAATGGCATGATGTTGGTTCACTGCAACCTCCACCTCTGGGGTTCAAGCAATTCTGCTGCCTCAGCCTCCCAAGTAGCTGGGACTAGAGGCGTGCACCACCACACCTAGCTAATTTTTAGCATTTTAGTAGAGATGGGGTTTCACCATGTTAGTCAGGCTGGTCTTGAACTTCTGACCTCAGGTGATCCACCTGCCTCGGCCTCCCAAAGTGCTGGGATAACAGGTGTGAGCCACCGCGCCAGCCTATTATTGTAATAATATCTGTCATGCTGATCTATGACCAGTGATCCTTGATGTTACTATTGTATCCGTCCAAAAGTAATTGCCGGTTTTGCCATTGAAAGTAATGGCACAGCTGGGCGCGGAGGCTCATGCCTGTAATCCCAGCACTTTGGGAAGCTGAGGCGGGTGGATCACGAGGTAAGGACATCAAGACCATCCTGCCTAACACGGTGAAACCCCGTCTCTACTAAAAATACAAAAAAAAAATTAGCCAGGCCTGGTAGCAGGCGCCTGTAGTCCCAGCTACTCGGGAAGCTGAGGCAGGAGAATGGCATGAATCCGGGAGGCAGAGCTTGCAGTGAGCCAAGATCACGCCACTGCACTCCAGCCTGGGCGACAGAGCGAGACCCCGTCTCAAAAAAAAAAAAAAAAAAAAAAGTAATGGCACTAGGCTGGGCGGGGTGTCTCACACCTATAATCCTAGCACTTTGGGAGGCCGAAGTGGTTGGATCACCTGAGGTCAGGAGTTCAAGACCAGCCTGACCAACATGGCGAAACCCCATCTCTACTAAAAATACAAAAAAAATTAACCAGGCCTGGTGGCAGGTGCCTGTAATCCCAGCTGCTTGGGAGGCTGAGGCAGGAGAATCACTTGAACCCAGGCAGAGGAGGTTGCAGTGAACCGAGATTGCGCCATTGTACTCCAGCCTGGGCAACAGAGTGAGACTATGTCTCAAAAAATAAAAATAAAAACAAACAAACAAAAAAAGATTGACAATGGAAGCAGAGAGAGAATTGAAGATGCTACACCACTGGTCTTGCAGATGGAAGAAGGAACTACAAGCCAAGGAATGCAGGTGGCCTCTAGAAAATGGAAAAAACAAGGAAATGGATCCTCCTCTAGATCCTGGCTGACACTTGATTTCTTCTCAGTAAAACCAATTTCAGACTTGTGATGTCCAGAATTATCAGATTACACATGTTGAGCCATTAAATTCATGGTAGGCCAGGTGTGGTGGCTCATGCCTGTAATCCCAGCACTTTGGGAGGGTGAGGCAGGTGGAAGGCTTGAGCTCAGGAGTTTGAGACTAGCCTGGGAAACATAGAGCCCATCTCGATTTTTTAAAAATAAAATGAAATTATTTAAAAAGTTTGGCTGTTTTTTTCTTTTCTTTTCTTTTTTTTTTTTGAGAAGGACTCTCACTCTATCACCTAGGCTGGAGTGCAGTGGCATGGTCTCAGCTGACTGCAACCTCCACCTCCCAGGTTCACGCAATTCTCGTGCCTCAGCCTCTTGAGTGGCTGGGACTACAGGCGTGCACCACTGCGCCCGGCTAATTTTTGTATTTTTATTAGAGATGGGGTTCCAATATGTTGGCCAGGCTCGTCTCGAACTCCTGGCATCAAGTGATCCACTGGCCTCGGCCTCCCACCGTGCTGGGATTACAGGTGTGAGCCACTGTGCCTGGCTTGGCTTGGTTTATTTTTTTTTTTTGAGGTGAAGTCACGCTCTTGTTCCCCAGGCTGGAGTGCAATGGCACAATCTCAGCTCACAGCAACCTCCACCTCCCGGGTTCAAGCAATTCTCCTGCCTTAGCCTCCTGAGTAGCTGGGATTACAGGTGTCTGGCACTGCATCCAGCTTTTTTTTTTTTTTTTTTTTGAGACGGAGTCTCGCTCTGTCACCCAGGCTGGAGTGCAGTGGCGTGATCTCCGCTCACTGCAAGCTCTGCCTCCCGGGTTCACGCCAGTATCCCGTCTCAGCCTCCCGAGTAGCTGGGACTACAGGCAGTGCCTGGCTAATTTTTTGTATTTTTAGTAGAGATGGGGTTTTACCATCTTGGCCAGGCTGGTCTTGAAGTCCTGACCTTGTGATCCACCTGCCTTGGCCTCCTAAAGTGCTGGGATTACAGGCGTGAGCCACCGCACCCGGCCTGTTTTTTTTTTTTTTTTTTTAATGTGGTAGCTGGGATCTTGCTATGTTGCCCAGGCTGGTATTGAACTGAACTCCTGGCTTCAAGCAGTCCTCCCACCTTGGCCTCCCAAACTGTCGGGATTACATGCATAAACCACCGTACTTGGCCTCTAATTTCAGACATCTCTTATCAGGAGTTTGGTGAGATTTGCATAGAAGAGGTCTCTGTGTCACCACGGGCTCTCTACTGAACACTTGCCGTGTGCCTGGCCTGGCCTCAGGGCTCTCTGCAGGCTTGGTGTAGCCATGCCTCCCTTGACTGCAGCAAGGTGCAGGTCCCCTCCAGGCCCTGCATCCCAGTCACCCTCCCCTCAAGGTCAATGTGGGGGAATTTATCTGTACATCACTCTCTAGGGTAGAGGAGGTGTCTGTTTTGCAGGAAGCTAACCCAGTGGCTGGCATCACATACTAGCTGGATGGCTGACCTTACCACTCCATACACCATGCCCCTTAGGAGGTCACAGGTCACCCTTGCGGTGCTGGTACAGGCCTCAGCCTGAGCAATACCCGTGATGGTGCCTGAATGGTCCAGGAAAGGGTAGGTTCAGCAAGGGGTGAATGAGGGCAGGGGGAGCCCAGGGGACGCTGGGAAAGAAGGGAGATGGACAGTGACTGACGGGGCCACCCATACCCATCAGGTCCCACCAGTCCTGCCAATGACACCCAAGGCAGGAGGTCATTTTTTTTCCCCCAATGAGACAGAGTCTCACAATGTTGCCAAGGTTGGTCTTGAACTCCTAGCCTCAAACAATCCTGGCTCAGCCTCCTGAGTAGCTGGGATTACAGGTGCACACCATCATGCCACGCTTTTTTCTTTTCTTTTTTTTCTTAGGTCACTGTGTTATTTTTGTTGTTTTTTGAAACAGAGTCTTGCTCTGTCACCCAGGCTGGAGCCAGTGTCGTGATCTCGGCTCACTGCAACCTCCCCCTCCTAGATTCAAGTGATTCTCCTGCCTCAGCCTCCTGAGTAGCTGGGATTACAGGCATTCCCCACCACGCCTGGCTAATTTTTGTATTTTTGGTAGAGATGGGGTTTCACCCTGTTGACCAGGTTGGTCTTGAACTCCTGACCTCAGGTGATCTGCCCGCCTTGGCCTCCCAAAGTGCTGGGATTACAGGCATAAGCCACTGTGCCCAGCCAGAAAGTTTGCATTTCTAAGCTCCTTGGTGAAAATTATGATGGCCAGGAATGACAGTCTGAGAACAACTGCTCTGGAAGATTTTATCTGTGACCCAGAGCTTTGACCCTTTTGGGGATTTGGTGTCACATCCTCACTGCTGGGGTCTGGCTTTTGGTTCTTTTTTTTTTTTTGAGACACAGTCTACTTCTGTCACCCAGGCTGGAGTGCAGTGGCACAATCTCAGTTCACTGCAACCTCCACCTCCCAGGTTCAAGTGATTCTTCTCCCTCAGCCTCCCAAGTAGCTGGGATTACAGGCATGTACCACCACGCCCAGGAAATTTTTTTTTGTATTTTTAGTAGAGATGGGGTTTCACCATATTGGCCAGGCTGGTCTCGAACTCCTGGCCTCAGGTGATCTGCCCGCCTTGGCCTCCCAAAGTGCTGGGATTACAGGCGTGAGCCACTGCACCCAGCCTTGGTTCTTTAACAAAATCTGTCATTGCTCCCAAAATCACGTGGTAGGGGTTATTCATTCTTCCTTGAGTTTAGCTTGTTTGTCTTTGTTGTTAATAAAATATAAGTTTCAGACATTTCTTATTTTTTGTCTTTTAGGGACAGGGTCTTGCTCTGTTTCCCAGACTGGAGGACAGTGGTGCCATCACAGCTCACTGCAGCCTCCCACTGCTGGGCTCAAGCAATCCTCCCGCCTCAGCCTTCCACGTAGCTGGGACTATAGGCACATACCACCACAACTGGCTAGTTTTTGTTGTTGTTTTTAGACAGAGTCTTGCTCTGTGGCCCAGGCTGGAGTGCAGTAATGCAGTCTTGGCTTGCTGCAACCTGTCTCCTGGGTTCAAGCAATTCTCCTGCCTCAGCCTCCCGAATAGCTGGGATTATGGGCATGCGCCACCACGCCCGGCTAATTTTTGTATTTTTATTAGAGATGGGGTTCCACTATGTTGGCCAGGCTGGTCTTGAACTCCTGGTCTCAAGTGATCCACCAGCCTCAGCCTCCTACAGTGCTGGGATTACAGGTGTGAGCCACCGCGCCCAGTTTGGCTAGTTGTTTTGTTTTTGCTTTCATTCATGTTTTTTTTAATATGGTAGTTGGAGTCTTCCTGTTGCCCAGGCCTCCCAAAATGCTAGGATTACAGGCGTGAGCCATCGCTCCTGGCCTAGGAGGTCACTGTGATACCCTGTCTGAAGGGGATGGGGCCTGGACAGAGCAGAGGCTATGATGGGAGCCCCCTCTTCCCTTCCCGTCTACGACTCTCATTGCCCTTGCCCAGTTTTCTCCGCTTCCATTTATTTTTCGTTTATTTATTTATTTTTAGAGATAGGTTCTCACTCTGTTATCCAGGCTGGAATGCAGTGGCGTGATCATAGCTCACTGCAGCCTCCACTCCTGGGCACAAGTGTCCTCTCACCTCAGCCTTACAAGTAGCTGGGACTATATGCATGGGCCACCACGCCAGGCTATTTGTTTTATTATTGAGTAGAGATGGGGGTCTCCCTGTGTTGCCCAGGCTGTGTCAAACTCCTGGCCTCAAGCATCCTCGCACCTTGCCCTTCCAAAGTGCTGGGATTACAGGCCACCCTGCCCTGCCTCTCCAGTCCCTGACTGTCCCCACTGGCCAGCCCCGAAAGCCCAGCAACGAGGGAGCCAGGCTGGGGCAGGAAACACACAGCAGCCTCCTCTCGCGCCCACTTTATTAGGGGGCAGGTGTGGGAGGACCTAGGCCTGCTGTGCCTGCAGTAGCGCCCGCACCTGGCGGATCTGCCAGTCGACGCTGGAGCGCGCAGTGCCGCCCAGGGCACCATACTGCTCCACACTGTGCCCGTAGTCCCACACGCAGATCACGTCGCCCGAGAACAGGGGGCTGGGGAGAGAGGAAGAGGTGGGCCAGGGCGCCAGGCCACCCTGGGCTCCAGGCACCCAGGCTCACTTCCTAGGAGGCAGCATGGGGAAGGGGATGGGCCGTACCTGATGGTCTGCAGCTCCTGCAGTGACAGCTGGTTGAGGGCGACCCCCTTGGTCTCGGCCATGAACACAGCTTTCCCGGAGGCCTCGTGGGCCTGGCGGAATGGCATCTGGGTGCCAGGGAGGAAGATGGCGCTGAGGCAGGTTTCTCCATGCCCTGATCTGCCTCCATTGCCTGCACCCCCTTCCTTTTTTTTTTTTTTTTCTTTTTGACACAAAGTCTCGCTCTGTTGCCCAGGCTGGAGTGCAGTGGCGCGATCTCACCTCACCGCAAACTCCACCTCCCAGTTCAATCAATTCTCCTGCCTCAGCCTCCCGAGTAACTGGGATTACAGGAGTGTGCCACCACACCCAGCTAATTGTTGTATTTTTACATCAAAAGAGACGGGGTTTCACCATGTTGACCAGGCTGGTCTCGAACTCCTGGCCTCAAGTGACCCGCCCACCTCGGCTTCCCAAAGTGCTGGGATTACAGGGGTGAGCCACCAGGCTGGGCCGCTTGCACCCATTCCTGAGCTCCCCCACCCTCTGGGGGGGGCACCCCATCTCCTCACCCTCCCCCTGGCTGCTACACACTTACCCCTTTGCGGACCAGGTAATAGGCAAGGTCAGTGGCCAGCATGTCGGGGCTGAGAGCCTGTCCCATGTTCTCTTGGTGAATCTGGGGGCACAGGTGGGCGAGTGGTGAGCCCTGGGGACCCTGGGATCTGAAGCTGCCAGGCCCAGGACCTGCCCCTCTGCCAGGACATCCCTGCCTTGGGCAGATACTCTCTTACCCACTCGGCTCTGTCTCACTCTCAACTTGAACCATCTTCTCATAATTATCGATAATATTTACATGTGCTATGAACACTTACTGGCCTGTATGTTTTACTGGCCTTTATGTTTTCAAAGAGTCCTTATCTTCAGCATGCATCAGATGTTCCTGGAGGATTTGTTTTCTGTTTTAGGAGACAGGGTCTTGCTCTGTTGTCCAGGCTGGAGTGCAGTGGCCATTATAGCCCTCTGCAGCCTGGACTCAAGGGATCTTCCAGCCTCAGCCTCCCAAGTAGCTGGGACTACAGCCATGCACACCACCGTGCCTAGCTAATTTGTTGTTGTTGTTTTGGGCTTTTTTGAGACAGGGTCGCCCATGTTGGAGTGCAATGGCACAATCCTGGCTCTCTGCATCCTTGAGCTCCTGGGCTCAAGGGATCCTCCCACATCAGTCTCCTAAGTGGCTGGGACCACAGGTACACGCCATCACGACTGGCTAATTTAATTTTTTTAATTTTACAGACAAGGTCTCGCTATGTTGCTCAGGCTGGTTTTGAACTCCTGGGCTCAAGCGCTTCTCCTGCCTCAGCTTCTCAAAGTGCTGGGATTACAAGCATGAGCCACCAGGCCTAGCCACTGGAGAATTTACTAAGAAAAATACAAATTGCTGGGGAGCACCCCCAGAGTCTCTGATTCAGCCATCTGGAGTGGGGCCTCACATCACATTTCTCAGGACTTCTGAGGTGATGCTGGTGCTGCTAGTTGGGGGACTAGCCTCCAGAAACACTGCCTTTTTTTTTTTTTTTTTTTTTTGAGATGGAGTCTTGCACTGTCACACAGGCTGGAGCGCAGTGGCGTGATCTCTGCTCACTGCAGTCTCCATCTCCCGGGTTCAAGCAATTCTCCTGCCTCAGCCTCCTGAGTAGCTGGGATTACAGGCGTGTACCACCACACCCAGCTAATTTTTATATTTTTAGTAAAGACGGGGTTTCGCCATGTTGGCCAGGCTGGTCTCGAACTCCTGACCTCGAGTGATCTGCCCACCTTAGTCTCGCAAATTGATGGGATTACAGGCATGAGGCTCTGCACCCAGCCAAGAAACACTGATTTCAAGACATATCCTGAACTATTTAGGAATGAAATGATGTGATGATGGGAATTTGCTTCAAAATAAGGGGGTAAGGGAGTGGGAGAGAGCTGTGGGTAAAGACAGCTGGAGCCAGGATGTCCGTGAGTTGATTATCATTGAAGCTGGGTGTCGGTACATAGGGTTCATTATGCATTCTCTAGCTGTTATATACATAAATTTCCCATAATAATTGATTTTAAAAGAAATCAGCCAGGCAAAGTGGCTCATGCCTATAATCCCAGCACCTTGGGAGACCAAGGTGGGAGGATGGCTTGGGGCCAGGAATTTGAGACCAGCCTGGGAAACATAGGGAGACCCTGTCTCTACAAAAAATAAAAAAATTAGCCAGGCGTGGTGGCGCATGTTTGTAGTCCCAGCTACTCTGGAGACTGAGGTGGGAAGATCACTTGAGCCCAAGAGTTTGAGGCTGCAGTGAGCTACGACCGCACCACTGCACTCCAGCCTGGGCGACAGAGAGTGACCCTGTCTCTAAAAAATGTTTTTTAAAGATATTTAATTTAATTTAATTTAATTTATATATTTGTAGATGGAGTTTTACTCTGTGGTCCAGGCTGGAGTGCAGCGGCATGATCTTGGCTCACTACAACTTCCATCTCCTGGGTTCAAGCTATTCTTCTGCCTCCGCCTCCTGAGTAGCTGGGATTACAGGTGTGGGCCATCACGCCTGGCTAATTTTTGTATTTTTAGTAGAGACGTGGTTACGCCATGTTGGCCAGGCTGGTCTCAAACCCCTGACCTCAAGTGCTCCATCTGCCTCGGCCTCCCAAAGTGTGAGATTCCAGGCATGAGCCACTGCACCTGGCCTTTTGTTTAGATTTTCTTTTTTTAAAGAGTTCTGGTCAGGCCATTTGACAGGCCCCAGGCCCCCTGAGTCTCATCTACTTCCACTGCATGGCAGCAGTTTCTGTCCTTTCCCTGTTCCCCAGGAGCAGGAGCGAGCACACCTCTCCTTCCCTGCCCCAGGTCCTCCAGCCCCACCTCACCTCCTCCCAAGGCCACCCTCCCCGCATGCCCACCCCAGTGCCTGGGACCTAGGGGAGGAGAAGCAGGGGGGTGATGTCTTGCCTGCAGCGTAGAGATGACGCCAGTGGCCACCTGGAGCACGGCACTCATAGTGTCTGACACTTCAAACACAGCTTCCTTGTCCTCCTGGGAGGCACATGGCAGGAGGTGAGGGCCTAGCAGCCCCCTGGCACCCAGGGTCCCCACAGCCCCACCCCCCCACTGAGGCATCCCCACTGCCTTCCATGGGAAGAACACTCAATACCCCAACAAAGGAAGGGCAGAGAGTTCAAGGGCAGCCACGGATGGAGCTGTGTGCACAGGATGGGAGGATGTATGGCAATCCCGGGGTGGGGCCCTGCCTGAGTGTGCCAGAGCCCTGAGAACTGGCACGTACTAGCCAGGCCTCCCCCGGCCTCGCACCTGTAAGTCTTTGTTGTAGGTGCTGGGAAGTCCCTTGAGGGTCATCAGGAGCCCGGCACACTGCGGGAAGAGGGAGGCACAGGGGCTGGACCCGGGATCCTGCCCCCCTGGCCACCCACCATCAGCCCAGAGGCCCCGCCCCTCCCCCTGCCTTGCTCACCCGCCCAAACACACGCCCAGCCTTGCTCCGGATCAGCTCCAAACTGTCGGGGTTTTTCTTCTGGGGCATCAGGCTGCTTCCCGTGCTGGGGACAGAGGTGCTGGCGCTGAAGGGGCTGGACCCTTGGCTGGTCCAGCGCCGCAATGGCCAGGTCTGGCGGAGGGGTGGGACGGGGAGGAAGGCAGCCACGTCCGCGGGCGGCGGGGGATACAGAGGCCGGCAGCGGCAGATGGAGGTGGCAGTTCAGGGCTTACCTGTAGGCATCTGAGAGCTGCACGAAGCTGAATTCCTTGGTGCAGTAGAGGATGAGGTCCTCGGCCATCCTGCTGAGATGGGTCATGCACAGCGAAGCCCAGAACAGGAACTCGGCTGGGAGAAAAGGTTCCCAGTCACCAGGCCTCTCCCATCCCCACCCAGCCTGACCATACAGGGGGCAGGAGGAGGTTAGGCGGTGGGGGGACCCGGCTAAATTTTCATTTTTCGCAAAGATGGGGTCGTGCTATGTCGCCCAAGCTGTTCTGAAACTTGTGGGCTCAAGCAATCCTTCTGCTTTGGCCTCCCAAAGTGCTAGGATTACAAACGTAAGCCATTGCACCTAGCGTGTTTTTTGTTATTGTTGTTGTTTTAAATAAACCAGCTTTACTGAGTTATCACTCACATACAATTTATCCATTTATTTATTTATTTATTTATTGAGATGGAGTCTCGCTCCCAATGCACAGGCTGGAGTACAGTGGCACAATCTTGGCTCACTGCAACCTCTACCTCCCAGGTTCCAGCGAATCTCCTTCCTTAGCCTCCCGAGTAGCTGGGATTACAGGCATGCACCACCATGCCCAGCTAATTTTTGTGCTTTTAGTAGAGATGGGGTTTCACCATGTTGGCCAGGCTGGTCTTAAACTCCTGACCTCATGTGATCCACCTGCCTCGGACTCCCAAAGTGCTAGGATTACGGGCGTGAGCCACCATGCCTGGCCTATTTATTTTTATTTTATTTTATTTTATTTTTTGAGATGGAGTTTCGCTCTTGTTGCCCAGGCTGGAGTGCACTGGCGTGATCTTGGCTCACTGCAGCCTCCGCCTCCTGGGTTCAAGTGATTCTCTGGCCTCAGAACTCCTGAGTAGCTGGGATTACAGGCACCTGCCACCACACACCCAGCTAAATTTTGTATTCTTAGTAGAGATGGGGTTTCACCATGTTGGCCAGTGCTGGGCATGGTGAACCACCATGCCCCACCCACTTTACCCATTTAAGGTTTATACTTCAGTGTACAATATCACCACAACCAGCCTGTCCGTGGAGGTGTGGGAGGAAACTGGAGAGAAGCTGGGCTGAAGGACTAAAGTGAGGCACAGGGCAGGGGACTGGCTCCCCAGGACTCACCCACAAAGTCCCGCTCACTAGTGGCATCCATGCTGTTGAGAGTGATGGCCCCAAAGTTGAGTTCTGGGGGGGTGGGAGGAAGCAGGGCTAAGCTGGAGGACAGGGAGTGGCCCCCTCTCCCCCAACTAGGTTGCCCAGCCCCCTCCCCTGATCAGGGTGGGGCAACAGCTGGGGGGAGGGATCTTTTGCACAGTCCCAGGAGGGAGGCAGGAGCCCTGAGTCTCTCAGTACCAGGCATCCCTGCCATGAGTGACCCCTGAACTTGATGACCTCAGTGCCCATAGGCAATGAATGAAGGTTTCACCAGGAGCCACAGGCCCCTGCCCTCTGGTTTCAGGTGTGTCTGCAGGTCTTGGCGGGTGCTGAGGGTGATTCTCCCTGGGGAGGAGGGGCAGGACGTCTCACCTGCTCGGAGCAGCTCTCGGTCCACACCCAGGGGATTGCCTGCAATGGCCCCACTGCAGGGACAGGGATTCATGGTGACCAGGGCTCCTGGCAGGCAGCCCTGACACACACACACACACACACACACACACACACACACACACGAACGCACACACAGAGAACCAAGTCCTGGTTGCCAGGGCAACCACCTGGCGCTTAGCCTCTTCCCTGGCCCAGTCTCCTTGGGTACAGAATACTTGTCCCCAAGTGTCCACAAAACACTTGTCCCCAAGCACTAAGTCACCCTGGGTGCAGGACACTTGTCTCCTGACACATGTTCCCACATGTCAGGCTGAGGGCAGCAGGCTGGGCTTGCCAGGAGCCTTGCTGGAGGGCTCTGGCCCTGCTCAGACACATTCAATGGCTTGGTCGTCACCTTAGCGAGAGCTGGGGCTCCATGCAGAGTCCCCCGCTGAGCAGATAAGGCGGTTTTCTGTCCCACTCTGCACTTCCCAGCTCTGTCAATCCCTAAGGCTATGCAGCAGCCACCCCCACCAGGCCCTCGGGGCACTGGAGCCTCACCCACCTCCCCAGGGGCAGGACATTGATCCGCTTCCGCACCTCCAGCAGCCGCTCAGAGTCTCGGGTCAGTGCCACGGCGTGGCTGTGGGAAGCCAGGGGCAGGAGGGTCAGGGCAGCCGGGGTCCTCCCCTCTAGCACAGCCCCTGCACCTCACCTGGCTCACCTCAGAATCCAGTGGCTCCAGCGGATGGGCTGGGCCCTCTGCAAATGGGTGTACCCCGGGAAGAGAACATCACGTTCCCTGTGGGAGAGGAGGAGCAGAAGCTCGGGTGGAGGCTCATGCAAGGCCTGCCTGTGACACTGGAACCCTGCAGGCCTGGGTCACCCCTGGAAAAAGTGTCACGCTGCAGCACTCCACCTGAATGAGGGATCTGGTGATCTCCCAGGGACAAATCAGTCTTAAGGGCAAAAGAAGCTGGAAGTGGGACCGTGTGAACCAAGGACTGGGCCTGAGCTGTGGGGCTTCCTGCAGTGAGGCTTTGCCAGAAACACCCCAAGTCCAGCCTCTGTCACTCAGCATCTCCGAGCAGGGGCCAGAATAGGGGAGGAGGCCCATGTTGGGTATGACTTGGCCGTGGGAGGTTTCGTTTGAGGACCCTAGAAATAGCTGGGGCTCATTCAAGGGCTGCTCTGAGCAGGTGAGATGCCCTGCACCTCATTCAAGTAGGCAGGGCAGAGGCAGAGGTGCTGTGAGTGATGGTCCTGTTTTCTTGTTGTTTTGTTTTGTTTTTATTTTTAGAGACAAGGTCTCGTTCTGTTGCCCAGACTGGAGTGCAGTGGCATGATCATAGCTCACTGCTGCCTCGATCTCCTGGGCTCAAGCGATCCTCCTGTCTCAGCCTCCTGAGTAGCTGGGACTAAAGGGACATGCCACCATGCCCAGCTAATTTTTAGTTTTTTGTAAAGATGGGGTCTTGTGGCCAGGCGCGGTAACTCACGCCTGTAATCCCAGCACTTTGGGAGGCCGAGGCGGGCAGATCACAAGGTCAGGAGATCGAGACCATCCTGGCTAACACGGTGAAACCCCATCTATACTAAAAATACAAAAAATTAGCCGGGCGTAGTGGTGGGCGCCTGTAGTTCCAGCTACTCAGGAGGGCTGAGGCAGGAGAATGGCATGAACCCAGGAGGCAGAGCTTGCAGTGAGTTGAGATTGCACCATTGCACTTCAGCCTGGGCGACAGAGCGAGACTCCGTCTCAAAAAAAAAAAAAAAGATGGGGTCTTGCTATGTTGCCCAGAGTGGTCTGAAACTCCTGGTTTCAGGCAGTCCTCCTGCCTTGGCCTCCCAAAGGGCTGGGATTACAGATATGAGCCACCATACCTGGCCTGTTTTTTTGTTGTTGTTGTTTTTGAGAAAGAGTTTCGCTCTTGTTGCCCAGGCTGGAATGCAGTGGCGTGATCTCGGCTCACTACAACCTCCACCTCCCAGGTCCAAGAGATTCTCCTGCCTCCCAAGTAGCTGGGACTACAGGTGCCCACCATCACACCCAGCTAATTTTGTGTATTTTTAGTAGAGATGGGGTTTCACCATGTTGGCCAGGCTGGTCTCGAACTCTTGACCTCAGGTGATTCACCCGCCTCAGCCTTCCAAAGTGCTGGGATTACAGGCGTGAGCCACAGCACCTGGCCTGTTGTTTTAAATAAACCAGCTTTACTGAGATATCATTCACAATTTACTCATTTAAAGTTTACACTTTACTGTACAACCATCACCACAACCAATTTTAGAACATTTTCATCACCCCATGAAGAAATTCTGTACTCAAGGCCAGGCACGGTGGCTCAAGTCTTTAATCCCAGCACTTTGGGAGGCCAAGAGGGAAGGATCACTTAAGGCCGGGAGTTTGAGACCAGCCTGAGCCACATAGTGAGACCCTGTTTCTACAAAAAATTTAAAGAATTCGCGGCTGGGCACGGTGGCTCACACCTGTAATCCCAGCACTTTGAGAGTCCGAGGTGGGTGGATCATGAGGTCGGGAGATTGAGACCATCCTGGCTAACATGGTGAAACCCCGTCTCTACTAAAAATACAAAAAATTAGCCGGGCGTGGTGGTGGGCACCTGTACTCCCAGCTACTCGGGAGGCTGAGGCAGGAGAATGGCGTGAACCTGGGAGGCAGAGGTTGCAGTGAGTGGAGATCACGCCACTGCACTCCAGCCTGGGCAACAGAGCAAGACTCTGTCTCACAGGTGGTGCACACCTGTGGTCCTAGCTACTCAGAAAGCTGAGGTGGGAGGATCATTTGAGTCCAGGAGTTTGAGACTGCAGTGAGCTATTACCAAGCCATTGCACTCCAGCCTAGGTGACAGAGCAGGATCTCATCTCTAAAGACAATTTAAAAAGTTAAAAATTTAAAAATTAAGCTGAGCGCAGTGGCTTATGGGTGTAATCCTAGCACTTTGGCAGGCCGACGCGGGCAGATCACCTGAGCTCAGGAGTTCAAGACCAGCCTGGTCAACATGGCAAAACCCATCTCTACTGAAAAAAATACAAAAATTAGCTGGACATGGTGGTGCACACCTGTAATCTCAGCTACTTGGGAGGCTGAGGCACTAGAATCACTTGAACCCAGGAGGCAGAGTTTGCAGTTAGCTCAGATAGCGCCACTACACTCCAGACTAGGTGACAGAGCAAAACCCTGTCTCAAAAAAAAAAAAACAACAACAAACAACAACAACAAAAAATTAAAGAAACCCTGAACTCAGTAGCAGACACTCCCTGTTCCTCCTAGCAGCCCCACACCACCTGCTGGGTGACAATTCTTGTGCCCTTGTTTTCCCCCAAGTCTGCACAACAGGGGTCACAGGGAGTTGAGGAAGAGGAGGGGTCTCTGACAACACATGGAGACTTCTCAGCAGCTCTTCGTCCAGGTCTGCAAGGAACAAATCCAGTCCCAAAGACACCAGGTCCCAGAAGCCAAAGCCTGAAATGAGGCCAGCAGGAGGCAGCCTTTGGCTCTGTCTTTTGCCAGATGGGCTGGATGGGGAGGCGAAGCTTAGGATGGGGGATCTGGGGGACAGGCAGTGTGGGGAGTGACTCTGGCTGCTCCAGGCACAGCCAAGCTAGCTGTGCTTGGCTTAGCTTCCTGCCTTCAAATCTGCAAATGGTGAGTTTTCTTTTTTTTTTTTCTTTTTTTTTGAGACAGGAGTCTCGCTCTGTAGCCCAGGCTGGAGTGCAATGGCGCGATCTCGGCTCATTGCAACCTCCTCCTCCCGGGTTCAAGCAGTTCTTCTGCCTCAGGCTCCCGAGTAGCTGGGATTACAGGCGCACACCACCACATTGCCTAATTTTTGTATTTTTAGTAGAGACAGAGTTTTCCCATGTTGGCCAGGCTGGTCTCGAACTCCTGACCTCAGGTGATCCACCCACCTCGGCCTCCCAAAGTGCTGAGATTACAGGCGTGAGCCACCGCACCCAGCCCCACGAAGGGTTAGTCTTCTCTGCCTGCTGAGCTAGACTGGCATGGGAGTATTGGGGCCTGCAGGAAATGGCCCACTCCTGGCTGCTCTGCCTCGATCCTGGAGTTCTGGGATGCCCCTGTCCCCCAGGGCCTGGCACCCCCACGCTGTTCACCCCTGCCCCCTAGGTCTCCTGTTCAGGCTTCCATCACACCTCTGTCTGCCCCCTGGGTGTCCCTGTAGGACTCACGCCTCTGCCCGATCCACCATGGTCCTAATGAGCTCCCAGAGGAGGCCCGAGAGCGTGGAGCAGGTCTGCCGCATCCACAGCCTGAGGTCTGTGACCACCTGTGCAAGGAGGAGATGGTGCTCAGGGAGGCCGATGTGTTGCTTCCCTGAGGAGCCAGGACCGCTGCAGAACTCTAACTGCCCCCTGGGCTCCTCAAGGTTGGGACAACACGGAGCAGGGGGTGGAGGGGCTAAAGCACCTGGTCATTCCGGCTCCGTCCCGTGTGCAGCTTCCCTGCCGTTGCACCAATGAGCTCCTGGAGGTGAAGGGAGACCCAGGGTCACGGTCTATACCCCCAGAGGAGTCAACCCAGGCAGGGCAGTTTTCCTCATCAGCCCTGCCAACCTACCTCCATACCCCAGGGCTCCGGGTCCTCCCCAAATCTCTCGCCATTTCTGCTGAGGCCTGTTCTTTTTTTCTTTTCTTTTTTTAATTTTTGTAGCTGTGGGACCTCATTATGTTGCCCAGGCTGGTCTCGAACTCCTGGTCTCAAGCAATCCTCCCACCTCAGCCTCCCAAAGTGCTAGGATTATAGGCATGAGCCAGGGTGCCTGGCTCATGTCCTGAGGTCTCACATGCTGTCTGCCAATGGCGAAGTAAACAGAATGGTGCTAATGCTCAAAGTGGCCCTGGGCAAGGTGGAGAGGGGAGGCAAGGAAAGCGGTGGGGCTCCAGGGGTCGTACCTTCAGGCGGCGCTCATTGGCTGTGTGGATGTCCTCATCATTGGAGTTCAGTTTGAAGGTGCCCTGGGCCCACTCCTCAGCCACCTGTAGTGGGTAGCAGCAATGCCGGGGTCAGGTGAGCAGGCATCAGCAGCCAAGAGAGCCCCTGCCTTGGTCCCACCCTATCCCTGGTGACTGACTGTCCCTGCCCAGGAGCTGAGTCCTGGAAGCGCACCCTGGGAGGGGGCATCTCAGGCCCAGCACACCTTTACCCATGAGCCATGTGGGCCACAGGGGTCATTAAAGGATGGAGAGAGGCAGTCATCAAGGCACACAGTTAAACAGCACTTGAGTATATAATTAGTTCAATGTGAAACCACAGATGGGCAACACTGCACTGTTTGCTCAGGGATTTGGTGGGAGCCTGGGGCCACAGGGAAGGGGCCTTGGGTGGGGCTTGGGCCACGGCAAGTACCTTGTCTAGGCCATGGAGTATCTGGTCCATCTCGGCCTTGGTGAGGAGCCCTGCCTTCTCCAGGCCCCTGCTGTAGGCTTTGCTGCCTTGAACATCCACCTCCCAAAGGTGCCGGTCGTAGGCAATGGACGCGTTGAACTTCTCCATGATGGGGTCCACTGCACCCACAAACCGGCCACCCCAAAGCTTCCCACTCTGGCCAGGAGAGCAAGAACAATTAGTCTCTCCTCCACCCTCCAGAACAGTGCTTCTTGCAAAGAGTCTTTGGGAAACTTATCAAGTCTGATGGTAGCAGGGGCATCAGATCATTCTAACTGGGCAGACAAGGAGGCTGAGACCTTCCCAGAGTCACCACCCTGGGAGTGAGCATGGGAACATGGCTGAACACCAAAAGTTTGGGTTCTTTTTTTTTTTTTTTGAGACAGAGTCTCACTTTGTCGGCCAGGCTGGAGTACAGTGGTGCCATCTCAGCTCACTGCAAACTCTGCCTCCCAGGTTCAAGAGATTCTCCTGCCTCAGACTCCCAAGTAGCTGGGATTACAGGCACGTGCCACCACACCCAGCTAATTTTTGTATCATTAGTAGAGATGGGGTTTCACCATGTTGGCCAGGCTGGTCTTGAACTCCTGACCTCAGGTGATCCTCCCATCTTGGCCTCTGAAAGTGCTAGGATTACAGGCATGAGCCACTGTGTGTGGCCTTGAAGTTGGGGTTCTTTCCCACCACATGGCACCCCTCCAAGGAGATGATGGCAGGGCCTGAGACACCCCTGGGACCACAGCAGAACTTCTGGAACCTTTCCCACCACTGACCAAGGTGCTAGGTGCCATCCTAATTGTTGACACAACCCTCTGGGTAGGCACCAATACAATTCCACTATGAAGATGGGGAAACTGAGGCACAGAGCAGCCTGCTCTCACCTGGGGTGGGATAGCCAGGGCTGCGGCCCAGCAGTCTGAAGTCAGAACCTATGCTTTTCACCCCTGTTCCACCAGGGCTTCTGGACTTGGCTCTGGTGTCCAGAACCTTTGCTGCAGGGACAGGCAAAGAGGCCTTGAGGGTCTCCACCAAGCTTAAGTGCCCTGCAACTCTCTCCCTCACAGCTTGGAGCTGGACTAAGATCCCAATTCCTACCACTCCCTTGGCTCTGAAAAGCACCCTGACACCCCCCATTGTCACTGGCCTTCTAGGAGGTCACTGGGTGATCCCTTACTCCCCAGGAGCCAAGGGCAGAGGAATGGTATGTAGGCATCTATGTTTTGTTCGTTTTCTTTGAGATAGAGTCTCACTCTGTTGCCTAGGCTGGAGTGCAGTGGCGTGATCTCGGCTCACTGCAACCTCCACCTCCCGGCTTCAAGCCAATTTTCCTGCCTCAGCCTCCCGAGTAGCTGGAATTTCAGGCGTGTGCCACCACACCTGGCTGAGTTTTATATTTTTAGTAGAGACGGGGTTTCACCATGTTGGTCAGGCTGGTCTCGAACTCCTGATCTCAGGTGATCCCCTGACCTTGGCATCCCGAAGTGCTTGGGATTACAGGCATGAGCCACTGTGCCGAGCCTGTTTTGTTCATTAAAAAAATCTTTTTTAATTCTTTTTTTTTTTTTTTTTTTTTGAGATGGAGTCTCTCTTTGTCACCCAGGCTGGAGTGCAGTGGCAGGATCTTGGCTCACTGCAAGCTCCACCTCCCAGATTCACGCCATTCTCCTGCCTCAGCCTCCTGAGTAGCTGGGACTACAGGTGCCCACCACCATGCCTGGCTAATTTTTTGTATTTTTTTTTTTCAGTAGAGACGTGGTTTCACCTTGTTAGCCAGGATGGTCTTAATCTGACCTCGTGATCTGCCCACCTCGGCCTCCCAAAGTCCTGGGATTACGGGTGTGAGCCACCACACCCGGCCTTTAAATTCTTTTTTAGACACAGGGTCTCACTTTGTTACCCAGGTTGGAGTGCGGTGGCACCATCATAGCTCACTGCAGCCTCAAACTCCTGGTCTCAACCAATCCTCTTGCCTCAGCCTCCCCAATAGTTGGGACTACAAGCATGCGCCACCACACCCAGACATTTTTTTAAAATTTTATAGGACTGGGAGTGGTGGCTCATGCCTGTAATCCCAGCATTTTGGAAGGCTAAGGTGGGTGGATCATGAGGTCAGGAGACAGAGACCATCCTGGTCAACATGGTGAAACCTGGTCTCTACTAAAAATACAAAAATTAGCCAGGCGTGGTGGCACTCGCCTGTAGTTCCAGCTACTTAGGAGGCTGAGGCAGGAGAATCGCTTGAACCCGGGAGGCGGAGGTTGCAGTGAGCCAAGATCACGCCACTGCACTCCAGCCTAGGTGACAGAGCAAAACTCTGTCTCAAAATAAATAAATAAATGAACAAAATAAAATAAAATAAAATAATTGGTAGAGACAGGGTCTCACTATGTTGCCCAGGCTGGTCTTGAATTCCTGGGCTCAAGCTGTCCTCCAGCCTCAGCTTCCCAAAGTGCTGAGATTATAGGCATGAGCCTAGGCGCCAGCCACATCTATGTTTTGAAAGAGGGCAGAGGCCAGGGCATGGGACAGAGTGGGGAGGGGGTACAGAACACCTGGGGAGCAGCCCTAGTGCCCAGGACTGGGAGGAGGGTGGGGTAGAGGTGGGCATGTCACTTCACTGACGTCCTTTTTGTGGAAGGGAGTCTACAATGGCCAATGGGGACATATATCCTCCTCTGTCCCCCTACAATGCCCCAGACTTCTATTAACCACCTGGCCTGGCACCTATTATTAAACCTCAGGGGCTGGGCGTGGTGGCTCACACCTATAATCCTAGCACTTTGGGAGGCTGAGGTGGGCAGATCACGAGGTCAGGAGATGGAGACCATCCTGGCTAACATGGTGAAACTCCGTCTCTACTGAAAACACACACAAAAAAATTAGCCAGGCATGGGGGTGTTGGGCGCCTGTAGTCCCAGCTACTTGGGAGGCTGAGGCAGGAGAATGGCGTGAACCCGGGAGGCGGAGCTTGCAGTGAGCTGAGATCGTGCCACTGCACTCCAGCCTGGGCGACAGAGCAAGACTCTGTCTCAAAACAAAAACAAAAACAAAAACCCTCAGGGTTGGGAGGCCCAGGCAGGTGGATCGCTTGAGGTCAGGAGTTCGAGATCAGCCTGGCCAACATGGTGAAACCTCATCTGTACTAAAAATATAAACATTAGCCAGGCGCGGTGGCAGGAAGCTGTAGTCCCAGCCACTTGGGAGTCTGAAGCAGGAGAATCACTTGAATCCTGGAGGTAGAGGTTGCGGTGAGCAGAGATGGCGCCATTGTACTCCAGCTTGGGCGACAGAGCAAGACTCCTTCTTAAAAATAATAATAATAATAATAATAAGATAAGGATAATAATAGTACCTCTCTGATAGCCTTATTGTGAGCATTTAATCAGATAATATTTGCAAATTGCATACATAACACGGTGCCTGGTGCTCAGGAAGGACTCGAGAAATGCCAGCTGTTACTAAGGGAGGGCTGGCAGGGGATAGGACATGCTTCAGCTCCACTCCTGGTTCCTGTATGCACCCCAGAGACCTCTCCAGTGCTCTGGCCCTGAGCTGTGAGCTGACTCCTCTATGCCCAACAGTCCCGACTGCCAAAGGACTCTGCCCTGCAGAGGCAGCCTCCGCCCCCACCCCATCTTTGAGCTGGTCCTGCCCCTTACCCCACAGCTGCCCCACCAAGCCTAGATCTCCAGCAAAGCACCACGTGGGGCCCTGGTCCTGATCACTGGAGCCAGCCAGTCAGAATTGGGGCCAGCCTGCCCCTCAGCCAGGAGCCTGGCACCGCCTCCCCCAGCGGGCTCCTGGGCCACCCTGCCTAGGTTGTTAGTAATAAAAATAACTACTTAATAAGTGGAGCTGCAGCCAAACCAATTAGTGCCAACCTACAGGAAGGCCTGGGGCAACCTGAGGTCACCTAGAACACTGGGCTTGTTGGAAGCCAGACCACTCTGCTCTAGAACCAAACTCCTATCCTTACTGGCAGGCATAAGAGGACCCCACAGGGAGATCAGAGTGAGGTGCCTCCCCTTGGGCACTGAGGAGAGTGGAGGCCTAGTGTGGTAGCAGAAGGTGCTACTCCAAGCCAGGACACATCTGGGCCAGAATGGTCTCTTCAGGGCCAGGGGATGGGGCACTGAGTTGGGCTGGGTTGAATGAGCAACAGTTAAGGTCGAATGTACATGGGAAATACCAGTTTTGGTTTTGGGACTTGTGGGTTTTTTTTCTTTTTTTGAGGTGGAGTCTTGCTTTGTCGCCCAGGCTGGAGTGCAGTGGTGCGATCTCAGCTCACTGCAACCTCCGCCTCCCGAGTTCAAGCGATTCTCCTGCCTCAGCCTCCCGAATAGCTGGGACTACAGGCACCCACCACTACACCCAGCTAATTTTTGCATTTTTAGTAGAGACGGGGTTTCACCATGTTGGCCAGGCTGGTCTCAAACTCCTGACCTCAGGTGATCTGCCCACCTCGACCTCCCAAAGTGCTGGGATTACAGGTGTGAGCCACCATGCCTGCCAGGTTTTTTTATTTTTATTTTTTTGAAACTGGATCTCACTCTGTTGCCTGGGCTGGAGTGCAGTGGTGAGATCATGCTCACTGCAGTCTCAAACTCCTGGGCTCAAGCAATCCTCATGCCTCCGCCTCCTGTGAGACTACAGGTGTACGCCACCACACCTGGGTAATTTTCAAAATCTTTTTGTAGAGACAGGGTCTCATTACATTGCCCTGGCTGGTCTGGAATTCCTGGGCTTCAGCAGTCCTCCCGCCTCGGCCTCCCAAAGTAGAAATATCAGTATTGTTGTGGTTAGCCACCATTTATTGAGCACCTACTGTTGCTCAGCCCTGTGCTAGGGATTTCACATATGTTATTACGGCCTTTTATGAGGTGGGCAATATTACCCCTATTTCACAAATGAGGAAAGAGGTTTAAAGGGCTCAAGTGACTGGTACAGAAACCAAGTCTGTTTGGCTCCAAAGTCCAGGCCCTACCCCCCTGCCATGACCCAGAAGCTTGCAGGGCACTGAGCTTGCAGGGCATTGAGAAAGAGGAAGTGAATTGCTAGCTAATGAAGGCCAAAAGGGCCTGGAACCCAGACCTCCTGCTTCCCGGAGTTCCCTTCATCAAGCATCAGGCGAACAGCCCCTCTCACCTGAAGGGTCCAAAGCAATGGCCTCATAATCTAGTGCCTTACAGAGTGAGGCCGACAGCTATTATTACCCCCATTGCCAGATAAATCAACTATGGCCCAAGGAAGGAAAACCTCTGCCTGGGAATCCAGCATCTCAGTGGTCAGGAGGAGAGGCCAGGAGCCACTGACCCTAAGAGGCAGGGTCCAGTGAGACAGGAAGGGACCAGGCACCAGGGTTGCTGGAGCCACGAGGCGACGTCCCCTTTTTCCTGGCTCTTTCCACATGCCACAGTCAAGGACAAGAACACTTAGGGGCTGAGCTTTATTCTATAAACAGGGACAATTGCTCTAGCAGGAGAAGGGATGTGGTGTGGGGTGGGACCTGACAGGAGGACACGTGGTAAGAAGGAAGGAAGAGTTGGAAGGCTGAAGGCTTGGGAGCCACTTTTCCTGGCCAGGCAGGCATCACTGTGAGGTGAGGGCAGAGCCACTCTACCCCTAGTAGTGTGGGTTGGTGGGTTTGCCACAAGGGCTGCCTGCGGATACTGGTGAGTCCTGGTAAAGGTGACTGCTGGGCTCCAGATGATGCGCCCGGGAGGGCTGGGGGTGCAGGCTTCCTAGGTAATTTTCAAAATTGCTTCCTGGAGGGCGATTCCCAGCAGGGTGGCCCGAGGCAGGTCTGGCGCCCCCACTCTCTCCTTTGGAGGCTAGGAGGACCGGAGTCCCCGAGGTCCCACTCACCTCCGAGGCCATGTTGGGCGGTTCCTCGTCGTCCGGAAGCTTCGGTCCTCCGGGTCTGGAAGACAAGACCGGACTGACGACCTCCTTGGCCAGCAGGGTCCCCCGGGCCGGGCTGGCTCCGAGTTCTGGGCACTGCGCTTGAGGGAGCGCAGCCCTTGGGGACGCGGACGTGAGCGCGCGCCACGGTGCTCGGCGTCCTCCACGCCCGTCCCGCCCATCCGGCCGCCGCGCACTCACCTCCGCCTGGCCGCACGGATAGTGTCGCGCCCGCCACTGGCCAGGGCTTTTCTGGCCGGGATGGCGTCAGCAGCCGCCGGTCCTGTCCCCACCCCTGGCGACGGCCGCGCCAATAGGAGGCCGCCCGGCGGGGTGGGCGTTGCCTCCATCCTCCAATCCTGGCCGTGGGCGGGGATACCTCCCGCTGAGCTGGAGGCTAAGCGGCCCCGGGGCGGGGAAGCGGGCGGGGAAAGGGTTGGGGGGACCCCGACGGGGAAGGGGCCTGGGCTGGGGTTGAGGAGGGTAGTGCGCTGGCGTTCGTGCTGTGGTCAGCAGACACGCAGGGGACTGGAGACTCGGGCCAGGGGTAGAGGCTATGACATCAGGCCCGGGCCTGGCAGGTTCACAAGATATATAAGGTGAAATGGCATGTTCGCTCATTCACTCATTCATTCATTCATTCAACAAACACGTACCAGGCACCTCTATGTGCCAGGTACAGAGAAAGGCATCAAGGAAAAAGGAAGGACCATCAGAAATGAAGCCTGTGCCAGGCGCGGTGGCTCACAGCTGTAATCCCAGCACTTTGGGAGGCCGAGGTGGGAGGATCGCTTGAGGCTACGAGTTGGAGACCAGCCTGGGCAATACAACAAGATCCCGTCTCTACAAAAAAATTAATAATAATAAAAAAAAAGCCGGGCGTGGTGGTGCACGCCTGCAGTCCTAGCTACTCAGGAGGCTGAGGCGGGAGGAGCACTTGAGCCCAGGAGTTCGAAGCTGCAGTGAGCTATTGTGCCACGGCACTCCAGCCTGACTCCTCTAAAAAAGAAAAGAAACGCGGCCGGAGGCCGGGCGCGGTGGCTCACGCCTGTAATCCCAGCACTTTGGAAGGCCGAGGCGGGTGGATCACGAGGTCAGGAGTTTGAGACCAGCCTGGCCAAGGTGGTGAAACCCCGTCTCTACTAAGAATACAAAAATTAGCCGGGCACGGTGGCGGGTGCCTGCAATCCCAGCGACTCCGGAGGCTGAGGCAGGAGAATCTCTTGAACCCGGGAGGCGGAGATTGCAGTGAGCTGAGATGGTGCCATTGCACTCCAGCCTGGGTGACAGAGCAAGATTCTGTCTCAAAAAAAAAAAAAAAAAAAAAAAGAAAGAAAGAAAGAAAGAAAGAAAAGAAAAGAAAAAAGAAACGCAGCCGGGCACAGTGGCTTACGCCTTTAATCCCAGCACTTTGAGAGGCTGAGGCGGGCGGATCACCTGAGGTCAGGAATTCGAGATGAGCCTGGCTGACATGGTGAAACCTTGTCTCTATTAGCCGGGTGTGGTGGTGGGTGCCTGTAGTCCCAGCTACTCCGACAGCTGAGGCAGGAGAATCACTTGAACCAGGGAGGTGGAGGCTGCAGTGAGCTGAGACGGCACCACTGCACTGCAGCCTGGGCGACAGTGAGACTCTTGTCTCGAAAAAAAAAAAAAAAAAAGAAAGAAAGAAAGAAAAAGAAAAAGAGAAGAGAAAACAAAGAAAGAAACGAAACAAAAGAAATGAAGCCTGACTTCAAGAAGTTCCAACATAGCATGGAGGAGGTGTGCAGGGAGCACAGGCGTTGGGGAGGGGGGCTATGTTGGGTACTCAGGGAAGAGGTCCTTGATCTGATTAATTAATTATTCAACCAAAATGTCAGGCTGGATTCTAGGCACTGGAAGTACCCTGAAGGGGCTTCTAATGAACCTGTCTTCTGCATTGGGTCTTGGAAGATGGGGGGAATTTGCCCAGGGAAGAAGGGGAGAACATTCCAGGCAGAGGGAGAAGTCTGGACAAAAAATGTGACTGGCCTGCTTTAAGAACAGGAAATCATCCAAGTGGCTGTAACTATAACAAAAGGTAGGGAGGAGAGGTGGAAGGAGTTTGGGAGAAGGCTGTGAAGAGTCTTCAATGTCAAGAGAGGGAGTTTGTTCTTGGTCCTATAGGTCATAGGAAACCCCGATCGATTTTAAAATCAGAGGAGCCAAATTTATTTTATTTTATTTTATTTTTATTTATTTTTTTGAGATGGAGTTTCGCTCTTATTGCCCAGGCTAGAGTGCAATGGCACGGTCCCAGCTCACTGCAACCTCTGCCTCCCAGGTTCAAGCGATTCTCCTGCCTCAGCCTTCCAAGTAGCTGGGGTTACAGGCATGCACCACCACGCCTGGCTAATTTTATATTTTTAGTAGAGATGGGGTCTCTCCATGTTGGCCAGGCTGTTCTTGAACTCCTGACCTCAGGTGATCTGCCCGCCTCAGCCTCCCAAAGTGCTGGGATACAGGGGTGAGCCACTGCGCCCGGCTGAAACCCCATGTTAAAAAAGAAAGAAAGGAAGGAAGGAAGATAAATCTAGCTATAGTATTGAGGATGGAATGGAGGGAGAAGAAGAGACCAGTGGCTGGAATGTTTTGTGATTTGAAGGTGTTTAGCCCTCACTCAACTCAAGAGTGGAATTACTTGGAGTTCCCAGAATGCACCTGACTGTTTCAAGCCTTCCTAAATGCTCTTCCCTGTGCCTGGGATGCCCTTCCCTCAGTGTCGGTCTTGCCACCTCCCATTCGTCCATCAGTATTTTTTTTTTTTTTGAGACGGAGTCTCGCTCTGTCCCCCAGGCTGGAGTGCAGTGGCACAATCTCGGCTCAATGCAAGCTCCACCTCCTGGGTTCACGCCATTCTCCTGCCTCAGCCTCCTGAGTAGCTGGGACTACAGGCGCCCACCACCACGCCCAGCTAATTTTTTGTATTTTCAGTAGAGATGGGGTTTCATCGTGTTAGCCAGGATGGTCTCAATCTCCTGACCTCGTGATCCACCCGCCTTGGCCTCTGAAAGTGCTGGGATTACAGGCGTGAGCCACCGCGCCTGGCCTTGTCCATCAGTATTCTAGCCAAACATCATCAATGTCAGGTAGACTCCCAGCTGATCCAGGCATCCAACTCTGGGCTCCCATGTGATCCTGAGTATACGGGCATTTAGCAATCTTTTCCTGATTTGGGAGCACTGTAGTAGTGCCTTCTGGGCCTTCTCCACCACCCAAGTGGTGAGCTCCTTGCAAGCAAAGCCTCATCTGACACATCTGTGTGCCCTGACTCCCAGCCCTCTCCTGTCTTCTCCCACAGAAGCCCTAGAACTGGGCTGCAGCTGACCACTGGGAGGACAGGAAAGACTGTTAGATCAACTGTATGCCGTGTGGTCCTGAAAAATGCCAAAGTGGAGTGGCAAGTCCCGAGATCCAACAGCTAGTGTCTGAGGCCTGGCATCCCTTCCTGGGAGGCCTCGTGTGAAAGTCAGTGGCATTCTGCAGACGTGAGGTCGTACTTCTGAATATCCAGCAAAATACTGGGGCCAAACCCTTTGACAAATGAACTGAGGCTAGAAAGAGAGTTGGAGAAGTGGTTTGACAGCAGAGCTGTAACCACAATACCTAACATGGGTAAGTCACCAGGTGGCAGGCTCTGAGCTAAAATTCATCTCATTGCATCTTCACGACAGTTCTATTTATAGATAAAGAAAGAGAAGCTGGCTGGGATCCGTGGCTCACACCTGTAATCTCAACACTTTGGGAGGCCGAGGCAGGCAGATCACCTGAGGTCGGGAGTTTGAGACCAGCCTGACCAACATAGAGAAAGCCCATCTCTACTAAAAGTACAAAATTAGCTGGGCATAGTGGTGCATGCCTGTAATCCTAGCTACTCGGGAGGCTGAGGCAGGAGATCGCTTGAATCGGGAGGCGGAGGTTGCGGTGAGCCGAAATCGTGCCATTGCACTCTAGCCTGGGCAGCAAGAGTGAAACTCCATCTCAAAAAAAAAAAAAAAGAAAAAGAAAAGAAAAGAAACAGAAGCTGCAAAGGGTTAGGGTTAGGGGTTAGAGGACATGTACACAGGCACCCAGGTAGAAGAGGACAGTCAGTCTGGCTGTCCACAAGACAGAAGAGAGATTGTCAGTCCAGGTTTGTTTGCAACAAACAGCAAGCTTGCAAGCTTGGCATACGTGAAGGCCATGCTGTAGGGATGGGGAAGAGACTCAGGAAGAGGAGAAAGACAGGAAGGCAAGCTGGGCACGGTGGCTCATGCCTGTAGCCCCAGCTACTTGGGAGGCTGAGGCAAGAGAATCGCTTGAACCCAGGAGGTGGAGGTTGCAGTGAGCCGAGATCGTGCCACTGCACTCCAGCCTGGGGACAGAGCGAGACTTGGTCTCAAAAAAAAAAAAAGACAGGAAGGCAGCATAAAGGCTTGCAAAAAACAAAAAATCAAAAACAAATAAACAGAAAGCAGATGAGTCAAAAGTGTCTGCAGCTGAGTCCCTGACAGTTGACACTGAAATGGACGTGAGCCTTTATCTTGACAAAGCATCCTTGGCATTAAAGACTCATAGGAGGGCAGGGCGAAGTGGCTCACGCCTGTAATCCCAGCACTTTGGGAGGCTGAGGTGAACGGATCACCTGAGGTCAGGAGATTGAGACCAGCCTGGCCAACATGGTGAAACTAAGTCTCTACTAAAAACACAAAAATTAGAGTGCGGCCTGTCCTGTCCTTGCCATGAGGCTGCGGCAGGCACCAGAGTCCAGAAAGGTGTTCATTCAGCGAGACTACAGCAGTGGCACAGGCTGCCAGTTCCAGACCATGTTCTCCATGGAGCTGGAGAACCAGATTGATAGGCAGCAGTTTGAAGAAATAGTTCAAACTCTAAATAACCTTTATGCAGAAGCAGAGAAGCTTGGTGGCCAATCATATCTCGAAGGTTGTTTGGCTTGTTTAACAGCATATACCATCTTCCTATGCTTGGAAACTCATTACCAGAAGCTTCTGAAGAAAGTCTCCAAATGCATTCAAGAGCAGAATGAGAAGATCTATGTTCCACAAGGCCTTCTCCTGACAGACTCCATTGAGTAAGGACTGCGAGTTATTGAAATTACCATTTATGAAGGCAGAGGCATGAGCCATGGAAGATAAACCATAGAATTAAAGATCCTACTTCTAGCTGGGCCCCTCATGTATCCATTGGCCGACTGCAGAGTGTCTCTACCTCCTCTCCAGAGTATCATTCCTATCTGCTGCCAGAGCCACACTGCCATTTACTCCAAGGACTTTGTAAAATTCCACACCTGGAAAGACCTTTAGTTGCTCAGTATCCACTTTGTGTCTCCAAATTGTGTAGGACTCTGTAATCTTTTGACTAGTTTCTGAGAAAACACAATGAAGCATTTCACTTTTTTTATTGAAGGCCATTTAATAAAACACAGCTGGTCAGCCCAGTGCAAACCTTATTATCTGCCACCAGTACGTACCATTGGTTCTCCTCATTCCTTGGGCCAGCTTCTCAGGTAGCTTTAGACCTCAACAAGTTGTATCTTTGCCAGTGTTCCATCTTGTTCCCCTAAATTAATAAAATGCTTTTCTCCAGGATTTTGGCAAAGGTTGGTGTGGCTGTGGTTTTGCTAATGCACCTCCTAGATTTCAAAGATTTACCAGTTTTACCATGACTCATATATTAAGATCTGTTTCTACTATTCAGTTCCTCAAACTGAAGCTCATTGAAAAAATAATGTATAATGTTATTTGTTTTATTATAGCAATTATTCCTCATTAAAGCAGTATTTAATGCAATTTCCAGTTATTTCTTTGGAGAATGTTATGTCCTTGTTGCATTACCTTAAAGGTTGTGAAGATGTGATGTGTGTTGCTTGTTCATCACAAAAATCAGTAAGCACAATAAAGTGGATGCCAAACCATCAAACACATAGATGTTCCTGCTGGGTCCCTGGATATGTAATAAGCAGGTATAAAAATATTTTAATTATAGTTTTCTTACAAATATAACTTACGAGAAAAAAATTTGATTGGAATAATACTGTATATTACTAATTTTTAACTATCCCTACCCAAACCTTATGACTCACAGAATTTTCTCATATACAGTATTCAGTGCACAGAAAACTTATGACTGGCTCAAGTACAGTAAGTTACTTCTAAGTAAAACTCTCAAGTCTGAGTCCATATTTGTAGCTCTGCTTTTGGTTGTACGTTTCTAGGATCAGGGCCGCTTATGCCTTTTCGTTCATCCTTGGGGTTTGAGAGCACTGTATGAGGGAGAGAGTTTAAAAATACATTAGGAGACAGAAACCATTAAAAGTTTAACTGTCAGAGATATTGTAGGTGCTAATACTGGATTTCGTCTTTCAGATTTAATTTCTTTTATGGGTCTGTTAATCATTCAATAAATCCCATAAGTATGTGTAATATTTCAATTGTGTAAAACTCGTTTGTCACTTTAAAGCCTGTAACAGTGTGTTTGTGTTTTCAACCCATTGCAATAACTTTGCTGAAATATTAACACATTAATAAAACTTTTCTTAAAAAAAAAATAAAATAAAAATACAAAAATTAGCCGGGCGTTGTGGTGCATGCCTGTAATCCCAGCTACTCGAGAGGCTAAGGCAGGATAATCACTTGAACCCGGGAGGCAGAGGTTGCAGTGAGCCAAGATCACACCACTGCATTCCAGCCCGGGTGATTAAAAAAAAAAAAGGCCGGGCACGGTGGCTCCTGCCTGTAATCCCAGCACTTTGGGAGGCTGAGGTAGGCAGATCACTAGGTCAGGAGATCAAGGCCACCCTGGCTAACATGGTGAAACCCAGTCTCTACTAAAAATACAAAAAATTAGCTGGGCGCCGTGGCGGGCGCCTGTAGTTCCAGCTACTCGGGAGGCTGAGGCAGGAGAATGGCATGAACCCAGAAGGCAGAAGTTGCAGTGAGCCGAGATCGTGCCACTGCACTCCAGCCTGGGCGACAGAGCGAGACTCTGTCTCAAAAAAAAAAAAAAAAAAAAAGGAAGACATGGAAAAAGCCAATAAAACAACATATGAACAAAATGGAAATATCAGTAAAGAGATAGAAAACCTGCAAAAGAAACTAAGAACAAATTTTGCAGCTAAAAAGTATAATAACTAAAATGACAAATTGGCAGAATAAATGATATAGTTTGGATGTCTGTCCCCCCAAACCTCATATTTAAATGTAATCCCGATGTTGGAGGTGGGCCCTGGTGGGAGGTGTTTTGGTCATGGGGCCAGATCCCTTACGAATGGCTTGGTGCTCTCCTTGCAATAGTGAGTGAGTTCTCGTGGGATCTGGTTGTTGAAAAGTGTGTGACACCTCCCTCCTCTCTCTCTTGCTCCTGCTCTTGCTGTGTGATGGGCTGGCTCTCCATTACCTTCCACCATGATGTAAGTAAGCTTCCTGAGGCCTCACCAGAAGCAGATGCCAGCACCATGCTTCCCACAAAGCCTGCAGAACCATGAGCCTATGAAACCTCTTTTCTTGCTGAATTACGCAGTCTTGGTAGTCCTTTATAGCAACACAAAGAATGGCCTAAAACAAAAAAGAATGAGCAAATTTGAAGAAAGGACAATGGAAATTATTGAGTCTGAGGAATAGAAAGAAAAAAGATTGAGGAAAAGTGAACAGAGCCTAAGAGACCTGCGGGAAACCATCATGTGCACCAACCTATGTATTGTGAAAGTTCCAAAGGAGAAGGGGGGTGGGTGCTGAGAGAATATTTAAAGAAATAATAGCTGAAAACTTCCCAAATTTGACAAAAGACATGAATATAAAAAATCCAAGAAGTTCAATGAACTCCAAGTAAGATGAAATCAGAGACCCATAGTGAGACACATTATAATGAAAGTTTTGAAAGCCAAGAAGAGAACCTTGAAAAGAGCATGAGAGAAGCAACTCGACATGCAAGGAATCCTCAATAAGATGAAAATCAGCAGATTTCTCATCAGAAACTATAGAGATCAAAAAACTAATATAGTGAAGTGGGGAGCTGTCAACTAAGTATCTCATATCCAGCAAAACTATCCCTCAAAAATGAGAGAGTGGCCAGGTGTGGTGGTTCATGCCTGTAATCCCAGCACTTTGGGAGGCTGAGGCGGGCAAATCACGAGGTCAGGAGTTTGAGACCAGCCTGACCAACATGGTGAAATCCTGTGTCTATTAAAAATACAAAAATTAGCCGGGCGTGGTGGCAAAGAGAATTGCTTGAACCTGGGAGGTGGAGGTTGCAGTGAGCCGAGATTGTGCCACTGCACTCCAGCCTGCGTGACAGAGTGAGAGTCCGTCTCAAAAAAAAAAAAATGTGAGGGAGATAGTAAGACATTCAAGATAAACAAAAGCTGAGGGAGTTTGGGCTGGGCATGGTGGCTCACGCCTGTAATCCTAGCACTTTGGTAGGCTGAGGCGGGCATATCACCTGAGGTCAGGAGTTCGAGACCAGCCTGATCAACATGGAGAAACCCCGTCTCTACTAAAAATACAAAATTAGCCAAGCGTGGTGGCGCATGCTTGTAATCCCAGCCACTCGGGAGGCTGAGGCAGGAGAATTGCTTGAACCCAGGAGGCGGAGGTTGTGGTGAGCCAAGATCGCGCCATTGTACTCCAGCCTGGGCAACTGAGCGAAAATCTGTCTCTAAAAAAAAAAAAAAAAAAAAAAGCTGGCCAGGCGCAATGGCTCATGCCTGTAATCCCAGCACTTTGGGAGGCCAAGGCAGGCGGATCATGAGGTCAGGAGTTTGAGACCAGCCTGACCAACATGGTGAAATCCCGTCTCTACTAAAAACACAAAAATTAGATTGGTGTGGTGGCGGGCGCCTGTAATCCCAGCTACTCAGGAGGCTGAGGCAGGAGAATCGCTTGAACCCGAGAGACGGAGGTTGCAGTGAGCCCAGATCACGCCACTGCACTCCAGCCTGGGCGACAGAGCAAGACTGTGTCTCAAAAAAAAAAAAAAAAAGCTGAGGGAGTTTGTTGTCACTAGACCTGCCCTGGAAGAAATGCTCAAAGGAATCCTGCAGGGTGAAATGAAAACACACTAGTCAGTAACTCCAAGCCATTTGAGGAATTAGAGATCTCAATAAAGATAAATACATGGGTAATTATAAAATCTAGTATTATTGTAACAACAGTCTGTATCTCCACTTTTTGTTTTTTGTTTGTTTGTTCGTTTGTTTTTGAGACAGATTTTCCCTCTGTCACCCAGGCTGGAGTGCAATGGTGCAATCTTGGCTCACTGCAACATCCACCTCCCTGGTTCAAGCAATTATCCTGCCTCAGCCTCCCGAGTAGCTGGGATTACAGGTGCTGGTGACCATGCCCGGCTAATTTTTGTATTTTTAGTAGAGATGGGGTTTCACCATGTTGTCCAGGCTGGTCTTGAACTCCTAACGTCAGGTGATCTGCCTGCCTCGGCCTCCCAAAGTGCTGGGATTACTGGCGTGAACCACTGCACCTGGCGTCCACGTTTTGTTTTCTAAACGATTTAAAGAAAGAATATATTTTCAAAAATAGTAGTCTAAAAGCTAGTGTTATTGTAACTTTAGTTTGTAACTCTACATCTTGTTTTCCACATAATTTAAGGGACAAATGTATTTAAAAGAATTATTAGGCCAGGTGTGGTGGCTCATGCCTATAATCTCAGCACTTTGGGAGGCTGAGGCGGGTGGATCATGAGGTCAAGAGTTTGAGATCAGCCTGACCAACATGGTGAAACCCTGTCTCTACTAAAAACACAAAAATTAGCTGGGCGTGGTGGCATGTGCCTGTAATCCCAGCTACTCAGGAGGCTGAGGCAGGTGAATCGCTTGAACCAGGGAGGCGGAGGTTGCAGTGAGCCGAGATCGCATCACTGCACTCCAGCCTGGGTGACAGAGCAAGACTTTGTCTCAAAAAAAAAAAAAAAAAAAAAAAGAATTATTAGTTTTGTTTGGGGACATGCAATGTATAAAGATATAATTTTGTACATCAGCGGACCGGGCGCGGTGGCTCACGCCTGTAATCCCAGCACTTTGGGAGGCCGAGGCAGCGGATCACGAGGTCAGGAGATAAAGACCATCCTGGCTAACATGGTGAAACCCCGTCTCTACTAAAAATACAAAAAATTAGCCGGACATGGTTACAGGCGCCTGTAGTCCCAGCTATTCGGGAGGCTGAGGCAGGAGAATGGCCTGAACCTGGGAGGCGGAGCTTGCAGTGAGCAGAGATCACACCACTGCACTCCAGCCTGGGTGACAGAGCGAGACTCCATCTCAAAAAAAAAAAAAAAAAAAAAAATTTGTACATCAGCAACTGAAAGCGTTGAAGACAAAGCTGGAAATAAAGAGTTTCTATATGTTCTTGAAATTTTGCATGTTATTAAAGTATATATCTCTTTTACTTAGGTCTTCTTTAACTTCTCTGAGCAACATTTTATAGTTTAAAGCGTACACACGTTCACATTTGTCTTAGCTTCCTAGGGCTGCTATAACAAATTACTATGAACAAAAATTTCTGTTGATCTGGCTTAAAACAACAAATTTATTTTCTCTTAGTTCTAGAGACTAGAAATCTGAAATAAAGGTGTCAGCAGAGCCATCCTCTTTCAAAGGCTGTAGAGGGGAACGTGTTCCAGAATCTGTTTCTTTCTCTTCGCTTCTGGTGTCACCGTTAATGTTTGGCATTACTTGATTTGCAGCTGCATAACTTCAATTTCTACCTCCATCATCACATGGCATTTTCCCCCTGTGTCTTCACATTGTTTTCTTATAAGGACACCAGTCATATTGTATTGAGAGCCCACCTACTCCAGTATAACCTCCTTTTAACTAATTCCATCTGAAATGACCCTGTCTCCAAATAAGGTTATAACCTGAGGTAGCAGAGGTTAAGACTTCAACCTATATATCTGGAGAACACAATTCAACTCATAACAACATCTGTTATCAGATTTAGCCATAAGTATTTCACATTTTTGATGCCATTATAAATTGTATTATTAACTTACTTTTAATTTCTGATTCGTTGTTGCTAGCATATGGAAATACACTTAATTTTTGTGTTGATCTTATATCCTACTTTTTAAAAATAGATTTTATTAAATTTTCTACATAGATAGTCATCTGGGAATAAGTAGAATTTACTTCTTCCTTTCTAAATTGAATGTCTTTTTTAAAAAACCTCATTGAGGCTGGATGCAGTGGCTCATGCCTGTAATCCCAGCACTTTGAAAGGCCGAGGCAGGCGGGTCACCTGAGGTCAGGAGTTCGAGACCAGCCTGACGGGATAAAACTCTGTCTCTACTAAAAATACAAAAATTAGCCAGGCACAGTGGTGCGTACCTGAAGTCCCAGCTACTCGGGAGGCTGAGGCAGGAGAATCTCTTGAACCCGGGAGGTGGAGGCTGCAGTGGGCCAAGATTGCACCACTGCACTCCAGCCTGGGTGACAGACCAAGATTCTGTCTCAAAAAAAATAAAAAATAAAAAATAAAAACCTCATTGCAGTGGCTAGATTATTTTGTACAAAAAAAAGAGAGAATATTTTGTACAGTGCTGAATAGAAGTGAGGGGAGTGGACATTCCTGTCTTGACCTGATCTTTATGGGAAAGCATTTAGTCTTTCACCATCAAGCATGCTGTTATTTGTAGGTTGTTTGATGGTGCCCTTTATCAGTTTGAGGAAGTTCTCTTCTATTTCTAATTTGCTGAATTGATCCTGTCAAACACTTTTCTGAATCTATTGAAAGATATTAATGGTTTTCTTTTTTAGTTTAATAAAGGAGTTACATTGATTGTTTAAAAATAGACTTACTGAGATATAATTCATATAGCATAAAATTCACACATTTACAATGCACGATTCAGTGATTATTATACTCAAAAGTTATGCAACCATTGCCACAGCTTAATTTAAAAACATTTTCATTGGCTGGGCATGATGGCTCACGCCTGCAATCCCAACACTTTGGGAGGCCAAGGTGGGCAGATCACAAGGTCAGGAGTTTGAAACCAGCCTGGCCAACATGGTGAAACTTGTCTCTACTAAAGATACAAAAAATTAGCTGGGCGTGGTGGCACGTGCCTATAATCCCAGCTACTTGGGAGACTGACGCCAGAGAATTGCTTGAACCTGGGATGCAGAGGTTGCAGTAAGCCGAGATCACGCCACTGCACTCCAGGCTGGGTGACAGGGTGAGACTCCATCTCAAAAGAAAAAAAAAAAAAAGAAAGCAAAAAAATTTTTCATAAAAGAACTCCACAGCTATTAGCAGTCTAAAAATATTTTCTTCCATGCTGTGGATTGTCTTTTCACTTTCTTGGTTGCATCATTTGCAACAAAAATGTTTTTAATTTTGATGAAGTCCAGCATATTTCTTTTTTCTTTTTCTTTTTGTACTTTTGGTGTCATATCTAAGAAAACTTTACCTAGCCCAAGGTCATAAAGATTTACTCTTGTTTTCTTCTAAGAGTTTTATAGTTTTAGCTCTTAAATTTAAGTCTATGCTCCAGTTTGAGTTAATTTTTCTATATAGTGTGAGGTAGGGGTGCAAGTGATTCTTTTGCATATGGATATGTAGTTACCTTTGCAGTAGTTGTTGCAAAGACAAATTATGGCCTAGTAGTATCTCATCATGGATTTAATTTGCATCTCTTTCGTGAATAATGTTGAGCATCTCTTCATATGTCTATTGGCTATTCGTGTATCTTCTTTGGAGAAATATCTATTCAAATCATTTTCTCATTTTTATATTAGGTTGTCTTTTCAAATATCCCCATTAAAATGTCTTGACATTCTTGTAAAAAATCAGTTGGCCTAAATGTAAGGTTTTCTTTCTTTCTTTATTTCTTTTTTCTTTTTTTTTTTTTTTTTGGAGACAGAGTTTTACTCTTGTTTCCCAGGCTGGAGTGCAATGGCATTATCTCGGCTCACCGAAAACTCTGCCTCCCAGGTTCAAGCGATTCTCCTGCCTCAGCCTTCCCAAGTAGCAGGGATTACAGGCATGAACTACCACACCTGGCTAATTTTGTATTTTTAGTAGAGATGGGGTTTCTCTATGTTGGTCAGGCTGGTCTCAAACTCCTGACCTCAAGTGATCCACCCCCCTCGGCCTCCCAAAGTGCTGGGATTACAGGCGTGAGCCACCGCACCCGGCCGAGTTTCACTCTTGTCGCCCAGGCTGGAGGTCAATGGCACGATCTCGGCTCACTGCAACCTCTGCCTCCCAGGTTCAAGTGATCCTCCTGCCTCAGCCTCCTGAGTAGCTGGGATTACAGGCACCCACCGCGGCACCCAGCTAATTTTTGTATCTTTAGTAGAGATGGGATTTCACCATGTTGGCCAGGCTGGTCTGGAACTCCTGACCTCAGGTTATCCACCGGCCTCAGCCTCCCAAAGTGCTGGGATTACAGATGTAAGCCACTGCACCTGGCCTCAGTATGTTATTCTTTTCTGATGCTATTGTAGATAAAATTCTCTTTTCTTTCTTTTTTTTTTTTTCTTTTGAGATAGTTTTGCTCTTGTTGCCCAGGCTGGAGTGCAACGATGTGATCTTGGCTCACTGCAACCTCTGCCTCCCTGGTTCAAGTGATTCTCCTGTCTCAGCCTCCCTCTAGTTCCCTCTGCCTTTCTCTAGCTTCTGGTGATGCCTAGCAATTTTTGGCATTCTTAGGTTTGTAGGTGCATCACTGTGATTTGTACCTCCATCGTCTCATGACCTTCTCCCTGGGTCTCCTCTGTGTCTCTGTATCCAAATCTCCCTCTGATATAGTTTGGCTCTGTGTCCCCACCCAAATCTCATGTTGAATTGTAATCCCCAGTGTTGGGGGAGAGAGCTGGTGGGAAGTGGCTGCATTATAGGGGCAGATTTCTCCCTTGTTGTTCTTGTGATAGTGAGTGAGTTCTCATGAGATCTGGTTTTTTATTTCTTATTTTTTATTTTTATTATTATTATTTTTTTGAGACAGAGTCTCACTGTGTTGCCCAGGCTGGAGTGCAGTGGCGCTATCTTGGCTCACTGCAAGCTCCGCCTCCCGGGTTCACGCCATTCTCCTGCCTCAGCCTCCCAAGTAGCTGGGACTACTTGGGAGTCCCAAGTAGGTGGGAGGCACCTGCCACCACGCCCGGCTAATTTTTTACATTTTTAGTAGAGACAGAGTTTCACTGTGTTAGCCAGGATGGTCTCGATTTCCTGACCTCTTGATCCGCCCGCCTTAGTCTCCCAAAGTGCTGGGATTACAGGCGTGAGCCACCGCACCCGGCCAGATCTGGTTTTTTAAAAGTGTGTAGCACTTCCCCCCTTCACTTGCTCTCTCTCTTGCTGCCATGTGAATACATGCTTGCTTCCCCTTCACGCTTCCACCAAGATTGTAAGTTTCCTGAGGCCGCCCCAGCCATGACTCCCATATAGCTTGTGGAGCTGTCAATTAAATGTCTTTTCTTTGTAAATGACCCAGTCTCACGTAATTCTTTTTTTTTTTGAGACGGAGCCTCACTCTGTCGCCCAGGCTGGAGTGCAGTGGCGTGATCTTGGCTCACTGCAACCTATGCTCCCAGGGTTCAAGCGATTCTCTTGCCTCAGCCTCCCGAGCAGCTGGGATTACAGGTGCCTGCCACCGCGCCTAGCTAATTTTTATAGTTTTAGTAGAGACGGGGTTTCACCATGTTGGCCAGTCTGGTCTTGAACTCCTGACCTTGTGATCCACCCACCCCGGGCTCCCAAAGTGCTGGGATTACAGGTGTGAGCCACCGCATCCAGCCTTCAGGTAGTTCTTTATAGCAGTGTGAGAATGGACTAACACTCCCTCTCCTTTCTCTTATAAATGTATCAGTCCTTAGATTTAGGGTCCATGCTAATCCAGAATGATCTTGTTTTAACTTGATTACATCTGAAAAAACCCTATTTCCAAATGAGACCAGATTTACAGGTACTGGAAGTTAGGACTTGAACGTATTTTTCTGGGGACACAGTTTAATCCTCTGCATTGGGGTTTCCACAGTTGCCCATAATCAGGTTGAGGAAGTCTCCTTCTCTTTCTAGTTTATTGCTGTTTGTTTAAATAGTGAATTATACTTATAGAGATTTAAATAGTAATAAAAATCTTATATATTAACCTATGTACTTTCCATTTCCTATGCTCTTTATTCCTGTCAATCCAGATTTTCATTTGTTATCATTTTCCTCCTGTCTGAAAAGCTTATTTAATATTTTATGTAGTGCAGTTCTGTTGGTGATGAATCCTCTCAGCCTTTGTATGTCTGGAAATATCTTTATTTCATCTGTGTTTTCTTTTATTTTTTGAGATGGGGTCTCACTCTGTCACCCAGGCTGGAGCACAGTGGTGCAATCTCAGCTCACTGCAACCTCTGCCTACCAGGTTCAAGTGATTCCCCTGCCTCACCCTCCTGAGTAGCTGGGATTACAGGTGTGCACCACCATGGTTAGCCAATTTTTGTATTTTTAGTAGAAACGGGGTTTCACCATGTTGGCCAGGCTGGTCTTGAACTATGGGACTCAAGTGATCCACAAGCCTCAGCCTCCCAAAGTGCTGGGATTACAAGCATGAGCCATCACGCCTAGACTTATTTTCATAATATATACATATATGTGTATATATATATATATATATATTTTTTTTTTTTTTTTGAGACAGAGTCTCGCTGTCGCCCAGGCTGGAGTGCAGTGGCGCGGTCTCAGCTCACTGCAGGCTCCACCCCCCGGGGTTCACGCCATTCTCCTGCCTCAGCCTCCCGAGTAGCTAGGACTACAGGCGTCTGCCACCTCGCCCTGCTAATTTTTTGTATTTTTAGTAGAGATGGGGTTTCACCATGTTAGCCAGGATGGTCTCGATCTCCTGACCTCGTGATCCGCCCACCTCGGCCTCCCAAAGTGCTGGGATTACAGGCGTGAGCCACAGCGCCCGGCCTCATAATATTTTAATAAATGATTGTTATTGTATAGAAATGATGGCCAGGTGGCAGTGGCTCACGCCTGTAATCCCAACACTTTGAGAAGCTGAGGCAGGAGGATCACTTGAGGCCAGGAGTTTGAGACCAGCCCGGACAATAAGTGAGACTCTGTCTCTATTAAAAAAGAAAAGAAAGAAAGAAAATAAAAAATAGAAATGCTATTGTAGGCCGGGCGTGGTGGCTCATGCCTGTAATCCCAGCACTTTGGGAGGCTGAGGCGGGCGGATCACAAGGTCAGGAGATGGAGACCATCCTAACACAGTGAAACCCAGTCTCTACTAAAAATACAAAAAAATTAGCCAGGCGTGGTGGCAGGCGCCTATAGTCCCAGCTACTCAGGAGGCTGAGGCAGGAGAATGGCACGAACCTGGGAGGCCGAGGTTGCAGTGAGCCGAGATCGCGCCACTGCACTCCAGCCTGGGCAACAGAGTGAGACTCCGTCTCAAAAAAAACAAAAAACAAAACAAACAAAAAAGTACCTACCTTAACTTTAAAAATATTGCTTAAAAATGTTAATGATCATCTGAGTTTTCAGTAAGTCATTACATTTTTGTTAGTGGAGGGTCTTGCCTTGATGTTGGTGGCTGCTGACTGATCAGGGTGGTGGTTCCTGAAGGCTGAGATGGCTGTGGCAATTTCTTTTTTTTTTTGAGATGGAGTTTTGCTCTTGTTGCCCAAGCTGGAGTGCAGTGACGCGATCTCAGCTCACTGCAACCTCTGCCTCCTTGGTTCAAGCGATTCTCCTGCCTCAGCCTCCCGAGTAGCTGGGATTACAAGTGTGCACCACTATGGTTGGCTAATTTTTTGTATTTTTAGTAGAGATGGGGTTTCACTATGTTTGCCAGGCTGGTCTTGAACTCCTGACCTCAGGTAATCCTCCTGCCTTGGCCTCCCAAAGTGCTGGGACCACAGGCATAAGCCACCACGCCCAGCCAGCAATTTTTTTTTTTTTTGAGACGGAGTCTCCCTCTGTCGCCCAGGCTGGAGTGCAGTGGCACGATCTTGGCTCACTGTAAGCTCCACCTCCCGGCTTCACGCCATTCTCCTGCCTCAGCCTTCTGAGTAGCTGGGACTACAGGCGCCCGCCACCACGCCCGGCTCATTTTTTTGTATTTTTAGTAGAGACGGGGTTTCACCGTGTTAGCCAGGATGGTCTCGATCTCCTGACCTCATGATCCACCCGTCTTGGCCTCCCAAAGTGTTGGGATTACAGGCGTGAGCCACCACGCCTGGCCAGCAATTTCTTAAAATAAGACAACAGTGTGGCCGGGCGCAGTGGCTCACGCCCGTGGTCCCAGCACTTTGGGAGGCGGAGGAGGGTGAATCACATGAGGTCGGGAGTTCGAGACCATCCGGACCAACACGGTGAAACCCTGTCTCTACTAAAAATACAAAAAATTGGCCGGGCGTGGTGGCACACGCCTGTAATCCCAGTTACTGGGGAGGCTGAGGCAGGAGAATCATTTGAGCCTAGGAGGCGTAGGTTGTGGTGAGCTGATATTGTGCCACTGCACTCGGGCCTGGGAGACACAGCGAGACTCAGTCTTAAAAAAAAGAAAAAAAAAAAGACAACAGTGAAGATTACAGCATCAATTGACTTCCAACTTCACTGTAGCATGTGATGCTGTTTGATAGCATTTTACACATAGGAGAACTTTTTTCAAAATTAGAGTCAATCTTCTCAAACCCTGCTGCTACTCTATCAACTAGGATTTTATACAGTATAAATCTTTTGCTGTTATTTCAACAATATCTACAGCATCTTCACCAGGAATACATCACATTGGAAGAAACCAATTTTATTTGCTCAATCATAAGAAGCAACTACTCATTAATTCAAGTTTGCTCATGGGATTGGGCAATCAATTCACTCCCATCTTCGGGCTGAACTTCTTTTTTTTTTTATTTTGAGATGGAGTCTCACTCTGTCGCCCAGGCTGGAGTGCAGTGGCGCAATCTTGGCTCACTGCAACCTCCATCTCCCGGGATCAAGCAATTCTTCTGCCTCAACCTCTGAAGTAGCTGGGATTACAGGCACGTGCCACCACCCCCGGCTAATTTTTGTACTTTTAGTAGAGATGGGGTTTCGCCATGTTGGCCAGGCTGGTCTCGAACTCCTGACTTCAGGTGATCTGCCCTCCTTGGCCTCCCAAAGTGCTGGGATTACAGGTGTGAGCCACCATGCCTGGCCTGAACTTCTAATTCTAGTTCTCTTGCTATTTCCGCGACACTTGCAGTTCCTTCCCCAACTGAAGTCTTGAACGCCTTGGAATCGTCCATGAGGGTTGGAATCCACTTCTTCCAAAATTCTGTTCATGTTCATCTTTTGATCTTCTCCCATGAATAACAAATGCTTTTAATGGCATCGAGAATGGTGAATCCTTTCCAGTTTTCAATGGCTTCACCCAGATCCATCAGAGGAATCACTAGCTCTCATAGCCATAGCCTTACAAAATGTATGTTTTTTTGTTTTTTTTTTTTGAGACGGAGTCTTGCTCTATTGCCCAGGCTGGAGTGCAGTGGAGCGATCTCGGCTCACCGTAACCTCCACCTCCTGGGTTCATGCTATTCTCCTGCCTTGGCCTCCTGAGTAGCTGGGACTACAGGCGCCCACCACCACGCCCGGATAATTTTTTGTATTTTTAGTAGAGATGGGGTTTCACTGTGTTAGCCAGGATGGTCTTGATCTCCTGACCTCATGATCCGCCTGCCTCGGCCTCTCAAAGTGCTGGGATTACAGGCGTGCACCACGGTGCCTGGCCAATGTATTTCTTTTTTATTGAGAGGGAGTTTCGCTCTTTCACCCAGGCTAGAGTGAAGTGGCACAATCTTGGCTCACTGCAACCTTTACCCCCCAGTTTCCAGTGATTCTCCTGCCTCAGCCTCCCCAGTAGCTGGAATTACAGGCGTGTGCCACCACGCCCGGCTAATTTTTGTGTTTTTAATAGAGATGGGGTTTCACCATGTTGGCCAGGCTGGTCTCAAACTCTTGACCTCAGGTGATCCACCCATCTCAGCCTCCCAAAGTATTAGGATTACAGGCATGAGCCACCGCACCTGGCCAAAATACATATATATATTTCTTTTTTCTTTTTTTTTTTTTTTTTTTGAGACAGAGTTTCGCTCTTGTTGCCCTGGCTGGAGTGCAATGGCATGATCTTGGCTCATAGCAACCTCTGCCTCCCGGGTTCAAGCCATTCTCCTGCCTCAGCCTCCGGAGTAGCTAGGATTACAGGCATGCATCACCACACATGGCTAATTTTGTATTTTTAGTAGAGACGGGATTTCTCCATGTTGGTCAGGCTGGTCTCGAACTCTGGACCTCAGGTGATCCGCCTGCCTCGGCCTCCCAAAGTGCTGGGATTACAGGCGTGAGCCACTGGGCCTGGACCTTTTTTTTTTTTCTTTTTTTTAGATGGAGTCTCACTCTGTTGCTCAGGATGGAGTGCAGTGGCATGATCTCAGCTCACTGCAAACTCTGCCTCCC
Source organism: Homo sapiens (assembly GCF_000001405.40). NCBI lineage: Eukaryota > Metazoa > Chordata > Mammalia > Primates > Hominidae > Homo > Homo sapiens. The sequence continues at coordinate 66,056,591 of NC_000007.14, read as the reverse complement.
AGGTTCAAGCTATTCTCCTGCCTCAGCCTCCTGAGTAGCTGAGACTACAGGCATGGGCCACCATGCCTCGCTAATTTTTGTATTTTCAGTAGAGACGGGGTTTCACCATGTTGGCCAGGCTGGTCTCGAACTCCTGACATCAGGTGATTCACCCACCTCGGCCTCCCAAAGTGCTGGGATGACAGGCATGAGCCACCACGCCCAGCCCCAACTTTTCTTCTACAACTTCCTCACCCCTCTTGGCCTTCATAGAATTCAGGAGAGTTAGGGCCTTGCTCTGGATTAGGCTTTGGCTTAAGGGAATGTTGTGGCTGGTTTGATCTTCTATCCAGACCACTCAAACTTTCTCTACATCAGCGATAAAGCTGTTTTGCTTTCTTTTCATTCACGTGTTCACTGCAGTAGCACTTTTAATTTCCTTCAAGAACTTTTCCTGCCAGACACAGTGGCTCATGCCTGTAATCCTAGCACTTTGGGAGGCTGAGACAGGCAGATCATCTGAGGTCAGGAGTTCGAGAGCAGCCTGGCCATCATGGTGAAACCCCATGTCTACTAAAAATACAAAAATTAGCCAGGTGTGGTAGTGCATGCCTGTAATCCCAGCTACTTGAGAGGCTGAGGCAGGAGAATCATGTAACCCAGGAGTAGAGGTTGCAGTGAGCTGAGATCGCGCCACTGCACTCTAGCCTGGGCCACAGAGTAAGACTCGGTCTCAAGAGACTTGGCTAATGGGTACAAGAGGCTTCGCTTTTGTTCATCTCAGTTTTCTACATGTCTTTCTCACTATGTTTAATCATTTCCAGCTTTTGACATTAAGTGAGATACGTAGGCCCCTTCCTTTCACTTTAACACTCAGAGGCCATTAGGTATTGACCTAATTTCAATATTGTTCTGTCTCAGAAAATAGGGAGATTCAAGAGGGCAAGAGGGTGTGAGACGGAGGCACAGTTGGTCAGAGAGGCAGTTAGAACACGCACATTGGTTGATTAAATTCACCATCTTAAATGGGCACAGTGTATGATGCCCAAAACAACTGTAGTAGTAACATCAAAGACCACTGGTCACAGATCACCACAGCAGACATAGTAATAATGAAAAAGCTTGAAATATTGTAAGAATTACCGAACTGTGACACAGAGGTATGATGTGAGCACGTGCTGTTGGAAAAATGCCACTGACAGACTTACTCAACACAGGGTTGCCACAAACCTTCAATTTGTAAAAAATGCAGTTTCTGTGAAGCACAATAAATCAAAGAGCAGTATAACAATGTGTGCGCATATGTGCTATGTCTGTTTTATACTAAGTGTTCAATAAATAATAGTTGCTATGATTAATACATAAGGTCCTAGTGGGTCAAGATAAAACTGGTTTGAAATAATAACAGTTAGGACTGCTATGTTTTTGTTTTCGAGATGGAGTCTCAGTCTGTTGCCCAGGCTGGAGTGCAGTGGCACAATCTTGGCTTATTGAAACCTCCATCTCCCAGGTTCAAGCAATTCTCTACCCTCAGCCTCCTGAGTAGCTGGGATTACACCAGTGTACACCACTACACCTGGCTAATTTTTTTATTTTTAGTAGAGACGGGGCTTCACCATGGTGGCTAGGCTGGTCTCGAACTCCTGACCTCAGGTGATCCCACCGCCTCGCCCTCCCAAAGTGCCGGGATTACAGAAGTGAGCCACCGTGCCTGGCCAGGACTGCTATGTTTTCAATGTTTTTTATGTGCAAAGTACTATATGTGTCTATCTGTTGTCTTTTGCTGTGTAAGGAGACATTCCAGATTGTTAAACAACAACTGTCAGAATTATTACCTCTGATAATTCAGGGTGTTGAATTACATAGGATGAGGTCTTGCCTAGGGTTCCTCCTATGGTTACAGTACTGGCTGAGGCTGGGGTCATTTCATTTTCATTTTTATTTTTCAAGATGGAGTCTTGCTCTGTTGCCCAGGCTGGAGTGCAGTGGCTTGATCATGGCTCACTACAACTTCTGCCTCCTGGGTTCAAGCAATTCTGCCTTAGCCCCCCGAGTAGCTGGGATTACAGGCGCGCACCACCATGTGGAGTCATTTCAAAAGCTTCATCAGTCACATGTCTTGTATTTAGGCAGGGAAGACTCGAATGGCTGAGGGCTGGAACAGAGGACATCTCACAGTATAACCGTGTGGTCTCTTTATGCAATCCCTCCAGCATGGTGGCTTGGAGGCAGCTGGGCTTCTTATAGCCTGGCTCTGTGCTTCAACGGCCCATATTCCCAGAGAGAGCCACGTGGGAGCTGCATCAACTTTTCTGATGCAGCCTCAGCCGTCATGCAGGTCTCTTCCACTGCATTCTACTCCTTAGAAGTGAGTCAGGGCTGGATGTGGTGGCTCACACCTGTAATCCCAGCACTTTAGAAGGCGGAGGTGGGCAGGTTGCCTGAGGTCAGGAGTTCAAGACCAGTCTGGCCAACATGGTGAAACATCATCTCTACTAAAAAATACAAAAATTAGCTGGGAGTAGTCGTAGGCACCTGTTATTCCAGCTACTTGGGACCCTGAGACAGGAGAATTTCTTGAACCCGAAAGGCAGAGGTTGCAGGGAGCTCAGACCGCGCCATTGCCCTCCAGCCTGGACAACAAGAGCATTACTCTGTCTCAAAAAACAATAAATAAATAAACAAATAAATAAATAAATAAATAAATAAAATAAAAATCAGCTGGGTGTGGTGGTGAGCACCTATGGTCCCAGCTACTCAGGAGGCTAAGGTGGGAGGATCACCAGAGCCCAGGAGGTTGAGGCTGCAGTGAGCTGTGATTGCACCACTGAACTCCAGCCTGGGAAACAGAGTGAGATACTGTCTCAAAAGAAAAGGAAGTGAGTCACGAAAGCCAGACCATGTTCAAGGTGAGGAGGAATTAGACTCCACTCCATGAGGGGTGTCAGAGAATTTGCAGACATGGGCTGGGCGCGATGGCTCACGCCTGTAATCCCAGCACTTTAGGAGGCCAAGGTGGGCGGATCACAAGGTCAGGAGTTTGAGACCAGCCTGAGCAACATGGTGAAACCCCTGTCTCTACTAAAAATACAAAAATTAGCTGGGCTTGGTGGTGGGCGCCTGTAATCCCAGCCAGTCGGGAGACTGAGGCAGGAGAATCGCTTCAACCCCAAGAGGTGGAGGTTGTGGCGAGCCAAGATCACACCACTGCACTCCAGCCTGGGTGACAGAGAGAGACTCCGTCTCAAAAAAAAGAAATTAGCAGACATGTTTTAGAACCACTGTGTGTGTATGATCACATTTCATTCTTTTAGTGTTACCAAAGCAGTAGAGTTCAGCCTAGCTCCAGCTGTTGGCCGCACAGAAAGCCAATCATTGAGACAGTGATTATTGCCAAGGAAGATTTTAATTGGGTGCTGCAGCTGAGGAGATGGGAGATCAGTCTCAAATCCATCTCCCTGACTACTAAAATTAGGGGTTTATACAGCAGGGAAGAAATGCAACTATGTGTGGGAATACAGGAACTCAGGAGGGGTAAGGAAGCAATCATGATGAATGAGGGGTCCGGAGTCTCATTGTCAGGATGCCATGACCTGGTGAGTTTCAGTTCTTTGATAAACTTTGAGAGGCCTGGGGATCCTTTCCTGAGGAAGGAACTCAGGTAAAATAAAATGTAAGTTTCAAGCTTTATGACCGAAAGTGTCAATTTCTTTTTGTTTATTTATTTCTTTTTTCTTTTCTTTTTTTTTCTTTTTTTGGAGACAGAGTTTCGCTCTGTCACCCAGGCTGGAGTGCAGTGGTGTGATCTCAACTCACTGCAGCCTCTGTTTCCCAGGTTCAAGGAATTTTCGTACCTCAGCTTCCTGTGTAGCTGGGATTACAGACTCCTACCCCCACGCCCAGCTAATGTTTGTATTTTTGGTAGACACGGGATGTCACCATGTTGGCCAGGCTGGTCTTGAACTCCTGACCTCAGGTGACCTGCCCGCCCTGGCCTCCCACAGTGCTGGGATTACACGTGTGAGCCACCCACCTGGCCAGGACTTGTTTTCTTAATCCCTGTGCTACAGAAATTATACTAGACTAAAATATAAAGGGTTTTTGTTTTGTTTTGTTTTTGTTTTGTTTTGAGACATAGTGTTGCTCTGTCACCCAGGCTGGAGTGCAGAAGCACAGTCTCGGGTCACTGCAACCTCCACCTCCCAGGTTCAAGTGATTCTCCTGCCTCAGCCTCCCAAGTAGCTGGGATTACAGGAAACCACCACCACACCTGACTATTTTTTGTATTTTTAGCAGAGATGGGGTTTCACCATGTTGGCCAGGTTGGTCTCAAACTCCTGACCTCTGGTGATCTGCTCGCCCTGGGCTCCCAAAGTGCTGGGATTACAGGTGTGAGCCACTGTGTCCGGCCGGGATTTATTAATAAGCACTTTTTTTTTTTTTGAGATGGAGGTTCACTCTTGTTGCCCAAGCTGGAATGCAGTGGCACAATTTCAGCTCACTGCAACCTCCACCTTCTGGGTTCAAGTGATTCTCCTGCCTCAGCCTCCCGAGTAGCTGGGATTATAGGCATAAGCCACCATGCCCTGCTAATTTTCTGTATTTTTAGTAAAACGGGGGTTTCACCATGTTAGCAAGGCTGGTGTCGAACTCCTGACCTCAGGTGATCCGCCCACTTTGGCCTCCCAAAGTGCTGTGATTACAGGCGTGAGCCACTGTAATTTTTTTTTTTTTTTTTTTTTTTTTTGAGATGGAGTCTTGCTCTGTCACCCAGGCTGGAGTGCAGTGGCATGATCTCAGCTCACTGCAGCCTCCACCTCCCAGGTTCAAGTGATTCTTCTGCCTCAGCCTCCTGAGTAGCTGGGATTACAGGCAAGTGCCACCACGCCCAGCTAATTTTTGCATTTTCAGTAGAGACAAGGTTTCACTATGTTGTTCAGGTTTGTCTCAAACTCCTGACCTCAGGTGATCCACCTGGCTCGGCCTCCCAAAATGCTCGGGCACTACGCCTGGCCCCTTTTTTTTTTTTTTTTTTTTTTTTTTGTATTTTAGTAGAGATGGGGTTTCACTGTGTTGCTCAGGCTGGTCTCGAACTCCTGAGCTTAGGCAATCTGCCTGCCTAGGCCTCCCATAGTGGTAGGATTACAGGCGTGAGCCATGGCGCCCGGCCTTTTCTTTTTCTTTTTTTTAAAGAGACAGTATCTCCCTCTGTCACCCAGACTGGAGTGCAGTGTTGCTCACTGTAACCTCAAACCTTAAGGCTCAGGTGGTTCTTCCGCCTCAGCCTACTGAATAGCTGGGACTACAGGCACATGCCACCCTGCCTGGCTAATTTTTTGTAGAGACATGGTCTCACTGTGTTGCACCATCTGGTCTTGAATTCCTGGGCTTAGGCAATCCTCCCACTTTGGCCTTCCAAAGTGCTGGGGTGACAGGCATAGGCATGGCATCTGGCCAATAAGCATTCTTATGCAGTGTTTACTAAGCGCCAAGCACTATCTCAAGCACTTTTCTGGGGACTGTGTATGTTTATGGGAAAAAGCCTACAGCAGAGGCCCCAGGAGACAGGCCTGCCTGGAGGGCTGGGTTGGGAGTGGAGAGCAGGCCCCCTCAGGACCATGGAGCCTCCAGGACACAGTCCTTCCTCCCAAGGAAGTTAAGGCAGAGTTAAGGTTCCTGCTTGGTTGGAAGGTCCAAGGGGCAGTCCTGAGTGGGACACTGTGACTGTCACTCTGATTGTCCCCCTACAAGGCCCCATGGACTCCAGCAGCCAGAGAATGAAGATAATAATAAATTAAAGCATCTCAAGGCATCTGCAGAAATCGTGTCAGGCAGGAGGCCATGCCTCAGGGCGCAGGAATAACAGCAGCCTGGCCTGCCGCAGCAAGATAGCAGCCCCTACTGCAGAGGCTGGTGGCAGCCACCATTGGGGGCACAGACTCTGGGGGTGCTCGTGCATGCGTGTGTGTGTGTGTGTGTGTGTGTGCATATCATACTTTGAGACACCTGGATCTATCTAGGAGGTATCTGAGAGGTACTCAGCCTCCTGCAGAAAAGGTGGGGACGGACCTGGAGAAGCAGCATTTTGTAACCTTGGACCCTGAGTGAGCAGGAGACAGACTGCACAGAACAACAGATATATACGGGAATGTACTGATTTTCTCTTACTGCAGTAACAAACTGCTGCACAAAACCCCACAAATTTATTGTCTTAAAATTTTATAGGTTAGAAGAAGGGTCCCCAAACCTTGAACCACAAACCAGTACTAGTCTGTGGCTTGCTACGAACCATGTCGCACAGCAAGAGGTGAGTGGTAGTCGAGCGAGCAAAGCTTCTTCTGTATTTACAGCAGCTCCCCATTGCTCACACTCCCACATGAGCTTTGCCTCCTGTCAGATCAGTGGCAGCATTAGATTCTCATAGGAGCGTAAACCCTATTGTGAACAGCGCATGCACGGGATCTAGGTTGTGGGCTCTTTATGAGAATCTAATGTCTGATGATCTGTCACTATCTCCCATCACCCCCAGATGGGGCTGTCTAGTTGCAGGAAAACAAGCTCAGGGCTCCCACTGATTCTACATGATGGTGAGTTGTATAATTATTTCATTATCTATTACAATGTAATCATAATAGAAATAAAGTGCACGTTTAATGTAATGTGCTTAAACCATCCTGAAACCTCCCTGCCTCCTAGTCAGTGGAAAAACTGTCTTCCACAAAACAAGTTCCTGGTGCCAAAAAGGTTGGGGACCACTGGATTAGGAGTCGATATGGTTTAGATCTGTGTCCCCACACAAATCTCATGTCGAATTGTAATCTCCAGTGCTGGAGATGGGGCCTGGTGGGAGGTCATTGGATCATGGGGGCGAAGTTCTCATGAATGGTATAGCACCATCCCTTTGGTGCTGTTCTTGCAATAATGAGTGAGTTTTCACGACACCTAGCTGTTTAAAAGTGTGTAGCTTCGGCTGGGCATGGTGGCTGATGCCTGTAATCCCAGCACTTTGGGAGGCCGGGGTGGGCAGATCACCTGAGGCCAGGAGTTGGAGACCAGCCTGGCCAACATGGTAAAACCCTGTCTCTACTAAATATACAAAAATTAGCCGGGTGTGCTTGTGCGTGCCTGTAATCCCAGCTACTCGGGAGGCTGAGACAGGAGAGCCACTTGAACCCAGGAGGTGAAGGTTGCAGTGAGTCAAGATTGCGCCATTGCACTCCAGCCTGGGCTGGAGTGAGACTCGGTCTCAAAAAAATTAAATAAGGCCAGGCGTGGTGGCTTACGTCTGTAATCCCAGCACTTTGGGGGGCTAAGGCAGGCAGATCATGAGGTCAGGAGTTCGAGACTAGCCTGGCCAACATGGTGAAATCCTGTCTCTACCAAAAATTAGCTGGGTGTGGTGGTGCACGCTTGTAATCCCAGTCCATCAGGAGGCTGAGGCAGGAGAATCGCTTGAACCTGGGAGGTGGAGGTTGCAGTGAGCCGAGATCGTGCAACTGCACTCTAGCCTGGGTGACAGAGGGAGACTCCGTCTCAAAGAAAATAGAGAAATAAAATAATAACAAAAAAGTATGTAGCTCCTCCCCTCCTCTCTTGCTCCTGCTCCCCCTTGCCTTCCGCCATGAGTAGAAGATCCCTGAGGCCTCCCCAGAAGCAGATGCTGCCATGCTTCCTCTAGAGCCGTTGGAACTGTAGGCTAATTAAACAATCTTTCTTTATAAATTACCTAGTCTCAGGTATTTCTCTTTTTCTCTTTACTTTTGTGTGTGTGTGTGTGTCGCCTAGGCTGGAGTGCAGTGGCGCAATCTCAGGTCACTGCAAACTCCACCTCCTGGGTTCAGGCAATTCTCCTGCCTCAGCCTCCCCAGTAGCTGGAATTTCAGGTGTGCGCCACCATGCCCAGCTAATTTTTTTGGATTTTTTTTTTTTTTTTTAGTAGAGATGGGGTTTCATCATGTTGGCCAGGCTGGTCTTAAACTCTTGACCTCGTGATCTGCCCGCCGTGGCCTCCCAACATGCTGGGATTACAGATGTGAGCCACTGTGCCTGGCCTTCAGGTATTTCTTTATTGAAGTGTGAGAACGGACTAATACAGAAGTCCTACATGAGTCTCACTGGGCTAAAATCAAGGTGTTGGTAGGGCTGCAGTCCTTTCTGGAAGCTTCAGAGGAGAATCTGTTTTCTTGCCTTTTTCAGCTTCTAGAGGTTACCTACACTTCTTGGCTCATGGTCTCTTCCTCTACCATCAAAGGCAGGAACATTGCATCTCTCAGACCATTCTTCCCTAGCCACACCTCCCTTGGGTTCTGACATTAGCTGAGAATGATTCTATGCTTTTAATGACCCCTGTGATTAGGTTGATACCATGTAGAAAATCCAGGATAATCTTTTCTTTGCATCTCAAGGCCCATACCCTTAATTGTCATGGTGATCAGCGACTATTCAGGGCCAGAGGTGCAGACAGTAAAAAGAACTTTTACTTGGCTCACTGCAGCCTTTGCTTCCCAGGCTCAAGCGGTTCTCCTACTTCAGCCTCCTGAGTAGCTGGGATTACGGGTGCCAGCCACCATGCCCGGCTAATTTTTGTATTTTTAGTAGAGATGGGGTTTCACCATGTTGGCCAGGCTGGTCTTGAACTCCTGGACTCAAGTGATCCACCCACCTTGGCCTCCTGAAATGATGGGATGACAGGTGTGAGCCACTGCGCCCGGCCTCCTGGGTACCATTTGAACACCCAGCTAACTCCCTACTCTAAGTCACACCTGAGCCATTTTATCATGGGGGCTGTCAGAGGCACTGCTCTTTTCCACTGAAGCCCATACCTAATCCCTCGGCCTCATGTGCTTTTCCCCTCACCCACTTCAAAGGCCCATGGTTTTGGGACGCCTCTCCGCCTCATTAGTCATTCCCTCCCCTGCCCCATCGCGTCAAAACACAATGCATTGTGGTTATTTATGTCCAGAGCTGGCTCCCCAACTACGCTGTCAGCTAGCCAGTGCAGAGGGTGTGTGTTAGTCACATTTGTATCATCAGCCCCCGATGGGCCATGGCTACATACTTGTTGAATGAATAACACAAGGAGGAGCTTTAGCATTTCTTTGTGGGGCCCCATTTTCTCAACGAAGGTACAGGGAATTCTCCACACTAACCAGGCCAGCTAGATCTGGGTGGCATTTTATGCACTTTGTTGTTGTTGTTGTTGTTTTTTAATTTTTTATTTTTATTTTTTTTGAGACGGCATCTCGCTCTGTCGCCCAGGCTGGAGTGCAATGGCGTGATCTCGGCTCACTGCAACCTCTGCCTCCTGGGTTCAAGCGATTCTCCTGCCTCAGCCTCCCAAGTAGCTGAGACTACAGGCGACCGCCACCACGCCCAGCTAATTTTTATACTTTTAATAGAGACAGGGTTTCACCATGTTGGCCAGGATGGTCTCGATCTCTTGACCTTGTGGTCTGCCCTCCTCGGCCTCCCAAAGTGCTGGGATTACAGGTGTGAGCCACCGCGCCTGGCCGTTGTTATTGTTTTGCGATGGAGTCTTGCTCTGTCACCCAGGCTGGAGTGCAGTGGCGCGATCTGCAACCTCTGCCTCCTGGGTTCAGGCGATTCTCCTGCCTCAGCCTCCTGAGTAGCTGGGGTTACAGGTGCGAGCCACTGCGCTGGTTAATTTCTTTTTTTTCGTAAAGATGAGGTTTTGCCACGTTGCTCAGGCTGGTCTCAAACTGGGCTCAAGCGATCCACCTGCCTTCATCTTCCAGAGTGCTGGGATTACAGGTGTGGGCCGCCATGCTCAGCCGAGTAAAAAATGTTTAACAGCTTTATTAATATAGGATTCATATGCTGTACAATTTGCCATTTAAAGTGTACAACTCAATGTTTTCAGTATATTCACAGGGTTGTGCAACCACCACCGCCATCCATAATACTTTTAGGACATTTTCGTTTCCCAAAGAGAAGCTCCATATCTATTAGCAGTCACTGCCCATCCCTGCACCCAACCCCTCTCCTAGCCTTCTTTCTGTATCCATAGATTGGCCTCTTCTTGGACATTCTATATAAAGTGAATCATACGGTATGTATATATATTTTTAGAAGGAGTCTTGCTCTGTCGCCCAGGCTGGAGTGCCGTGGCATAATCTTGGCTCACCACAACCTCTGCCTCCCGGGTTCAAGCAATTTTCCTGCCTCAGCCTCCTAAGTAGCTAGGATTACAGGCGCCTGCCACCATGCCCGGCTAATTTTTGTTTTTTTAGCAGAGACGGGGTTTCACTATGTCGGCCAGGCTGGTCTCGAACTCCTGACCTCATGATCTGCCTGTCTCGGCCTCCCAAAGTGCTGGGATTACAGGCGTGAGCCACTGTGCCTGGCAATTTTTGTATTTTCAGTAGAGATGGAGTTTCACCATGTTGGCCAGGCTGGTCTTGAACTCCTGATCTCAGATGAACCACCCGCCTTGGCTTCCTGAAGTGCTAGGATTATAGGCATGAGCCACGTGGCCAGGTGATATGTATTATTTTGTGTGTGGCGTCTTTCACTTATTAATAGCGTCATGTTTTGGGAGGTTATCCATGTTGTAGCATGTATCTATCCATCTATCTATATGTATTTTTTGCAACAAGGTCTCTCACTCTGTAGGCTGGAATGCAGTGATATGATCATAGCTCCCTGCAGCCTCGACCTCCCGACTGAAGTGATTCTTCCACCTCAGCCTCCCCAGTACCTGAGACTACAAGTGCTCACCACCACACACCTGGCTAACTTTTTGTAGATAGGGGGTCTGGCTATGTTGCCCAGGCTGGTCTGGAACTCCTGGTCTCAAGAAATCCTGCCCCCGCCTCCCAAAGTATTGGGACCAAGCCTGGCCTCCTTTTTATTTTTAAATAGTTTTCCATTGTACAAATGTAGTACATTTTATTCATCCACTCACCAGTCTCTAGTTAATGCATCTGTTGTGTTTGTTCAGATTGACTGGGGTTCAATACCCACCGGACAAGTTCCTAGATGAGTGACTTTTGGTAAATCATAATCTCTCCAAGACTGCCTCAGTTTCTTCAATTATAAAATGTCAATAATAAAGGAATCTACTTCACAGAGAGTCATGGTTGTACTGCCACAGTAATTAATAAAGTGCCAGGCACTTTATGAGGATTATCTAACACATTTATTATTTACAAAGGAGGGAACAAAGGCCATTGCGGTGGCTCACACCTGTAATCCCAGCACTTTGGGAGGTGGAGGTGGGAGGATCACTTGAGGCCAGGAGTTCAAGACCAGCCTGGGCAACATAGAGACTCTCCCATCTCTACAAAAAAATAAAAGAAAAATTCTAGCTGACCCTTTGGACAGCAAATAATTTTTTTTTAGAAAATTAGCCAGAGGGGGCCAGAAGCGGTGGCTCACGTCTGTAATCCCAGCACTTTGAGAGGCCGAGGTGGGCGGATCACGAGGTCATGAGATCGAGACCATCCTGGCTAACACGGTGAAACCCCGTCTCTACTAAAAAAAAAAAAAAAAATAGCCGGGCAGGGTGGCCGGCGCCTGTAGTCCCAGCTACTCGGGAGGCTGAGGCAGGAGAATGGCGTGAACCTGGGAGGCAGAGCTTGCAGTGAGCCGAGATTGCGCCACTGCACTCCAGCCTGGGTGACAGAGCCAGACTCCGTCTCAAAAAAAGAAAAAAGAAAAAAAGAAAATTAGCCAGGTGGCCGGGCACGGTGGCTCATGCCTGTAATCCCATCACTTTGGGAGGCTGAGGCAGGTGGATCACGAGGTCAGGAGGTCAAGACCAGCCTGGCCAAGATGGTGAAACCCTGTCTCTAATAAAAAATACAAAAATCAGCCGGGCATGGTGGCGGGTGCCTGTAATCCCAGCTACTTGGGAGGCTGAGGCAGGGAATTGCTTGAACCCGGGAGGCAGAGGCTGCAGCGAACCGAGATCGCGCCACTGCACTACAGCCTGGGCGACAGAGCAAGACTCCGTCTCAAAACAAACAAACAAACAATAGAAAACACGAGATAATCCTGTCCGCAAACGCTCAGCAGTCTGAAGTCGGCCTGGGCGAAGGATACAGGAACACGCCCCCACCCCCCCCAACACCCCCACCCCCGAGAAAGGAGAACCTGCGGCGCGAGGTTCCGAGTCCGCCAAGCTCCCGGCATGAAGCGCGGCGCTCCTGGCTTGCACCTTGGCGTGCGGAGCTGGCACTTTGGCGCTGTTGGCGACGGTGGGGAGAGCTGTAGAGTGTGAAGTTCCTTGTCTGCTGGCAGCCAGAGGCGACGAGTCTGGACCTCATGGAAGTCCAGACTCTAGTCTGGACGCGTCCCTTTTGGTACGCGAGGAGCCTAACAGTTGGACCTCTGAGAGCCGAGAGCCGTGGGGACTGGGCGACCCTCGTACGGAAGTGAGGGCAGGGGGCTGGCTGGCCCTGTCCGGGAGGGCCCCGGGATAGGGACAGGGACGAACGGGACTCAAGCCCCTCCGAACCTCCACAACCTGTGTCTGGGGTGCGGGGCCGAGCACCTCCGTGTCCGGCTGCCTTTCAATGTGCCCCCTCCTTCTCTCATTCATTTACCAGCGTTTCTGGGTCACAGTGCGGGGGTGGAGCCCAGCCTGGTATCCGACCCGGGACTTAGCAGGCTGTAAAGGCCTGAGTCTGTCCGCCCTGAAAGTAGGTGGAGGAGAGACGAATCAGGTCCAGGTAGAGCTCTGCTTGCCCCACCGGGCCCTGGGGAGCCCTCACTCCGAAGAGCTGCCCTCAGAGTTTGATGGGAACAGTCAACACTGTGAGGGAAGGGGCGAGTTTTTGGGTGGAGAAGGGAAGGATGTGAGCCAGGACTGGGACCGGAGAAACAGCACGGGGTGTGTGGGTGTGTACAGGCGAGGGTAAAAGGTTTTCTGACAGTTTAACTCCACGTGGTCTTTTCCGTGCTTGTTCGTTGCGCCTAGTGCAAATGGAAGTTTTTGCATCTACTCCGAATGTGGGTTTTATATGATTGATATTAACTTGTAGGTATTACCTAACTTGTGTTCTCTGTGAACTGACTGATACAGTTTCCTTCACGTTCTCTTGCCTCATGTTTAATGGTTATATGTACTATGGCATTTCAGATGTTTATATTTTTAATTAATTAATTTTGTTTTTTCTTAAGAAACAGAGTCTTGCTGTGTCCACCAGTGGGAGTGTGGTGGTGTAATCATGGTTCACTGCAGCCTCGACCTTCTGGACTCAAGCAATCCTGCTTCAGCCTCTCCGGTAGCTGGGACTGCAGGCCCACACCATCACTCACTGTTCATTTTTTTTTTTTTAAGTTTTTGTAGACAGAGGGTCTCACTACAGCCTAGGCTGGTCTCAAGGTGATACTGAGCTCAAGTGATCCTCCTGCCTTGTACTCCCAAAGTGCTGGGATTGCAGGTGTGAGCCACCTCACCTGGCTCCTTTTGAGTTTTTTTTTTTTATTGACGTAACATAATATGTCTGTGTAACTGAAATGAAAGGCTCATGAAACAATAATGTATGGCGTACACTCTCATATTGTTTATTTTTTTGTTAAAATGAATGGGGCCAAGCGTGTGGCTCATACCAGTAATGCCAGCACTTTGGGAAGCGTAGGCAGGAGGATCACTTGAGCCTGGGTGGTAGAGACCAGCCTGGGCAACATAGGGAGACCCTGTGTCTGCAAAAAATAAAAAAGTTAGCTGAGTGTGGTGGTTCATGCCTGTAGTCTCAGCTACTTACGAGGCTGAGATGGGAGGACCGCTTGATCCCAGGAGGCTGCAATGAGCTGAGATCCAGCCACTACATTCCTGCCAGAGTGGCAGAGCAAGCCTCTGTCTAAAAAAAAAATAAAAATAAAAATAAGTTGACCTACTGAATTAATTTTGCAACCTACTGATGGGATTTCATCTGCAACCTGAAAAACTATTAATATATTTTACTCTTGTATAAGCCATCATTACTAATTTTTCCCTACTTACTAGAGCATTTCCTGTGAGCATACAATCCTGCTTTAGTGTATTCATCTTAAGAAAATCCTGTCCTCACATACATGTCAGCCTCTTTTTTTTTTTTTTTTTTTTTTTGAGACGGAGTCTTGCTCTGTTGCCAGGCTGGAGTGCAGTGGCACCATCTTGTGTCACTGCAACCTCAGCCTCTTGGGTTCAAGCAATTTTCCTGCCTCAGCCTGCCGAGTAGCTGGGACTACAGGTGCATGCCGCCATGCCCAGCTTATTTTTTCTTTTTGGAATTTTAGTAGAGATGGGGTTTTACCATGTTGCCCAGGCTGGTCTCAAACTCTTGAGCTCAGGCAATCAGCCCAGCTCGGCTTCCCAAAGTGCTAGGATTACAGGTGTGAGCCACCACACCTGGCCACATGTCCACCTCTTACTCCATTTCTGCTTCCCATCCCAACAAAACTTCTTGAAAGTGCTGATTAGACCCTCATTCTCTCAACCATTCTGTTGGGCTTTCATCCTCACTGGTCTACAGAAATGACTGTTAACATTACCTGATCCAGTGGGGCGCAGTGGCTTACGCCTATAATCCCAGCATTTCAGGAGGCCAAGATGGGCCAATTGTCTGAGGTCAAGAGTTTGAGACCAGCCTGGTCAACATGGCGAAACCCCGTCTCTACTAAAGATACAAAAATTAGCCGGGTGTGATGGTGGGCACCTGTAATCTCAGCTACTCAGGAGGCTGAGGCAGGAGAATCACTTGAACTCGGGAGGCAGAGGTTGCAGTGAACCAGATTGTGCCACTGCACTGCAGCCTGGGTGACAAAGCAAGACTGTTTCAAAAAAAAAACAAAAACAAAAACCTGATCCCTCCATCTTGTCAAATGCAGATGTTGATTTTCTGGCCTCAACTTTCTTGATCTCTCAGCAGTGGTTAATACAGAAACTCTAGAAACTTTCTTTTCTTTGTGATATATGCTCCCTTTTGATATTTCCTCCTACATCAAGGACTACTTCACAGTGTCCTTCCCTGGGTCTCGTTCCTCCCTTGCTTGATGTCTAAGTGTTGAAGTATCTTAGGGCTCAGTCCTGGGACCCTTTCTCTCCACACTCTGTCATTTAACCCATCTATGTGCTGATAGTTCCCAAAGATATGTTTCTAACCTTCTTCTCATCATCTATCCAATTGCATAGACCAAAAATCTAGCCCTCTCTCCTCACTTCCTAAATCCAGTCCATCAGTGGTCCTGTTGTCTCCACCCTAGAATGTATTTTGAATGCAGTTACTTTTCAGCATCTCCACTGTTAGCTTTATAGTCCATCACCTCTGGGCTGGATTAAGCAATAGCCTTTGAGTGTTCACTCTTCCCCAGCCTCCATTCTGTTCTCCACATGGCAACTGGAGTGATCTTAAGTAATGATTGGAACATGTCACCCCTGGATAAAACCCTTCATTGACTTTCCATTGCACTTAGAGGAAATCTCCATCTATTACCAGGACCTGCAAGACCCTGTAAAACCTCACCTACTCCCCAGCCTTACCACTTGCCACTCTCCCAACCTCCTAGACACACACTTTCCACTGACAGGTATTTCCTTCTCCTCTAACCTTCTAAGCACTTCCTGAGTACCATTGCGTTGCGGTACCCTCTGTCTGGTATACTTTCCTCCTCGCCCTCGCCCTCGCCCTGTTCTCATCTTCTTATTTATTTATTTTTAATTTTTTTAATGGAATCTTCCTCTGTCACCCAGGCTGGAGTCCAGTGGTGCAGTCTCAGCTCACTGCAACCTCTGCTTCCTGGCCTCCTGGGTTCAAGGGATTCTCCTGCTTCACCCTACCAAGTAGCTGGGATTACAGGTGTGTGCCACCATGCCCAGCTAATTTATGTATTTTTAGGAGAAACAGGGTTTCCATGTTGGCCAGACTGGTCTTGAGTTCCTGACCTCAGGTGATCTGCCTGCCTCAGCCTCCCAAAGTGCTGGGATTACAGGCATGAGCCACCACACCTGGCCACCTGTTCTCTACTTGGGTTGTGTCCCTTTTCAAAGTTGCCTTTCCTCTTCAGTAAGTCTAACTAACATAAGCTCTTTTTGTCTCTCATAGCACCTTGATTTACTTTCCCTCAAATAATTACAAGTTGCAGTGATAAATGTATGCTTACTTGTTTGGAGGGTGGGGACCAGTGTCTGTTCACCTAGTGCTTAGCATTGCATCTGGCACACAGTAGGCATTCAGCAAATACTTGTTCAATAAAGTAATATAACAATACTTTATTAGCTTCATAAATATAGTCATCTCTCAGCATCTTTGGGGGATTGGTTCCGGGACCCCCTGCGTATACCAAAATTCACAGATGCTCAAGTCCCTGATATAAAACGGTGTAGTATTTGCATATGATCTATGCATATTCTCCCATATACTTTAAATCATCTCTAGATGCCTTATTATGATACCATGACATGTAATACCAGTTTTTGTCCATGGTTCCTGGCTCATAACTGCCATAGTCCTTGTTACTTTCTAAATGACTAAAACAGTAAGCATAACTTTTGTTAAAGTATTTGTCCTTTGTCCATGGTTCCTGAAGTGGCCTTGGAACAGCTTCAGAGCAGTAAAGGTGAAGGACAGTCTTTTGTTAGAATGTTGGGGCACTCTAAGCCTCAGAAGCAGGCCTCAGAAAACAGAAGATCTGTCTCTTGCCCTCTAATCATCCCCTGCCTTTCTGTCTTAGAGCTGGCCGTAAAGAAATCTCTGAAGTATCTTGTCTGATTTTAGGTTACAAGACCCCCGTTTCAGAGGGGGTCGTGCCCCTTACCCAGGAGGAAGAAATAGAGAGAGGCCAAGGAGAATCTGGATGGGCCTTGCTGGGTTTCTGCACTCAGTTAGATGACACTCTTTATCCAATCAGTTACTGTGAGGTTGGTCATGCTTCAATAATCTCTCTCTAGTGAAATCTCTACAAAATGCCCAAGAGAACTTCTGGATAGCCTAACAGGTGGAAGTTTCTGGATGGTGGTATGCCTGGGGAGGGCAGAGAGCTCTGTGCCCCCTCTCCATCCCTCATCCTGTGCACCACTTAATCTGTATCCTTGGTAATACCCTTTATAATAAATCAGTAAACCTAAGTAAGTGTTCAAATTAATGAAGCCTAAAGAGGAGGTCCTGGGAACTGCAGCTTGAAGCCCGCCATTGAGAAGTTCTGGAGGCCCTGACCTGTGTGACTGGTGTCTGAAGTAGGAGCAGTCTTCTGGGACTGAGCCCTCAGCCTGTGGAATCTGACACTGTTTTCAGATAGTTAGTGTCCGAATTGAATTGGATTGGAAGGTACCCAGCTAGTGCTGGCTGCAGAATTGATGGCTTACTTATTGATAGAGAAAAATCCCCACGCATCTGGTCACAGAAGTCTTCTGTGTTGATTGTTGTCAGGTGAGAGCAGAGGAAAACCAGTTTGATTCTCAACCAACTTATAATACATGATGCAATGTAAAGGCTGTGTAAATAGTTGTTGTACTGTGTTGTTTAGGGAATAATGACAAAAAGCAGTCTATCCATGTTCAGTGTAGAGGCAGCCATCCTAGGCCTAACTACATAGTACATGTCAGCAACAATGTAGCATTTTCTTAAACATTTTTTTTGCATGTTTTTCATTCCAGGTTGGTTGAATCTAAGGATGTGGAACCTGAGGCTAAGGAGAGCCGACTGTATAAATTCATTAGCTAGCATCCTAGTTGCTAGGCGTGTATATTTTCTGATTTTCCTAAGTGAAATGGTTTGAATCAAGGGGTTTTTGTTCTTGTAACAGCCTGTCCACTTCTGCCAAGTAGTCAGTGACTTCCTGTAACCAATCAAGAATTTTGCAGCCAGTAATTCATGGGAAAATGAGGTTTCCTGAGATAGACATGTGATTTGGGAGTGGAAGGGCCCTGGAGTGGAAAGGTCTGGAAGCCTAACTTCTGGTCCTCACCTGGTCTTCAACAGGAGGCGTGACCTTTGGAAGTCTGCTCCTTAGGATCTTTAGCAGAACCTTGAGTTGCAGATACAGTTGACCCTTGAACAACACGAGCTTGAACTTCATGGATCTCCTTATACGCAGATTTTAAAAAATAAATGCAGTTGGCCCTCCATATCTGCAGGTTCCACATCTGCAACCAAACGCAGAGAATGAAAATACAGTATTTGAGGGATGAGAATATACCTGCATATGTGGAGAGCTGGCTTCCTAGCTGCTGGTTCTGCAAGGCTCTCTGGGACACAAGCATGTTCGGATTTTGGTGTATGTGGGGGTCCTGGGATCAATCTCCGATACATACCAGAGGATGCCTGTATATTGTAACTCTATCAGACACTCCCAGAACCTGAAGCGAGGAGGCACAATGAACAACTCCTCTAAGTTTTTGCTACTTTTTAAAATTCTGATTGAGGAAATACCTACTAAGTAACTAATACATAATAATAATAATAATACCAGAAATTTCTTCTTTTTTTTTGAGACGGCGTTTCGCTCTTATCACCCAGGCTGCAGTGCAATGGCACGATCTCGGCTGACTGCAACCTCTACCTCCTGGGTTCAAGCGATTCTCCTGCCTCAGACTCCTGACTAGCTGGGACTACAGGTATGTGCCACCATGCAAAATATTTATATAGCAAAGTTAGGTATTTCTGTATATTAGGTATTTACTATTTGGCTAACTTTGTCTATAAATGATCATTGATATGGCTGGAAAGGTTTGTGTCAACTCTTTTATTCTTTTTATTTATTTGTTTATTTATTTTGAGACAGTCTTGCTCCATCAACCAGGCTGGAGTGCAGTGGTGCGAACTCAGCTCGTGGCAACCTCTGCCTCCTGGGTTCAAACGATTCTCCTGCGTCAGCCTCCCGAGTAGCTGGGATTACAGGCGCCCGCCACCACACCTGACTAACTTTTTTGTATTTTTAGTAGAGACAGGGTTTCATCATGTTGGCCAGGATGGTCTCAATCTCTTGACCTCATGATCCGCCCACCTTGGCCTCCCAAAGTGCTGGGATTACAGGTGTGAGCCACCGCGCAGCCCACTTTTTTTTTTGAGACGGAGTCTCATTCTGTCGCCCAGGCTGGAGTGCAGTGGCGTGATCTCGGCTCACTGCAAGCTCTGCCTCTCAGGTTCATGCCATTCTCCTGCCTCAGCCTCCCGAGTAGCTGGGACTACAGGCGCCTGCCACCACGCCCAGCTATTTTTTTGTATATTTAGTGGAGACGGGGTTTCACTGTGTTAGCCAGGATGGTCTCGATCTCCTGACTTCATGATCCGCCCGCCTTAGCCTCCCAAAGTACTGGGATTACAGTCGTGAGCCACCGCGCCCGCAGCCCACTCTTTTATTCTTGAATGTAATATATATAATTAGGAAAATGGACACTATCTTCTGTACCATCTTTTTGAGGTAGTGTCAGGATTTCTTTCTTTTCACAGCTGGAAATACTGATATTTAGAAAAGGTGGGTAATAGGTACTATAACATCCCAGTAACAGGACTGCAAAGAGGATACTCGTTTGCTAGCTCCCAAGAGAATGCTACAGGTTAAGTTGTTCATTGACTTCAGAAGCTGCCCAGTTTGCTTGTACCAGACTTTAGTTTTTCAGAGCATGACTTGATAGCATAGGCTGGGCATAGGAGAATTTGAGCAATTCTTTTCGTCGTTGCCTGCGTAAGAGTTGACTGTGTGGCAATTAATAGGCACTGTTTGCATGTGCCGTTTGTGTATGTGTGTGCTTCTGAGGAAAGTTCACCAAGAGATCATTTTGTTCTGTTTATTCGGAATTCAGTTTCCGAATAAACTGAATTGTTTATATCCATTTAATTGACTCACCAAGTTAAGCAAATTTTACAAATTAAATGTCAACTAGAAAGTCAACTTCAGTCATCTAATTCATTACTTAAGGAAATTAAGTAACTGCCTGCCTGTAGTATAAATTTAGACAGTCTTTAAAATGCGTTTGGAGTATTTGCTTTAAACACATGTAAATAAAATAAGTACTATTCTAAGTCCTACAGGAGAATATGAAGTTTTTGTATAGGTAAGCAGTTTCTGGAAATCTGATTGCATGTGAACGTATTACATAATACTAAAGTGTGAGCTGTAGAGCAGACAGTTCCAGCTTTGTAGAGATCTACAGCTTGTACATTTATAATTGCTAGATGTGTCCATTAAGTTCTACTAGCTCTAAAACACTTTTGAAGACCTGGAGCAGTAGGTCATGCTTGTAATCCCAGCACTTTGGGAGGCCACGGTGGGGGGGGAATCACCTGAGGTCAGGAGTTCGAGACTAGCCTGACCAACATGGAGAAACCCCATCTCTACGAAAAATACAAAATTAGCTGGGACATGCCTGTTAATCTCAGCTACTTGGGAGGCTGAGGCAGGAAAATCGCTTGGACCCGGGAGGTGGAGGTTGCAGTGAGATGAGATTGGGCCATTGCATTCCAGCCTGGGCAACAAGAGCAAAACTCCATCTCAAAAAAAAAGAAAAAAAAGAAAACAAAACAAAACAAAAAAAACTTTTGGGGCAAATGTATTTTACATCCTCAATTATAAGTTACAGTAATTTTATTTTTAACTTTATGGCATTCTTTATTTTAGTTTTACATTTTCATATTCCTTAACTTCTTAGCATGAAAAATTTTAAACCTGTGAAACAGCTGCAAAAACAGTACCACAAATACCTGTATTATACTCATTACCTGAAGTCACCACTTGTTAACATTTTGATTTGGGTATTTGCTACCCTTCCCCCTTCCCCCTTCCCTTCTTTTTTTTTTTTTTTTTTTTTTTGAGAGGGAGTCTCACACTGTCGCCTGGGCTGGAGTGCAGTGTTGCCATCTTGGCTCACTGCAACCTCCACCTCCCAGGTTCAAGTGATTCTCCTGCCTCAGCCTCCTGCGTAGCTGAGATTACGGGCGCCTGCCACCACACCCAGCTAATTTTGTGTATTTTTAGTAGATACAGAGTTTCACTATGTTGGCCAGGTTGGCTTTCTTTCTTTCTTTTTTTTTTTTTTTAATTAGAGACACTTGAGCCCAGGCTGGATCTAAACTCCGGGCTGAAGCGATCCTCCTTTCTCAGCCTTCGGAATAGCTGGGATGACAGGTGTGAGCCACCGTGCCTGGAATTCCCTTATTTCTTTTGCACAGGCATGAGCTTTCTCTCCATACACAGGTGCACACACTTACTTTACTGAACCATTAGAGAGTTGTAGACAGCAGATCATTTCACCCCTTCTTGGAAAAGGGCATTCTATGTAGCTACAGTCGCCTTATCACACTCAGGAAACTTAGCGCTGATATATCTACTATTATTAAGATACAATGTAGGCCAGGTGCGGTGGCTCATGCCTGTAATCCCAGCACTTTGGGAGCTGAGACGGGCGGATCACTTGAGGTCAGGAGTTGGAGAGCAGTCTGGCCAACGTGATGAAACCCCATCTCTACTGAAAATACAAAAATTAGCCAGGTGTGGTGGTGCATTCCTGTAGTCCCAGCTACTTGGGAGGCTGAGGTGGGAGAATTGGTTCAACCTGGGAGGCGGAGGTTGCAGTGAGCCGAGATCGTGCCATTGCACTCCAGCCTGGGCAACAGAGCCAGACTTTGTCTCAAAAAAAAAAAAAAAAAAAAAGATGCAATGTAAACTCACATTCCTTCAGTTGTCCTAATAGTGTTCTTTTTCCTCCCAATTCAGGATCCAGTGAAGAACTACACATTGCATTTAGTTGTCATGTTTCTTTAATTTCCTTTCCTCTGGAAGTTTACTTAGCTTCTTTTTGTGACATTGGCACTGTGACAAATGACATTGATATTTGAAGAGTCTAAATCTAACCCAGTTGTTTTGAAGACTGTTCCTCAATTTGGAATTCTCTGATTATATCCTCATGGATAGATTTGAATTAAACATCTTGGGGCTGGATTGCTCTGAGGGATGTCTTTCTCATGCATCACATCATTATTGGTGCTGTGAAATTGGATAACTTGATTAAGTTGATGTCTGTCTGGTTTCACCATATCCTGTTGCCAACAACCTGTCATTTAGTGTGGTTACAGTAACTTCTCAAGGGTAAAAACTGCCTTAAAAAAAAATTCCACAACACATACAGCCCGTTTAGGACTTCATAAAAAGGTAGATAAGGTACCTCTTGACCTTTTGTTAAATAAAGAAGGGCCTAGCATACATTGGCATTTTGTCAGAGTATTTAGCTGGGTTAAAAACAATTATCTTGCTGATAAAAGAAAATCAATGAATAAATCAGTTTCTGTCAGCCAGAGTCTGCAAAATGCAGTACCTGTGTAAACATCGATTGTTCTCTTGATCCCAAAACACAGATTCATTAAAACTTATGTGAAAGAGAGTTTTCCTCCTTTATATTTGTTCTAGAAGAGGCAAAGAATGTTCTTTGGATTCTTACATTACAGTATTGACTTTTTCAGTGGCATAGTAACTTGGAATGGCCAAGGACAAATTTTCGCAGAGCGTGCAATATTCTGAATGACAGAGAAGGGGCAATGATTTGGAAATGAAATTGTAACGGTGCACCTGGGATGGATCCGTTGGTCCTGAAGAGAAACAATATTCATATTTTTTCTCCAGTTAACTATTCCAGGAAGGGATGTCTTAACGCCTCATATTTTGGAGAGCACAGGGAGTTATAACTCAATTTCAAGCAAAGATAGGAGGAAGCCAGTGGGCTGATTTCCTGATTAAGCAGGCAAAGATGACATGTGGTTTGATTTGTCATTTTCAATTTTAAATGAGCTCTGTCACATGCACTAATTATGCATTGTCTTTCCTGTGTTAGATTCCTTTCAAATATGATACTCTTTGTGACTTCAGTGTGTTTGTGGTCATTTGGGCAAAGCAGCACTTTTGTGAAATCGTAGCTTGAATCACTGGTAGCATTTGGTAAGCTTCACAGAGCTGATTTGATTACAGTGCTGACATCACTGTGCTGATGACCTAAGGCCTAGGTTGAGCCCTGTGTGAACCACTGTTGGTTTTGCTTTATTTATTGACTGGGAAATCAACTATCTGTTTGGCCCATGCTTTTGAAATCTTGGGTCATCATTTGCATCATCTCACTGCACTCCTGGTTTAAGACATACAGGGGTCTCTGTTGCACAATATGTCAAGCACAGACCCCTCTACCTGATTTTTCAGGATTCTGCATTACCAGTTTCCATTCATCCAGTCCAGTCTCATTTCCCACAACTCCATAGTTGCCTTCCACTTTATTTAGACTTCTTACTGTGTGACCTTGAGCAAGTTATTTAATTTCTGAACCTTGGCTTCCTGTCTATAGAGTAGGAATCATACGAATAGCTTCTACATCATAGGGTTTTTAATGACAATTAACTGAGATAATATCTTTTAAAAATAATAACCTTCCATTATGGAGATGTTAATACAAGTACCAAGAACTGTGCTAAACTTTTAAAATTTGTTGTCTCACTTCATCATAACAGTTTGATGAGGTAGGAGGAGCTGGTGGTAGTGGTAGTTGCACAGGTAGTAGTAATGATAACGTTGGTGCTTATTGAGCACTTAATATGTTCCGGGTATTTTACATGTTTCCAGTGAACCCTGTGAACAGTCTTACAAGGTTGATACTATAATTGCCATTTGATAGATAGGAAATTTAAGCATAATGAGATTAAGTAACTTGCCCAGATTCACATAGCCAAAGAATGCAAGAGCTGGATTGAAATCCAGGCCACACTTTTAGATACTAGTTTCATCCCATTTTTAGTTTAGAAGGAAAACTTAGGGAGTAATTAACTAAAACTCTCACAGCATATAAATGGCAGAGCTAGAATGTGAACCCAAATCTGATTTCAAAACTATATTCTTTGTCATACTCCACTGCCTGCAGACTGCTGAAAACAATGCTTTCTGATATGCTATTGTAGAGTGGATCGATTGTGATTTAATATACATCACATTGTTGTTTCTTCACTCAGGAAAGATGGCATATTGCCTGGATTAACTGTTACACAGGGAACCAGGCTTTTGGCCACTGCTTGCCACCCTGACTGTACCTGTTGAGTTGACGTAGGTGGTGAACACCCTGGGAGCATGGTGGATATTTGGCAGGATACTTGCCCATGGCTGGAATTCCCAGTGGTGACATTGGTGTTAAGTGGGCCATTTCTGTTGATTCAGCAGGAGGACGTGGCTGCCCAAGATGTCAATAGCTGATGGGAGGCAGATAATAATGGGGAGAGGACATGGCTGTTGGATGGGACAGCACTTTGTTCCCAAGTCTGCTCTGAAATTGCCCACAGCTAGCTAAACCATGTTGGACTTAAGACATTTCTCAGTTTCAGTTTTAGGTGGTAGTCCCCAAATTCTAAAAGCGGACTACTACATCTTGACAGGAATTCTTTTTTTTTTTTTTTTTTTTTGAGACAGAGTCTCTCTGTGTTGCCCAGGCTGGAGTGCAGTGTCGCGATCTCGGCTCACTGCAAGCTCTGCCTCCCCGGTTCATGCCATTCTCCTGCCTCAGCCTCCCGAGTAGCTGGGACTACAGGCACCTGCCACCACGCCCGGCTGATTTTTTTTTGTATTTTATTGATTGATTGATTGATTGATTGTAGAAACGGGGTTTCACCATGATAGCCAGGATGGTCTTGATTTCCTGACCTCATGATCCGCCTGCTTCGGCCTCCCAAAGTGCTGGGATTACAGGTGTGAGCCACCGTGCCTGGCCCCCAACTTGACAGGAATTATTATTATTATTATTATTATTATTAAGACGGAGTCTCGCTCTGTCGCCCAGGCTGGAGTGCAGTGGCGTGATCTTTGCTCACTGCAAACTCCGCCTCCTGGGTTTATGCCATCCTCCTGCCTCAGCCTCCTGAGTAGCTGGGACTACAGGCGCCCGCCACCACACCTGGCTAATTTTTTGCATTTTAGTAGAGACGGGGTTTCACTGTGTTAGCCAGGATGGTCTCAATCTCCTGACCATGTGATTCGCCCGTCTTGGCCTCCCAAAGTGCTGGGATTACAGGTGTGAGCCACAGCGCCCGGCAGATGGGAATTCTTTTACAGATATTTGATACCCAGAAAGGGGTGTGAGCCCAGACTGATAACTTACTTTTCTTTTTCAGGAAGGATGTCGATTCTGCGCTTCTCAGTAACTACGTGGTAAATTGAACTGTTACATTTTCCTCTCTGATAATTTGCCCTTTGCTTGTAAGATTGTTGAATTGATTTTGGTTAGAAATGACTGAATTCAGACTAGGTGCAATGGCTCACGCCTATAATCCCAGCACTTTGGGAGGCTGAGGCAGATGGATCACTTGAGGTCAGGAGTTCGAAACCAGGCTGGTCAACATGGTGTAACCCCATCTTTACTAAAAATACAAAAATTAGCCAGCTGTGGTGGCACGTGCCTGTAGTCCCAGCTCCTTGGGATCCCAACTGAGGTAGGAGGATCACTTGAACCTGGGAGGGGGAGGTTGCAATGAGCCAAGATCACGCCACTGCACTCCAGCCTGGGCAATAGAGCCAGGCTCTGTCTCCAAAAAAAAAAAAAAAAAAAAGGATGTAGTTGAATTTTCCACTTCAAAACAAGACATGTGGCACCATCTAGTGGACCTTGGAATAGTCTAAGCTTTATATGTTATACGTATACGTAGTACTTCAGGGAAGCTGGGAAGACTCTAATTCAGAGCAGGCAAATTTCAGTAAATCTCAAAGATTCTAGATAATCATTTGGGATGTAGTCATAGGATAGAAGCATCTATTTTAGAGCTGTTTCTGCAAAATTTCCCATTGAAATATTTATGCTTTTTCCTAATTATCACCCTTGATATATTTATATATTTATAATGCTTTTATACATTGTTATTTTAATCTTCAAATAGTCTTTTGGGTATTAACATTGTTATTTTGAAAGTGAGTTTAGTTGACTCACCTTTCTGAATAGTAGAAATTAACAAATTTATAATTTTTGGGGCCTAGGGTGGGGTTCCCAGGGAAAGGAAAAGAAGGAAAAAGATTGGTAAGACGGAAGATATTCCAGCATTTTTGCCTCCTATTTGGCACTAGCAAAACCATCTGATAGGCTCACTCCAGGTGTAGAAAGAACCATTTATACCTTGACTGTGAATTTTCCATGTGCTAGAGTCTAAACTCAGGAAGACTCAGAGGAGGTCTAGAAGGTAGTAGCTTAAGTGCTGTGGCTCATGCCTGTAATCTCAGCACTTTGGAAGGCCAAGGAGAGAAGACTGCTTGAGGCTATGAGTTAGAGATCAGCCTGGGAAACCTAGCAAGACCCCCAGCTCTTAAAAAAATAAATTAGCTGGGCATGGTAGCAAACACCTACTATGGTCCTAGCTACTTGGAAGGCAGAGGGGAGGTTTGCTTCAGCCCAGGAGTTTGAGGTTACAGTGATGACCACTGTACTCTAGCCTGGGAGACAGCCTTTGGGACCCTGTCCCCTAAAAAAAGCTCCCAGAGTGGAAGACAGCAAAAAGAAAGAAACCGCCTCCCTTCCACATCCCCCCAAAAGAAAAGAAGGTAGTAGAATAAACAGAGTTGGCCATATTCTTTCCTCTCTAAAGGCTCAGTCTCAAGTGGTTGCAGCTTAGAACAGGAAGGAAATGGTTGAATGGTTTTTGGCCAAGCCTTTGGCTTTTAGGAGCCTCCTTGTCCAGTTTGGACTTTGCTAGGCGTTTGGGTGTTTTATCCATTGGGGAAACATTGCATTCATTGATCTCATGCCACTATTTCTGAAAGGAACAGCAGATGAGAGGGGTCGCATTGTATTTAGTGATGGTGTGTGAGCCTGCATTTTCTTCACTTCTGTGGTAGAATCTCTAAAACAGGAATGAGACTGAGATTCCCCCCTGCCTCCAGCACTCTAATGCATGCATGTTTTATCCTTGTGGGGAAAGTTTGCTTCTAAAAATCCATAGCATTTTTTCCTCCCCTTTTTTTGGTAAACTCTGTCTTATCACTTGCTTCAAAATTTTTCTTTTCCAGAAAGAAATTATTATGTTAGATTTTTTTTTTTTTTTTTTTTTTGAGATTGAGTCTCACTCTGTCGCCCAGGCTGGAGTGCAGTGGCATGATCTCGCCTCACTGCAAGCTCCACCTCCCGGGCTCATGCCATTCTTCTGCCTCAGCCTCCCGGGTAGCTGGGACTACAGGCGCCCGCCACCACGCCCGGCTAATTTTTTTTGTATTTTTAGTAGAGATGGGGTTTCACCGTGTTAGCCAGGATGGTGTCGATCTCCTGACCTCGTGATCCGCCTGCCTTGGCCTCCCAAAGTGCTGGGATTAAAGGTGTGCACCACTGCACCTGGCCTATGTTAGATTTTTATACTAGAGAAGCAGAATTCTTTTTTAACAAAATATTTGTTTTAAGAAAATTTGCTTTCAAATAGTATATTTTTGAGATCAGAGGAGATTAGTGATGTGTATATTCATAGGAAATGTTTGAAATTGTTTTTTTTTTTTTGAGATGGAGTCTTGCTCTGTTGCCCAGGCTGGAGTGCAGTGGCGTGATCTCAGCAACCTGCAACCTCTGCCTCCCAGGTTCACGCCATTCTCTTGCCTCAGCCTCAAGAGTA
This sequence comes from Homo sapiens, assembly GCF_000001405.40. NCBI lineage: Eukaryota > Metazoa > Chordata > Mammalia > Primates > Hominidae > Homo > Homo sapiens. The sequence goes on along the minus strand of NC_000007.14, from coordinate 66,029,067 downwards.
GCTGGGACTACAGGTGCCTGCCACCACGCCTGGCTAATTTTTTGTATTTTTAGTAGAGATGAGGTTTCACCATTTTAGCCAGGATGGTCTTGATCTCCTGACCTCATGATCCGCCCGCCTCAGCCTCCCAAAGTGCTGGGATTACAGGCATGAGGCACCGCACCTGGCCATATTTGAAATATTTTAGGTAAATTAATGAATTTGGATTATTTGGCTTATATAAAAGAGCATTTTTTTAATGTCATATGCCTCTGGGACTCATATTTGCTCAAATCCAAGAATTGGAAGCTGCGTAATGGGCGGGTGAAAGGAAGTACTACAGTTTCCTGTTTATCCTTCAAAACCACTGACCTTAGATAGATATATTTCTCAAATTTATTCATAAACTTCTTTTGTGTATCTTCTCCTGGGTGTTTCATTTACTAACTGATCTGAAAGAGCAGCGTAAAGAAAGTGGAAAGAATAAACACAGCTCTGGGCAACAGAACTTGAACACTATCACCTATGAAGTAAGGCTGGGCTTCTGCCAGGCCTACCTAAAGTACCATTGAGGGAGGGGGGTTTATTCTCCCAACGACTGGCTGCTGAAATCAAGATCGCCTTTTATCTGATTTGAATACTTTTACTGTAACCTGATTTTTATTCTGTTTATAAAAGTGGGAGGAGTTTGGTCAAGTGTAGTGTTTAGCCAGCTACAAAGTTAGAAGGAATAGTCTAAAAGATTGCTCTCACTTCTCCTTGAAAGGGAATCACTGCTCACTGCAGCCTCAACCTCCCAGGCTCAAGTGGTGCTCCGAGCTCAGCTTCCCAAGTAGCTGGGAATATGGGTATGCACTGCCATGCCTGGCTAATTTTTTTGTTGTTGTCCAGGGTGGTCTTGAATCCCTGGGCTCAAGGGATCTTCTCACCGCATCTTTCCAAAGTGCTGGGGACTTAGACACTTAAGGCTATTGTTTATTTTTCAAGTTTCAGATTCTTCCCAAAATATGTAATTATAATTCCTCTCAAATTATATCTGTATTCTTCTTCAAAAGCCACAAATTCTGTGTAATCATGAGAAAATATCAGACCATTGCAAATCAATTTTAAAAAAACACCTTTTATTTTGAAATCATTTTTCTTTTTTTTTTTTGGAGATGGAGTCTCCCTCTTGTTGCCCAGGCTGGAGTGCAATAGCACGATCTTGGCTCACCACAACCTCCGCCTACCAGGTTTAAGTGATTGTCCCGCCTCAGACTCCTGAGTAGCTGGGATTACAGGCATGCGCCACCTCGCCTGACTAATTTTGTATTTTTAGTAGAGATGGGGTTTCTCCATGTTAGTCAGGCTGGTATCGAACTCCCAACCTCAGGTGATCCGCCGATCTTGGGCTCCCAAAGTGCTCGAATTATAGGTGTGAGCCACTGCGCCCAGCCATTTTTCTCTTACATAAAAGTTGTAGAGACAGGTGCTGGGAGTTCTTGTGTACCCTTCCCATAGTTTTCTCCGATGTTAACATCTTACATAACCATGGTCTATACCATGAAAAACCAAGAAATTAACATTGGTACATACTATTAAACTAAGCTAAAATTTTATTTGAATACCTTGTTTTCCCACTGCTGTTTTCTGAGTTCCAGGATTCAGTTCAGGATACCATTTTTTTTTTTTTTTTTTTTTTTTTTTTTTTGAGAGGGAGTCTCTCTCGCTCTGTCGCCCAGGCTGGAGTGCAGTGTCATGATCTCGGCTCACTGCAAGCTCCGCCTCCCAGGTTCACGCCATTCTCCTGCCTCAGCCTCCCGATAGTAGCTGGGACTACAGGCGCCCGCCACCACACCTGGCTAATTTTTTGTATTTTTAGTAGAGACGGGGTTTCACCGTGTTAGCCAGGATGGCCTCAATCTCCTGACCTTGTGATCCACCTGCCTCGGCCTCCCAAAGTGCTGGGATTACAGGTGTGAGCCACCGCACCTGGCTCAGGATACCATTTTATATTTAGTTAACATGTTCCCATAATGTCATTTGTTCTGTGTCCTTACTCTTCCTTTGTCTTCCTTGACACTTGTGAAGGGCTGGTCAAGTATTTTGTAGAACGTCCCTTGATTTGTGATTGTCTGACGTTTTCTTATGATTACACAGAACCTGTGGCTTTTGAGGAAGAGTACCACAGAGGTGATCTCCCCTTCTCGTGTCCTGATATCTCAGGGTACATGATATCGATGTTTCTTTCTTTTTTTTTTTTTTTTTTGAGATGGAGTCTCTCTCTGTTTCCCAGGCTGGAGTGCAGTGGCACAGTTTTGGCTCACTGCAACCTTCACCTCCTGGATTCATTCCATTCTCCTGCCTCAGCCTCCCGAGTGGCTGGGACTACAGGTGCCGGCCACCATGCCCGGCTAATTTTTTGTATTTTTTTAGTAGAGACGGGGTTTCACCGTGTTAGCCAGGATGGTCTCAATCTCCTGACCTCGTGATCCGCCCGCCTCGGCATCCCAAAGTGGTGGGATTACAGGTGTGAGCCACCGTGCCCGGCCAATGTCGGTGTTTCTTATGGCTACTATTGTTAACTTTGGTCATTTGGTTAAGATAGTATCTGCCTGGATTGTCCACTGTAAAGCTACTGTTTCTTCATTTCCATATTATGTTAGAAAGGATTCACCAAGTTCAGCCCATATTCAAGGGGAAGAGGGAGATTAAGCTTCACCTCTTGAAGGGAGGGATATCAAAGAATTTGTGGATATATGTTAAAACCACCACAGTAATTAAAAAATATTTTTTGGGAGATGCTTTGTGGCTAGGAAAACAGCCTACCCTTTGCTTATGCTTTTAACCACCAATTTTAGCATTCATTGGTGGATCTTTCCTGAAGTAATTATAACTATGGTACAGTTGCCTGATAGTGATTTAAAAATTTTTCTCATTCCTTCTATGCTTATTAGATTTTTATATATATATTTTTTTAAGAGACTAGATTTTGCTGTGTTGCTTCAGGCTGGTTTCAAACTCCTGGCTCAAGTGATCTTCCTGCCTTGGCCTCCCATAGTGCTGGGATTACAGGTATGCACCACTGCACCCAGGTCATATGAGTTAGAATTCTTCCATAAGAAAAAGTTGTCTCTTCTTACCCATTTATTTATTCATTAGTATATATCCATGTAGACTCAAGGCAATTTATTTTATTCTTTGGGTTCCCCCTTTAAAAAAATTGTCCGAAATATAACATAATTGTCAGAGTGAGTTTTTTTTTTTTTTTTAACATCAGAAAAGTTTTCTCCTAAAATTTCATTACTTATTCTTCCTGTCCTAGCTACTGGTTTTCTCTTTCAGGAATTCCAATTACATGAAGATTGGTTCTCCTGAACACCTCTTTGCTTGTTTTATACAGGATTTATTTATTTATTTATTTATTGAGACAGAGTGTCACTCTGTCACCCAGGCTGGAGTGCTGTGGTGCGATCTCAGCTCATTGCAACCTCTGCCTCCTGGGTTCAAGTGATTCTTCTGCCTCGGCCTCCCTAGTATCCGGGATTACAGGCATGCACCACCATGCCCAGCTTTTTTTTTGTATTTTCAGTAGATATGGCGTTTCACCATGTTGGCCAGGCTGGTCTCGAACTCCTGACCTTGGGTAGTCTGGCCACCTTGGCCTCCCAAAGTGCTGGAATTACAGGTGTGAGCCACTGTACCCGGCTTGTACAGGATTTTTAAAACAAAATTTTAGAATTTTAATTACAGCCATTGCGTTTCCTTTTTCTCATTCAGGGTTCTTTGTGTTATGTTTGGCTTTTTTCTTTTTCCAGACGTGAAAATACATATCAAAAACACTGTGCAGGCACCAGAGTCCTGAGATTGTCAGAGAATTTCTCACAGCAATGAAAAGCCACAAGTTGACCAAGTAAGTTAACCTCTTAAGTAGGAAGAGAGTGACACATGGTGAAATGATAGCTGAGGAAAGCCATTCGTAGCAACCGTGTATTGATATTCAGCTGAGTTTGGATTTAAAGGAGGATTATAGTATTGTAGATGAAACAATTAAACGTTAGACATAGGGACCCTTCTAGAGTAAGGAACAAAACTTAATGGGGTTTTAAAAATCTTTTCTTGGAGTTCCAGTTTGTATGACCTATCCCATCACCCCCACTCCCAGAATTCAGACCAAATTGGATGAAAAGTAGGGTTGACAAGTTAAAGTACTTTTTATAAAATTGATCAATGAAGTCCTTTGATGTTTGTGTTTGCTTGAGGCAAAAGTGGCTTGATCATATTCTGTGAGTTCTTGTAGTGTCCAGTTCCTTTTCTTGGTCTGGAATGAGTTCAACCTATTAAAATCGAAAACATCATAGATCAAGAGTTTAGAGGAGAAAAAAACTAGCCCAAGTTTTTTAGAGTCAGTTCTAGAGCTGATAAATTTCAAAAGCTTTTGTCATTTCACTTAGAATAATCAGTAACTTTCTTTTGGAGGACCCATTTGGTGTTACATCAGGCACACAGGTGGTACAATCCACGAACTAAATGCACTTCTCCCACCCTCTTTCTCCAAGTGAACTCTGAAGACAAAACATCTTCCGTGTGTGTGTGCAAATCTTCCATGTGTATCTTCTGTACTGGTGTATAACATTTTTTAAAAACTGTAGTAAAATACACATAACATAGCCGGGCACCGTGGCTCATGCCTGTAATCCCATTTCTTTGGGAGCCCGAGGCAGGCGGGTCACCTGAGGTTGGGAATTCGAGACCAGCCTGACTAACATGGAGAAACCCTGTCTCTACTAGAAATACAAAATTAGCTGGGTGTGGTGGCACATACCTGTAATCCCAGCTACTCGGGAAGCTGAGGGAGGAGAATCGCTTGAACCTGAAAGGCAGAGGCTGCGGTGAGCTGAGATTGCGCCATTGCACTCCAGCCTGGGCAACAAGAGTGAAACTCTGTCTCAAAAAATATATATAAATAAATACACATATCAAAATCTAACATTTTAGGCCAGGTGTGGTGGCTCACAGCTGTAATCCCAGCACTTTGGGAGGCTGAGGCGGGTGGATCGCTTGAGGCCAGGAGTTCAAGACCAGCCTGGCCAACATGATGAAACCTTGTCTCTACTAAAAATAAAAAATTAGCCAGGCATGGTGGCAGGTACCTCTAATCCCAGCTACTCGGGAGGCTGAGGTAGGAGAATTGCTCGAACCTGGGAGGTTGTAGTTAGCCAAGATTGCGCTACTGCACTCCAGCCTGGGTGATAGAGCAAGACTCTGTCTCAAAAAAAATTACCATTTTAACCATTTCTAAGTGTACAGTTCAATTGTTGCAACCAATATGCAGACCTTTTCAGTTTGCAAAACTGAAATTCTGTATCCCTTAAACAATTCTGCACTTGCTTCTCCTCTGTCCCTGGCAGCCACCGTTCTGGTTTTTGTTTCTATGAGTTTGACTCCCTCATACAAGTGGAACCATACGGTGTTTTTTTCTTTTTTTTAAGTCATATCTGAATGTTTAATTTTTAAAATTATTTTAACAATTGAAGTGTGCAGTTCAGTGGCATTAAGTAAATTCACATTGTACAATCATTGCCATCTATCCACAGAACATTTTATCTTGCAAAACTGAAACTCTGTGCCCAGTAATCAATAAATTACCCATTCTCCCCTCCTCCTAGCCCCTGGCAACGACCATTCTATTTTCTGTCTTCATGAATTTGACTATACTTAGTACTGCATGTAAATGGGATCGCACAGTATTTGTCCTTATATCATTTAGCATAATGTCTTTGCCCGGGCGTGGTGGCTCATGCCTGTAATCCCAGCACTTTGGGAGGCTGAGGTGGGCAGATCATCTGAGGTTGGGAGTTCGAGACCAGCCTGACCAACATGGAGAAACCCTGTCTCTACTAAAAATACAAAATAAGCCAGGCGTGGTGGCGCATGCCTGTAATCCCAGCTACTTGGAAGGCTGAGGCAGGAGAATCACTTGAACCCAGGAGGCGGAGGTTGCAGTAAGCTGAGATTGCACCATTGCACTGCAGCCTGGGCAACAAGACCAAAATTCCATCTCAAAAAATAATGTATGAGAACTTCCTTCCTTTGTATGGCTGAGTAATATTCCATTTTATATGTAAACCACATTTTGTTTTTCTTTCTTTCTTTTTTTTTTTTTGAGATGGAGTCTCGCTCTGCTGCCCAGACTGGAGTGCAGTGGAGCAGTCTCGACTCACTGCCATCTCTGCCTCTCGGGTTCAAGCGATTCTCCTGCCTCAGCCTTCCAAGTAGCTGGGATTACAGGTACTCGCCACCAAGCCTGGCTAATTGTTTTGTATTTTTTCAGTAGAGACAGGGTTTCACCATGATGGTCAGGCTTATTTTTGAGCTCCCGACCTCAAGTGATCCATCCGTGTCGGCCTCCCAAAGTGTTGGAATTACAGGTGTGAGCCACTGCGCCTGGCCCACAGTTTGATTTTCTAACATCCATTGATGGATACTTCCTTCCACCTTTTGGCTATGGTGAATAATGCTGCTATGAGCATGGGGGCTCAGATATCTCTGTGAGACCCTGCTTTCAGTTCTTTGGGTACACAGAAGTGAAATTGATACATCATATAATATTTTTGTTTTTAACTTTTTTGCGGAACTACCATACTATTTTTTTCTGTTGGCTACACCATTTTACAGTCCTAACAACAGTACACTAGAGTTCCAATTTCTCCACATCCCTGCCAACTTTTCTCATTTATTTCCTTCCTTCTTTCCTCCCTCCCTCTAGCATCTATGAAGTGTGAAGTAGTCTCTTATTGTGGTTTTATTTTGCATTTCCGTAATGATAAGTGATGCTGAGCATGGTTTTACATGCTTATTAGCCATTTGTATGTCTTCTTTGGAGAATATCTATTCCAGTCATTTTCCCTCTTTTTGTTTTTGAGACAGGGTCCCACTCTGATGCCCAGGTTGAAGTACAATAGTGCTATCTTGGCTCACTGCAGCCTTGACCTTCCCAGGCTCAGGTGAGCCTCCTCAGTAGCTGGGACTACAGGCATGCCACCACCATGCCCACTTAATTTTTGTATTTTTTGTACAGACAGGGTTTCTCCACATTCCCTGGGCTGGCCTCAAATTCCTAGGCTCAACTGATCCACCCACCTTAGCCTTTCAAAGGGATTACAGATGTGAGCCACCACACCTGGTCCTTTTTCCAAATTCGAATGAGGTTTTTTTGGTTCAGTTTTAGGAATTTTATATATATTCTGGATATTAATCCTTTTGTAGATATATGGTTTGCAAATATTTTCTCCCATTCTGTGGGTTGTCTTTTTACTCTGTTGGTAAGAGTCCTGTGGTGCACAAAGTTTTTAAATGAAGTCCAATTTGTCGCTTTTCTTTTGTTACTTGTGCATTTGATGTCAGAAATCCAATAAACTATTATCAAATTCAGTGTCATGGCTAGGCACGGTGGCTCATGCCTGTAATCCCAGCACTTTGGGAGGCCGAGGTGAGCGGATCACCTGAGTTCTCAAGTTCGAGACCAGCCTGGCCAACATGGCGAGACCCTGTCTCTACTAAAAATACAAAAATTAGCTGGGTGTGGTGGCGCACGCCTGTAGTCCCAGCTACTCAGGAGGCTGAGGCAGGAGAATCTCTTGAACCCAGGAGGTGGAGGTTGTGATGAGCCAAGATCATGCCATTGCACTCCAGCCTGGACAACAGAGTGAGACTCTGTCTCAAAAAAAAAACAAAAAACAAAATTTCGGTGTCATGAAGCGTTTTCTGTATGCTTTCTTCTAAGAAGTTTATTGTTTTAGTCTTATGTTTAAGTATTTGATCCTCTATTTAAAAATTAAAAAGAATTTTAAATTAAAAGATTTAATTGACATAATTGTGCATATTTATGGCATATAAAGTCATATTTTGATATGTATATAATATTTAATGCTCAAATTAAGGTAATTAGCATACTTATCACTGCAAATATTTATCCATTTTCAGTTAATTTTTGTATATAGCATAAGGTAAGGATCCACCTTCTTTCCTTTGCATGTGAATATCCAGTTTTTCTAGTACCATTTGCTGAAAAGATGATCCATCTCTCTTGAATGGTCTTAGTCTCCTTATCAAAATTATTTGACCATATATGCAAGTGTTTTCTTTCTGGGCTCTCTACTCTGTTGGTCTGTATATCTGTTTCTCTGCTAATACTACACTATTTTGATTGCTATAGCTTTACAAGAAGTTTTGAAATTGGGAAGTATGACTACTCAGACTTTATTTTTCTTTTTCAAAATTGTTTTAGCTACTTGGGGTCCCTTTGGATTTCATATGAATTTTAGGATGGATTTCCCTATTTCTGAGAAAAATGCCAATGAGGTTTTTTTTTTTTTTTTTTTTTTTTTGAGACAGAATCTCGCTCTGTCACCTAGGCTGTAGTATAATGGCGTGATCTTGGCTCACTGCAACCTCTACTTCCCGAGTTCATGTGCCACCATGGCTAATTTTTTTATTTTTAGTAGAGATGGGGTTTCACTATGTTGTCCGGGCTGGTCTCGAATTCCTGACCTCGTGATCCATCTACCTTGGCCTCCCAAAGTGCTGGGATTACAGGTGTGAGCCACCGTGCCCGGCCTACCATTGAGATTTTGATAGGGATTGCATTGAATAATATATCAATCACTTTAGGTAGTATTGACATCTTAATATTAGGAAGTCTTCAATGGATGTGCTTCCATTTGTTTGTGTCATCTTTCACAATTTCTATTGTTGTTGTTATTGTTGTTTTGAGATGGAGTCTCGCTCTGTCACCTAGGCTGGAGTACGGTGGTGTGATCTCTGCTCACTGCAACCTCTGCCTCCCGGATTCAAGCGATTCTCCTGCCTCAGCCTCCTGAGTAGCTGGGATTACAGGCACGTGCCACCACGCCCAGATAATTTTTGTAATTTTAGTAGAGATGGCATTTCACCGTGTTGGTCAGGGTGGTCTCAAACTCCTGACCTCAGGTGATCTGCCGGCCTCAGCCTCCAAAAGTGCTGGGATTACAGGCGTGAGCCACTGCACCCGGCCAATTTTTGTATTTTTAGTAGAGATGGGGTTTCGCCGTGTTGGCCAGGCTGGTCTTGAACTCCTGACCTCAGGTGATCCCCCTGCCTCGACCTCTCAAAGTGCTAGGATTACAGGCATGAGCCATCGTGCCCGGCCTATGTAACATTTTTGAATTGACTTGTTGATACCTGCAACAAATCCTACTGAGATTCTGATTGGGATTGTGTTATATCTATAGGTCAGTTTTGGCAGAGAATTGACATCTTGACAATATGAATAATTTTATTTATTTATTTATTTATTTATTTATTTATTTATTTATTTTTGAGACAGAGTCTCTGTCGCCTAGGCTGGAGTGCAGTGGTGCGATCTCGGCTCACTGCACGCTCCACCTCCTGGGTTCATGCCATTCTCCTGCCTCAGCCTCCTGAGTAGCTGGGACTACAGGTGCCTGCCACCACGCCCGGCTAATTTTTTGTATTTTTAGTAGAGATGGGGTTTCACTGTGTTAGCCAGGATGGTCTCGATCTCCTGACCTCGTGATCTGCCCGCCTCGGCCTCCCAAAGTGCTGGGATTATAGGCGTAAGCCACTGCGCCCGGCCAACAATATGAATAATTTAAGATCAGTCAAAGGTTAAAAAAAACAACAACAATAGTGAGCCTTCCAGTCCATGAAAACAGTGTAGCGTACAGGTTCTGCACAAATTTTTTAAAATTTATACCTATTTTATAATTTTGGGTGCTATTATAAATGGTGCTCATTTCCAGTTCTTGATTGCTGATATAGAAATATAGCTGAATTTATATTGATCTTATGCCCTCCAGCCTTGCTAAATACACTTATTAGTTCCAGGAACTTTTTTAGTTTATTCTTTAGGATTTTCTATGCTGACAGTCATGTTGTCTGCAAATAGAGTTTTATTTCTTTCTCATCTGTATGTCTTTTCTTTTTCTTATTTCATTGCCCCAGCTGGGGCCTACAGGACGATGTTGAGTAGGAGTGGTGAGAGCAGACATCCTCATCTTGTCCCTGATCTCAAGGGAAACAGTCAGTCCTTTACCATTAAGTATGATGTTAGTGTAGGTTTTCTATGGATGTCCTTCAACAGGTTTACGAAGTTCAAATTGCTGAGATTGGGTGTTGAATCTTGTCACTTGCTTTTTCTGTATCTATAAATCTAAAAAGATTTGTAGTCTTTTGGCTGTATCTTTTTTGTTTATTTTTATTTTTAGTAGTTACTGTAAGGATAATAATATGCATGCCTGACCATTTATAGTCCAGAGTTAATATTTGACCAGTTAGTAAATGTATATAAGTCTCTTTACATTATAGTTGTTGTATTTATAACATATAATCTACATACATTGAAACATAAAATCTAGGTACTGTTAGTAGTGTTTTAACATTTACTTTCTATATTCTTTTTTTTTTCTTTTTTTGAGACAGAGTCTCACTCTGTCACCAGGCTGGAGTGCAGTGGCGCGATCTTGACTCACTGCAACCTCGGACTCCCTGGTTCCAGCTATTCTCCTGCCTCAGCCTCCTGAGTAGCTGGGATTACAGGCATGTGCCACCACGCCAAGCTAATTTTTATATTTTTAGTAGAGACAGGGTTTCACCATGTTTGCCAGGATGGTCTCGATCTGCTGACCTCGTGATCTGCCCACCTCTGCGTCCCAAAGTGCTGGGATTACAGGCGTGAGCCACCGTGCCTGGCCTATTTACTTTCTATATTCTTACATATTTTAAAGAACTTAAGATAACAAAAATAGTCTTTTATGTCTACCCAAGATGTCATCATTTCTTTCACTCTCTGTCGCCCAGGCTGGAATACAGTGGTGCAATCTCGGTTCACTGCAAGCTCCGCCTCCTGGGTTCACGCCATTCTGCTGCCTCAGTCTCCCAGGTGGCTGGGACTACAGGCGCCCGCCGCCACACCTGGCTAATTTTTTGTATTTTTAGTAGAGACCGGATTTCACCGTGTTAGCCAGGATGGTCTCGATCTCCTGACCTTGTGATCCGCCTGCCTCGGCCTCCCAAAGTGCTGGGATTACAGGTGTGAGCCACAGCGCCAGCCAAGAATGTAATTAGTTTCTTTCATTCCTGAAGGATAATTTCACTGGGTTGATTGGTCTTTTCCTTCAGAACTTTAAAGATGTCATTTCAGTGACTTCTGACTGTCACAGTTTCTGATTAGAAATCTGTAATCAGGCCAGGTGTGGTGGCTCATGCCTGTAATCTCAACACTTTGGGAGACCAAAGCAGGAGGATCACTTGGGGCCAAGAGTTTGAGACCAGCCTGGGCAACATAGCAAGACCCCATCTCTTTTTTTTTTAAGACAGAGTCTCGCTCTGTCACCCAGGCTGGAGTGCTGTGGCGCAATCTCTGCTCGCTGCAAGCTCCACCTCCCAGGTTCACGCCATTCTCCTGCCTCAGCCTCCTGAGTAGCTGGGACTACAGGCTCCCGCCACCACGCCCAGCTAATTTTTTGTATTTTTAGTAGAGATGGGTTTCACCGTGTTAGCCAGGATGGTCTTGATTTCCTGACCTCATGATCCACCCGCTTCGACCTCCCAAAGTGCTGGGGTTACAGACATGAGCCACCGCGCCTGGCCCAATTAATTATTTTTTAAAAAATAGAGATGGGGGCCGGTCGTGGTGGCTTATGCCTGTAATCCCAGCACTTTGGGAGGCTGAGGAGGGCGGATCACAAGGTCAGGAGATCGAGACAATCCTGGCTAACACGATTAAACCCCATCTCTACTAAAAATACAAAAAATTAGCCGGGTGTGGTAGCGGGTGCCTGTAGTCCCAGCTACTTGGGAGGCTGAGGCAGGAGAATGGCATGAACCCGGGAGGCAGAGCTTGCAGTGAGTGGAGATCGTGCTACTGCACTCCAGCCTGGGAGACAGAGTGAGACTCTATCTCAAAAAAAGAAAATAATAATAATAATAATAATTAATTGAAAAAAAGTTTTTAAAAATCTGCTATCACCCTAACCCTAATGTGTCATTTTCCTCTGGCTGCTTTTAAGATTTTTGTATTCCCTCTCTACTCCCACTGCTTCACTTGACTAGCCTAAGGAAAATTTTTTTAAATAAAATTAAATTTGAAAAAAGATTGTTCAAGTCTTTGGTCTGCAATAATTTGATAATGATATATTTCAGCATTTTTTCCCCAATTTATCTTTACTGAGCTTCTTGATTATGTAAATTTATGTTTCTTACTAAATTTGTGAAGTTTTTAACTATTCTTGAAATATTTTTCTGTCCCAAACTCTTTCTCCTCCTTTTCTTGAATTCCAAAAACACAGTGAGCTGAGACTGTGTCACTGCCCTCCAGCCTGGGTGACAGAGAGAGACTCCAATCACCCAATCACTCCTGGGTGATTGGTAGACCTCTGATGCTGCTGTACAGGTTTCTGTGGTTCTGTTCCTTTTTTTAAAAAAAATTATATTTCAAATGGAATAATTTCTCTCTTTTTTTCTGTCTCTTTTTAAATAGAGACAGGGTTTCACTCTGTTGCCCAAGCTGAAGTGCGGTGGCGCGATCAGGCTCACTGCAGCCTCAAAGTCTTAACGGGATAATTTCTGTTGATCTGTCTGTATACACACAGATTGTTCTGGCATCTTCCGTTATCAAGCCTACCAGTGAATTTTTCATTTCAGGTATTTTTCAGTTCTAAAGTTTCCATTTGGTTATTTGTTATAACTTCTGTTCTTTCCTGAGAACTAGTATTGTTCCATTCATTTCAGGAATGTTTACTTTTACCACCGGTTGTTATAGTAGCAGAATCTTGATAATTTTAACATCTGGGTCATCATGGGCTTGGCATCTGTTGATTACCTTTTCCCTGGAGAATGAGTCATATTTTCGTGGTCGAGGTAATTGTAGATTGTATCCTGGGCATTTGAGTATTATATTGTTTGGACTCTGGGTCCTGTTAAAAGCCTCTGGTTTGTGTTTTAGGAGACTGTCAATCCAATTAGGTTCGGACTTCAAGTCGGGGCAAGGATTTCAGTGTCATTTGGTTTTTGAAACCTTTGCCCTGCCACTCTGAGTCTTTGCATATGGGACTGGACTGGCGGTGGAACTTGCTCCCTTCTCACTCGGGGTCTTTGCTGTGCTGGGTCTGTTCCATGCTTGCTGTTTTGGTGCTGTTCTGCACATAAATAGCTCAGGTGAACCTAGGATTTGTGTTGATTGATATTCAAGTTTGGAGGAGTCCCCTTCTCTAGCTCTCCTCTCTGGGACTCCCCCGCTCGTACTCTGGTTCACATGAGATCCCTTTTTTGGTCCTCTAGCCACAAGTTCTGAGTTTCTCTCAAAGGTTTGCCTGCCCGTCTGTTTGTGGTTGTTCTGAATGTCTCTCAAAGGTTTACCTGCCTGCCTAGGTGTGGTTGTTCCCAGTGTCTCTCAAAGGTTTACCTGCCTGCCTGTGTGTGGTTGTTACTAGAGCTGTCCTTGGAGCAGAGCAGGGAAAGTGGAAAAGGAAAAAATGACTCTTGGGCACTTTGGAGAGCAAGGGCTCCCTTCCGGGCTATGCCTGCTGCTGGTCCCTGTGTTGGGGGCTGCCCTTGAGTTGTGAGCTCCTCCCAGGTCTCCAGCCTTTCTCAGTTCCCTGGCCAGAAAGATTGGGTTTCTCCTGGAGTTGGAGCTTTCTATAGAGGCCACCACAGCTGCACCAGGATTGAGGCCCTGAGAGAAAAGAGGGAAAAAAGCCCCAAGAAACTCAGATTCATCCTCCACCCCAAATGGTTCTCAGGTTTTGTTTCCCTCCCAGGCCACCTGCTTTTAATTTGCTTTTCAGAGTCCTCAGGTATATTTTTGTGTATTTTGTCTGGAGATTTCTTCTTCTTTTTTTTCTTTTTTTTTTTTTGAGACGGAGTCTCGCTCTGTTGCCCAGGCTGGAGGGCATTGGCACAGTCTCGGCTCACTGCAACCACTGCCTCCTGGGTTCAAGTGATTCTCCCACCTCAGCCTCCTGAGTAGCTGGGATTACAGGTGCATGCCACCAGCGCTAATTTCTGTATTTTTAGTAGAGATGGGGTTTCTCCATGTTGGCCAGGCTTGTCTTGAACTCCTGACCTCAGGTGATCCGCCGCCTCAGCCTCCCAAAGTGCTGGGATTACAGGTGTGAGCCACTGCGCCCAGCTGTCTCAAAATTTCTCATTGTAATCTATGCAGAGAGAAAGGCTTTCGTGGGCTTTCTCCATCTTGTCCTATAGCAGAAGTCCTAACAGTTGATTTCTAAGGCCTCTTTTCAGCTCTTTGTCTGGGCTGATGTATTGCTTCCTAAGCCCAACATCTTTTCCACTATAAATATGGACAAAGACTGTTCAAAAAACCTACACATAAATAGGCATTGTCTTGCAAGCTGATTCATGATTGGCCATAATCTATATAAATTTAAAGCAGACTGTAATATTCAAGAAGGATTAATTTCAACTCCTTTTTTCCACTTGTGATCTTGAAATCGAGGATTTTAAAAAATCTTTTTCTTTTTTTTTTTTTGAGACGGAGTCTCGCTGTGTCGCCCAGGCTGGAGTGCAGTGGCGCGATCTCGGTTCACTGCAAGCTCTGCCTCCCGGGTTCACACCATTCTCCTGCCTCAGCCTCCCGAGTAGCTGGGACTACAGGCACCTGCTACCATGCCCAGCTAATTTTTTGTATTTTTAGTAGAGATGGGGTTTCACTGTGTTAGCCAGGATGGTCTCGATCTCCTGACCTCATGATCCGCCTGCCTCAGCCTCCCAAAGTGCTGGGATTACAGGGGTGAGCCACCACGCCTGGCCAAAAATCTTTTTAAAAGGCTTTCTAAACCTTTTAACCTCAACCCTTTCATTAATTACTTGGTTCCATGACTGCCAAGAGCAAACGCTACAGGCAGTGTTGTTGTCCAACAGCCAGTAGAGGGAGAGGCAGGCTTCTTCACTGTGGCTGGGCCTGGCTCCTTCTCTGGGAACTTGCAGCCCTTGCAGTTCAAACAGCCTCAGTGTCCCGTGACCCAGGGAGCTGCTTGACCAAAGCCATCAAGACCTGGACCATTGTGTGCTAGTTGCAGCTTAAGACATTACACTTACAACAGGAACTCCTGAAGCGTCTTTAATCCTGGTGTTTGAATATTCACAACAGAATTTTTCTCTGCCATTCTCTCAGGGAGAGGAGATTCAAGATAACAGCCCTTAATGGGTCTGATTCTGTTAGTACAAGCTGGGGCTCTATTAACTTGCTTAAATACCTCCACTACCAGAGAGACCTTGCGGGTAGGGTAGGAACCATGTTTTGTTTGACTTTATAACCTTATTCAGCAAAGCAGTAGTGTTGGGACTCAACTGCAAGTCACTGTGATACGATGTCCTGTGTCATTTTTTCTTTTTTTCGAGGTGGAGTTTCGCTCTTGTTGCCCAGGCTGGAGTGCAATGGCGTGATCTTGGTTCACTGCAACCTCCGCCTCCCCAGTTCAAGTGATTCTCCTGTCTCAGCCTCCTGAGTAGCTGGGATTACATGCGCCTGCCATCATGCCCGGCTAATTTTTTTTTTTTTTAGTAGAAATGGAGTTTCACCATGTTGGACAGGCTAGTCCTGAACTCCTGACCTCAAAGAATCCACCCGCCTTGGCCTCCCAAAGTGCTGGGATTACAGACGTGAGCCACCGCGCACCTGGCTCTGTGTCATTTTTTTCTACAGCATGTTACTTCCTCTGAAGCATTTGGCTCTTTAATCATTTTAGTTTTTGCTTCAGGCACCTAGTTCCCAAAGAACTGCAGCCTGGCTTGTAGCCCCAGCTCTCATACTGACATCTCCTCCCTAAAGTATACAGCTCTGTGTTAGGGTTGGGATTAGGTCTGCCGGGAATATAGCAAGAGGACTTGCCTTCAAGACCCAGCTTAGATAGGGTCATAAATAACTTTGCATCCCTAAAAAGGACTCTTCTGGGCACAGATTATTCTTGGGAGTTGACAACGTATTTGGAATATGTTCCTCTGGGACCAGCAAAGCTCAGAGTCGACGGATGAGTTGTAGGTTTCCTGGTGTCTGCAGTCGGGTACCCTGGCTGCTTTCAGAGAGTGGAGTCCTGCCCCGTATCTCCCCAGAGTTTTCCCCTTTCTCTCCCATGAACTTTTGCAAGTCGGGGCTTCCCTAGCTCTTTCTCTCATGTATGCTTCAGATTACGTTTACCTCATGGCAGCTTTGTCTTGGTTGTTGGGGACACAAAGATGAACACAGTGGAGGTGCTATGGTAGGGACACGGTGGAGAGACACTGAAGTGTCA
Organism: Homo sapiens; assembly: GCF_000001405.40. Classification (NCBI taxonomy): domain Eukaryota; kingdom Metazoa; phylum Chordata; class Mammalia; order Primates; family Hominidae; genus Homo; species Homo sapiens. The sequence goes on along the minus strand of NC_000007.14, from coordinate 66,012,796 downwards.
GCAAACACCATGTGCCAAGTAGGGCCTGAGATCAGGAAGTAGCCTCGTGCTTTTCTGTAGGGTGTTTGCAGTTTGGGTCAATTGGGATATGAGTGCAAAGTAGGGCCATACAAAGCTATAGAGACTGACAAAGACCAGATTTCAGAGGGTTCTGGGGGCTGAACTAAGGAAATTCAAGTTCAGACTACAACCTGTGAGGACAGTGGGAGGATTACAAGCAGGATAATGAGATGACTATGTTTCTGTCTTTTAAAAGAGACTTTATTTGTATGAGTGCAGATAGATTGAAAAAGTGGCAGCCCACTGAAGATGAAGGCCATCATCCTCTAACCAAGAGGTTGGAGTGGGCTGTAGAAATGGTGAGGAAGGGATAGGTATCTTTTTTTTTTTTTTTTTTTTTTTTTTGAGACGGAGTCTTGCTCTATCGCCCAGGCTGAAGTGCTGGAGTGCAGTGGCACGATCTTGGCTCACTGCAAGCTCCACCTCCCGGGTTCATGCCATTCTCCTGCCTCTGCCTCCCGAGTAGGTGGGACTACAGGTGCCCGCCACCATGCCTGGCTAATTTTTTGTATTTTTTTAGTAGAGACGGGGTTTCACCGTGTTAGCCAGGATGGTCTCGATCTCCTGACCTCATGATCCGCCCGCCTTGGCCTCCCAAAGTGCTGGGATTACAGGCGTGAGCCACCAAGCCCAGCATTTTTTTTTTTTTTTTTTGAGTTGGAGTCTTGCTCTGTTGCCCAAGCTGGAGTGCAGTGGCGCGATCTCGCTCGCTGCAATCTCCTCTTCCCGCGTTCAAAAGATTCTCTTGCTTTAGCCTTCCGAGTAGCTAGGACTACAGGCGCCCACCACTATGCCCGGCTAATTTTTATATTTTTAGTGGAGACAGGGTTTCACCATGTTGGCCAGGCTGGTCTCAAATTCCTGACCTCAAATGATCCGCCTGCCTCTGCCTCCCAAAGTGCTGGGATTACAGGCATGAGTCACCACGCCTAGCCTAGATGTCCTGAAAGAAGTGTAATCATTGATACTTGGTGACTGAATATGTGCAGTGGGTGAAGGAGGAGTCAAGGAGGACCCTCAGATTTCTGGCCTGGGTGCCTGGCACTTCACCGAGAAGAGAAGTACAATGGGAAGAGCTGGTTTGTTGGGAAGGCTGTAGGGTCACTCTGGGGCGTGTTAAGTTCATGGCATGTCAGAGATGTCAAGGTGGAGAAATCTAGCAGGCAGTCGGCCACAAATGTGTGAAGCTCAGGTCACATGGCATGAGGACATGGCTGTTTTTTAATTTTTAAATTTTTCTGAGTACATGATAGGTGTATATATTTTGGGTATATGGGATATTCCTTTTTTTATTTTGAGACGGAGTCTTGCTCTGTTGCCCAGGCTGGAGTGCAGTGGTGCGTATCTCAGCTCATTGCAACCTCTCTCTCCCAGGTTCAAGCCATTCTCCTGCCTCAAATTCCCGAGTAGCTGGGACTGCAGGCACCCACCACCACGCCCAGATAATTTTTTTGTATTTTTAGTAGAGACAGGGTTTCACCATGTTAGCCAGGATGGTCTCGATCTCCTGACCTAGTGATCCGCCCGCCTCAGCCTCCCAAAGTGCTGGGATTATAGGCGTGAGCCACTGCGCCTGGCCAGTATATGGGATATTACAATACAGGCATACAATGTGTAATAATCACAGTAGGGTAAATGGGGTGGCCATCACCTCAAGCATTTATCCTTTGTCTTATAAACATATCCAGTTATACTTTTGTAGTTATTTTTAAATGTATAATGAAATTATTGCTGACCATAGTAACCCTGTTGGATTATCAAATACTAGACCTTATTCATTCTTTCTATTTTTCATACCCATTAACCACGCACACTTCCCCCACCTCACCCACCCCACTGCCCATCCCCACCTCTGGTCTGCTGCTCTCTGGTCCTTCTCCTCTCTCTGTCTCCAGAAAGCATGGACTTCTTGGTTATAGCTTGTAGTGGTAGCTGACATTGTGAGGCCTGGGTGAGGACGTCAGTAGGAGGGTCAGAGGATGAAAGTCAGCACCATGAGAGTGCCAGAGCCTCGTGGGAGAAGAGAAAATCCAGAAGGAGATGAAGAAGGGAGAGTCGGAAATATCAGAAAAGAATTGAAAGAGAAGATGTCATGGAAGCCCCGAGGGCAGGCAGTTTTAAGGAGGGAATGATCAGCAGTGTCAGATGGAGTAGGACCGAGGAGCAACCGCTGGATTTGTCCATGTGGAGGCACCAGGCCCTTGAAGGAAGAACACTTTTGGTGATCGCTTGGGCAAGAGCTAGGGTGCAGGGAGTTGAGAAGCAAGGGGAGAAAGTAGAGACAATGAAAGAGGTGGCCGGGTGCGGTGGCTCACGCCTGTAATCCCAGCACTTTGGGAGGCCAGGGTGGGTGGATCACAATGTCAGGAGAGCAAGACCATCCTGGCTAACACGGTGAAACCCTGTCTCTACTAAAAATACAAAAACTTAGCCAGGCATGGTGGCACACCCCTGTAGTCCCAGCTACTCAGGAGGCTGAGGCAGAAGAATTGCTTGAACCTCGGAGGCGGAGGTTGCAGTGGGCCGAGATCACGCCACTGCACTCCACTCTGGGCAACAGAGCAAGACTCCATCTCAAAAAAAAAGAAGAGGTTTGGTTAACCCCGGGCGCGGTGGCTCATGCCTGTAACCCCAGCACTTTGGGAGGCCATGGCAGGTGGATCACGAGGTCAGGAGATCGAGACCATTCTGGCCAACATGGTGAAACCCCGTCTCTACTAAAAAAATATAAAAATTGGCTGGGCATGGTGGCATGTGCCTATAATCCCAGGGGAGGCCTGGCTTCTCCTGGCCTCTTAAATGGAGGCACTTTATGGTGTTCTGTCCTGGTCTTCACTCACTCCACAGTTGGTTTTTGGAGCATAATATCCACTCCACAGTTTCATATAACTCCTTGCAATTAAATCTAGTGCTGGTTTTTTTCTTTAGTTCTAGACCAAATTAGGCCTCAAACTAGACACGCTTTTTTTTTTTAAGACACACTTTTGACAGAAACGTCTTCAGAGGTATAAAGGTACTGCAAACTCAAATTTCATTTTAAATAATTTTTTTTTTTTGAGACGGAATCTCGCTCTGTCACCCAGGCTGAAGTGCAGTGGTGCAATCTCGGCTCACTGCAAGCTCCACCTCCCAGGTTCATACAATTCTCCTACCCCAGCCTCCCGAGTAGCTGGGACTACAGGCATCCACCACCACACCTGGCTAAGTTTTTGTATTTTTGGTAGAGACGGGGTTTCACCGTGTTAGCCAGGATAGTCTCGATCTCCTGACCTCCTCCCAAAGTGCTAGCATTACAGGTGTAAGCCACCGTGCCCGGCCTAAATAATGTATTTTTTTCTAAACAACCTAACCTTAACTATCTGTTCCTTCACTCCTCCTCCCCCGACACAATCTACACAGGTCCTGTTGACTTTACCTGAGGGTAACGGGAAGCATTTCACCTGTTTAGACACTTACTGGCATGCCTGCCGCTGCTGGCCAACTTCATAACCTTACTCTTGCTCACCCAGAGGGTGTTACAGTGCGTTCCTCACTGTCTGCCTCCATTTTCTTGGGTCTTCCAGAATCGCTGCCAGCACCAGCCAGAACATGCCCCTCTTCCTTGGTTGTTCTCCTATATTGACCAAGTCACACCCAGCCTCTTGATAGTCAGGGCCCTTTCGATCTTGTCCCAGATGACTTTTTCACCCCATGTCCTACCCCTCTCTAGCTGTTTCCTGAAACTCCGGGAGCTTTCTTTCCTCTGGGCATGTCTTTGTGTTGTTCCTGCCCTGGCTGTCTGTCCCTTCCATCCCTTTTGTGTTGAAAAGCCTTCAGGGTCTAGTGCAAGGGTCATCTCTGTGGAGTCTCCTTTCTTGAGTCTAGAGTAAACATTTGGGGGAGTAAACATTCTACAAGCAGTAGAAATTGACTAGAACTGCCCTAATAATGACTGCCATTTATGGAGAAACTATCGTGGGACAGATGGCATTATGACACTTTCGATCCATTATCACATGTACAGTAGAAGCAGATGGCCAAGAACAGGAGCTTTTCTGCCATTTACTAGCTTTGCAACTGTGGACAAGTTATTTGCTATCTCAGTGTCAGTGAAATCTGAGGATTCAATGTACTTGCACATGGAAAGCAAGCAATAAATGGTAGCTGCAGCCTCTGGGAAGATTTTCATCCCTCTTAATCCTCTCATAAGATAGTAAGTACTGTTATCATTCCTATTTCACAGATGAGGAAATTGAGGCTCAGGGAGAGTGGGTAAGTGTTCTGCTTCCCCCAACACATGGCTGCAGGAGTCATGGCTTCTTCATGTTTTCACTCCAGAAGCTCTTTAACGCAGTAAATACTTACTGAGCTGATTGGAAAGATGGATCTGCAGCTCCAGGGTCAAATTGAGAGAGAAATGTAGAAGTTGTCGCCTGCACAGGGGTGGTCACTGCAGTCATTTGATCTCCTCTGAAGTTCTGTAGTCTTTCAGGGTCCACACTGTTCGGCCACCCTTTCAGCAATGAGCTGTGTCTTTCTTTGAGGCAGATGATCACTATATCTGTCACTCAGATCTTTTGTTGTGAAAATTTGCATGTATTTGTCTTTTTTCTCCAGCTGGGTTAAGTGCTTTCAGGGCAGAGGCACTGTACCTGTATTTCTGTTTATTAACTCCTGCCTCTTTAAGTCCCCGTTTTGTTTACTAAGATAATAGGTGAAATCTGGGAAACATTAAATCTTCATCTCGAAAAGGAATTCATCCATTTCTAAGAGATGACCAAACAAGATGATTTTGTATGTTTTAATTTTTTAGTTTTAGAGATAGGATGTGGCTCTGTCACCCAATCTGGAGTGCAGTGGTGCGATCATAGCTCACTTCAGCCACCAACTCCTAGGCTAAAGTGATCCTCCTGCCTCACCCCCCTTGTCCTCTGCCTTCCGTAGTTGGGACTACTTGTGTTTCACCAGAAAAAAATCAGCTTCCTGTTTGAATACCCACTAGACATTTAAAGTTCTACAATAAACCCATCGAAGATGCAAAAAAAGCGCCTCTGCAAAAACAAAAAACCCACAATCAAGCATCATCGACTCCCCAAGTAAACAAAATGGTAATATCAAAAAAACAGATAAAGCTGTCATCCACCAAAAAAGCGGAGCTGCCGACCTGGGGTCCACTAAAGAAGCTGACACAGTTAGCTAAAAAAAGCCTAAAAAAACAAGGGTAATACAAACTCTAGAAAATATACTGGTTACAGCTTTGATAATTGTATCAACGGTGGTAAGTCTCCTCATGTCTGCAGAAACAGCTGCAGCTAATTATACTTACTGGGCCTATGTGCCTTTCCTGTCCTTAATTTGGGCAGTCACATGGATAAATAATCCTATTAAAGAATATGTTAATAATAGTGCGTGGGTACCAGGCCCCACAGATGATCGTTGCCGTGCCCAATCAAAAAAAAAAAAAGAAATAATAATAAATATTTCCATTGGGTATTATTATCCCCCTATTTGCCTAGAAAAGGCACCAGGATGCTTAACGCCTACAACCCAAATTTGGTGGGTAGAAGTACCTACTGTCAGTGCCACCAGTAGATTTACTTATCACATGGTAAGTGAAATGTCACTGGAGCCACAGATAAATAATTTACAGGACTCTTCTTATCAAAGATCATTAAAATTTAGGCGTAAGGGGAAGCCTTGCCCCAAGAAATTCCCAAAAAATCAAAAGGCCCAAAAGTCTTAGTTTGGAAAAAATGTGTGACTGATACTGCTGTGGTATTACAAAACAATAAATTGGAAACTATTATAAACTGGGCCCCTCGAGGCCAATTATATTATAATTGTACAGGCCAGACTCACTCATGTTCACAGGCCCCATCCATCTGGCCCATTCATCCAGCCTCTATTAGTGATTTAACTAAAAGGCAAGACCAGGTTTTATAAAGGTTTAAATCACCCTATCCATAAAAATGGGGTAAAAAGAGAATTTCATCACCTCAACCAAAGTTAGTTCGTCCTGTTACTAGTCCTAAACATCCAAAATTATAAAAACTTACTGTGGCTTTGCACCACGTTAAAATTTGGTCTGGAAATCAAGCTATAAAACCAAAAAGTCGTAAGCCATATTATACTATCAACCTAAATTCCAATTTAACAATTCCTTTACAAAGTTGTGTAAAACCCCCTTATATACTAGTTGTAAAAAACACAGTTATTAAACCAGATTCCCAAACTATAACCTGTGAAAATTGTAGATTGTTTACTTGCATTGATTCAACTTTTAATTGGCAGCACCATATTCTGCTAGTGAGGGCAAGAGAGGGCATGTGGATCCCTGTGTCCATAGACCGACCATGAGAGTCTTCCCCATCTGTCCGTATTTTAACAAAAGTATTAAAAAAAGTTCTAACTAGATCCAAAAGATTCATTTTTACTTTAATTATGTGATTATGGGTCTTATTGCAGTCACAGCTACTGCTGCGGCTGCTGGAATTGCTTTACACTCTTCTATTCAAACTGCTAAATATGTAAATAATTGGCAAAAGAATTCCTCAAAATTGTGCAATTCTCAGACCCAAATAGATCCAAAATTGGCAAACCAAATTAATAATCTTAGACAAACTGTCATTTAAATGAGAGATAGGCTCCATGAGCTTGAAATATCTTTTTCAGTTACAGTGTGACTGAAATACGTCAGATTTTTGTATTACACCCCGAGCCTATAATGACTCTGAACATCAATGGGACATGGTTAAACGCCATCTACAAAACAGAAAAAATAATCTTACTTTAAATATTTCAAAATTAAAAAACCAAATTTTTAAGGCATCAAAAGCCCATTTAAATTTGGTACCAAAAACTAAGACAATTGTAAAAGCTGTTGATGGCCTCACAAATCTTAACCTCGTCACTTGGGTTAAAACTATCAAAAGTTCCACTATTGTAAATTTGTATTAATCCTTGCATGCCTGTTCTGTCTGTTGTTAGTTTACAGGTGTATCTAACAGCTCCAAAAAGACAACGACCAACAAAAACAGGCCATAATGACTATGGCGGTTTTGTCAAAAAGAAAAGGGGGATATGAAGGGAAAAGAAAGAGAGATCAGACTGTTACTGTGTCTATGTAGAAAAGGAAGACATAAGAAACTCCGTTTTGACCTGTACCCTGAACAATTGCTTTGCCCTGATATGCTGTTAATCTGTAACTTTGCCCCAACCTTGTGCTCACAAAAACATGTGTTGTATGGAATCAAGGTTTAAGGGATCTAGGGCTGTGCAGGATGTGCCTTGTTAACAAAATGTTTACAGGCAGTATACTTGGTAAGAGTCATCGCCATTCTCCCATCTCAATAAACCAGGGGCACAATGCACTGCGGAAAGCCGCAGGGACCTCTGCCCTGGAAAGCCCGGTATTGTCCAAGGTTTCTGCCCATGTGATAGTCTGAAATATGGCCTCATGGGATGGGAAAGACCTGACCATCCCCCAGCCTGACACCCGTGAAGGGTCTGTGCCCTGGAGGATTAGTAAAAGAGGAAGGCCTCTAGCAGTTGAAATAAGAGGAAGGCCTCTGTCTCCTGCCTGCCCCTGGGAAGGGAATGTCTTGGTATAAAACCCGATTGTACATTTGTTCGATTCTGAGATAGGAGAAAAACTGCCCTGTGGTGGGAGGCGAGACATGTTGGCAGCAATGCTGCTTTGTTATTCTTTACTCCACTGAGATGTTTGAGTGGAAAAAAGCATAAATCTGGCCTATGTACACATCCAGACATAGTACCTTCCCTTAAACTTATTTGTGACACAGATTCCTTTACTCACATTTTCTTGCTGACCTTCGCTCCACTATCACCCTGCTCTCCTGCCACATTCCTCTCACTAAAATAGTAAAAATAGTAATAAATACTAAGAAAACTCAGAGACTGGTGCTGGTGTAGGTCCTCCATATGCTGAACACCAGTCCCCTGGGCCTACTTTTTTTTCTCTATACTTTGTCTCTGTGTCTTATTTCTTTTCTCAGTCTCTTGTCCCACTTGATGAGAAATACTCACAGGTGTGGAGGGGCAGGCCACCCTTTCAGTATTTTTAGTAGAGATGGGTTTTATGTTGGTCAGGCTGGTCTTGAACTCCCAACCTCACGTGATCCACCCACCTCAGCCTCCCAAAGTGCTGGGATTACAGGCATCAGCCACCGCACCCAGCCCCCAAATTATTTTTTAAAGCAGAAGACTGTGGAAATAGTGGATATATAAAGGTGATGGGATTATGAATATGGTTTCTTGTTAATGTCCCCTTAATATATGATATTTTTCAAGGCTACAGAGTCTATAAAATAAGGAAAAATGTTTACAGGGAAGATGGGAGTGATAATTTCCTGGAATGGGACTGGTTTTTCTGGACATCATGAGATACTGCTCTCCATGATTAAACAGTAATTGACATAAAGTCAACATTAATATAATAAAAATATTGGTGAATCAAGTTTTCAAAACACAAAAATGTTGTACACGCTAGTGGTTCTATAAATAACACATGCTTTTATTTAACATCAAGACACTTCAGGGCAAAGACACAAAGTACTAAACGGAATATAACAAACTTATTTTTGTATTGATAAATACTTACCAAGTAATAACTGTAGTATATAAAATATAAGTCCAAAGACACTGTTTGGCTGGTTTAATACACCATCCTTTCCAAAAATGGAACCCAAAAGACCAAATCCTCGACCCCATCTGTAAAATAAGGAAAACCAGTAACCCTATATTTGAATTTCCCTATTTTAAAAAATGTATCATTATTTGAGAACGTTATCCAATTCTAAAATCAACTAAGTTGTGAAATGTCTTAAATGTCCTGTGTTGAGAGAGTGATTTGCCCCAAAGAGAGGGAGGCCAGTCACTAGATTTCTGATTAGAAATAATCATCTAAAATGAACATATCTAAAGGTGCCAGTATACCCATCTGAATCTCTCAGTTGCCAATTTCTATATATTCTCTTCTCCAGAAGGTAGGGCAAAGTATTCGTTTTCCAATGGCATTAGTATTTGCAGAAGGAGACTTCTCTATGCAGAAGGAGACAGTTGTCCACTGTCTCTTAACAGTGGACTACTGACATTTTGGGCTAGATAATTCTTTGTGCTGTGGGGTGTTCTGTGCATTACATAACAGTACCCCGGGGCTCCCCCAACTAGATGCTGCCAGTACTCCTCCACCCCAGGTGTGACTACCAAAAATGCAGTCACAGCCATTGCCAAACGTCCACTGGGAAACAACTGCCACCAGTTAAAAGCCATAGATGTAAGGGGTGCTATTTATTCACTCAAAGAATATAGATTGAAAAGTTGTTTCTTCACAAATTTCACCAGGATATGCATTAAGAAATATACTGGGAATGTATTTTTTAAATGTAGGACTGGGCCCGTGGCTCACTCCTGTAATCCCAGCACCTTGGGAGGCCGAGGTGAGCAGATCACGTGGTCAAGAGTTTGAGACCAGGCTGGCCAACATGGTGAAACCCTTGTCTCTACTCAAAATACGAAAAATTAGCCCAACATGGTAGTGCGTGCCTGTAATCCCAGCTACTTGGGAGGCTGAGGCAGGAGAATCGCTTGAACCCAGGAGGCAGAGGTTGCAGTGAGCCGAGACTGCACCACTGCACTCCAGCCTGGGCAACAAGAGCAAAACTCCACTTCAAAAAAAAAATGCAGGACGATATCAGAAACTGTAGGTCTTTCCTAGAATCCTATCTCAGAAGTAAAAAACCGGATACATTATATGCCCTATCAGTTTTTATTTGCAATTTAACTTTAAATCTTGGATATGACTTAATATTTTTAAAACCTGATTTTCTTTTTTAAATTGTTAATACTGATTTGATAAAACTTGATACAAATAACAAGCTAACATTCATTGTGAATAACAAAACCTTTAAAGATAATGTTAACTCTGGCTTGAACGAGAGTGCTTCTTAAATGCTAAAAAATAAATAACCAGTTATGGTGTTAAGTCAGTAGAGAAACACTCTAAACAAAATCTAAACTTTGGTTCTGAAGACAAACTGCCCCAAAACAAGGATAAATAAGTGATTCTCCACGGACCACAATAGTTTAATGGCACTCGATGCCCAAGATACAGAATGAAACCCCTGTGTAACAGTGATGTTGGGAGAGAAAAATCACCCCGATTTTACAAACAAGTGAAAGCCATGAAGATTTTTTTTTTTTTTGAGACGGAGTCTCGCTCTGTCACCCAGGCTAGAGTGCAGTGGACGGTCTCAGCTCACTGCAAGCTCCGCCTCCCGGGTTCATGCCATTCTCCTGCCTCAGTCTCCAGAGTAGCTGGGACTACAGGCACCCACCACCACGCCCGGCTAATTTTTTGTATTTTTTTTAGTAGAGACAGGGTTTCACCATGTTAGCCAGGATGGTCTCAATCTCCTGACCTTGTGATCTGCCCAACTTGGCCTCCCAAAGTGCTAGGATTACAGGCGTGAACCACCGCGCCCAGCCGCCATGAAATTTTATTGTACAATTATACAATCCTTTTTTTTTTGTATTTTTTGTAGAGTTGGGGCTTTCCCATGTGCCAAGACTGGTCTCGAAATACTGGACTCAAGCAATCCCCCCACCTTGACCTCCCAAAGTGCTGGGATTACAGGCCGAGCTATGACACCCAGCCTTCAGTTATACATTTCAAAGAACATAAAATAATTTCCATTATATTCATTTATTCTTTCACTCATCTAAATACTTATTGAGCATGTACTGTGTGCACTGACGCTACGTGCCGGGGATCCAGAAGTGAACGAGCCAGACGAGGTGCTGCCCTTGTGGACCTTAAATTCTATTTAGGGAAGAGAAACAATAAACATGTAAACACATTCCAGATTACCTGCAGCAATGGACACACCTTGTAACAGATACACAGGAAAATTAGAAGGGGAAACTCTAGATCAGTGCTTCTGAAATTTTTAAAGCACAATCACTTTGGGGTCTGGTTAAAATGCAGCTTTTCCTTCAGTGGGTCTGTGGTGGGGCCTAAGACTCTGCATTTCCAGAGAAAACACAACACAAAATGAAATGCTTGCAGGCAACACTGACGCTTCTGGTCTGAAGCCCACACTTGGAGATCCATAGCTGTGGGCAGAGAAGGGGTGCAGCAAGCTCCTCTAGCTTGATGATCGGGAAGGACCTTTTCCAGGAATGAAGTTTTGAATGAGATCCTGAGTGATGGTAAGCAATCGGTCTCATGAGCAATGGCAAGTCAAAGGCCTTGAGGTAGGAATGAGCTGTGGGTGTGCCAAGGAAGGCCACTGAGGCTGGGGCATGGTGATTGAGGAGAGTGACAGGAGAACTGGGAGCGAGTCCAATCATTTACATTATTTAGGGCCTTGTGTGTAGGCCATGCCGAAGAGTTTGAATTTTATTCTAATTGCTATGAAAGACGTTTAGTAGCTTTCAAACTGGAGAGTGAGATAAGCTTATTTATGATCACTCTTCGCTGCTGCATAAAGAACAAACTGCTGGAGGCCAGAGTACAGATGGGGAAACTATATGTAATCAAACCTCTTAGCCCTACTCATCCCAGGCAGGAATTCCAATTTAAATCACTGCCTTTGGCAACAGAAATAAATGGCATACTGCCAAAATTATCATGGCTAAACAGAATTTTTATATATTCAAAGCACTGGTCTATGCCTGATTATTCATGTAAGAACACATGGGTATTTTCCTCGAAAACAATGTGGCAATCCACAAATGAATATATTATCAAAGTTATACATGCATAAGGTTTCAAAATAAAATAAAATCAAAGCCTTCTAATACAGAGATGTTCCCTCCTCCAGCCCTCCCCAAGTCAGTTCTCATCCCAGAGGCATCCACTTTGATGTCTGTTAACTGTTTTCACTGTTATTTAGCTCCACATTTCTAAATAATATGTTTACATTGCTATTTCTTTTTTTTTCCTTTTTGAGACAGTCTCACTGTGTCGCCCAGGCTGGAGTGCTGTGGCATGATCTCAGCTCAATGCAACCTTTGCCTCCTGGGTTCAAGTGATTCTCCTGCCTCAGCCTTTTGAGTAGCTGGGATTACTAGCACCTGCCACCATGCCCAGCTAATTTTTGTATTTTCAGTATGGATGGGGTTTCATCATGTTGGCCAGGCTGGTCTCGAACTCCTGACCTCAGGTCATCAGTCCGTCTCGGCCTCCCAAAGTGCTAGGATTACAGGTGTGAGCCACTGCATCCAGCCCTAAATATTATCTTTTGACTTTCTAATATTGTAAGCCAGAATGTTGCTTTTTTTTTTTTTTTTTTGAGATGGGGTCTCACTCTGTCAATCATGTTGGAGTGCAGTGGTGCGATCTGCGCTCATTGCAACCTCCACCTCCCAGTCTCAAGCAATCTTCCCTCCTCAGCCTCTCAAGTAGCTGGGACCACAGGCGTCCACCACCATGCCTGGCTAATTTTTATATTTTTAGTAGAGATAGGGTTTCACCATGTTTCCCAGGCTGGTCTCGAGCTCCTGAGCTCTGGTGATCCACCTGTCTTGGCCTCCCCAAATGCTGGGATTACAGGTGTGAGTTACTGTGGCTGGCTAAATATTGCTTCTTTAAAAAAAAAAAGTTTACTATGTAATAGAAAACTTCAAATGCATATACACAAAGTGAAGAGAAGAGTGTAATAAACACCCATGTATCATTTTGCTATGGTAAAGAGAAAAGGTATTATAAAAACAAAACACACACAAAAATACAAAAAATCCCAGGTACCCATCACCCAGCTTCAATAATTATGCCTTTCTTGTTTCATCTCCACCTCTACATACTCAACACTTGAGAATTACTTTTAGTTCTTTTATTTATTTTTATTTTTATTTTTTGTGACAGAGTCTCGTTCTGTCACCCAGGCCAGAGTGTAGTCACACTTTCTCGGCTCACTGCAACCTCTGCCTCCTGGGTTCAAGTAATTCTCCTTTCTCAGCCTCCTGGATAGCTGGGATTACAGGTGCCCACCACCATGCCGGGCTAATTTTTTGTATTTTTGGCAGAGCCTGGTTTCATCATGTTGCCCAGGCTGGTCTTGAACTCCTGAGTTCAGGAGATCCACCTGCCTTGGCCTCCCCAAGTGCTGGGATTACCAGCGTGAATTTTTTTTTTAATTTATTTTATACTAAAAAACTTCAAATGCATATACACTAAGTGAGCAGAAAAGTGTAATAAACCCCCATGTATTGTTTTGCTATGGTAAAGAGAAAAGCCAAATAAAAACAAAACAAACAGGCCAAACAAAACAAAAAAACCCATGTGCCCATTACCCAGCTTTAATAATTATGCCTTTCTTGTTTCATCTTCACCGCTACATACTCATCCCTTGAGAGTTACTTTTAGTTCTTTTATTTATTTTTATATTTATTCTTTGAGACAGAGTCTCACCCTGTTGCCCAGGCTGGAATGCAATGACGCGATCTCGGCTCACTGCAACCTCTATCTCCTGGATTCAAGTGATTCTTTTGCCTCAGTCTCCCGAGTAGCTGGGACCACAGGCATGTTCCACCATACCTGGCTAATTTTTTGAATTTTTTAGACCTCAAGTGATCCACCCACCCTGGCCTCCCAAAGTCCTGGGATTACAGGCACAAGCCACCGGGCCCAGCCTTAAGTAAGTTAAATTTTTGATTACCTTTATTTACTGATTCGTTATAGATATTTTGGAAATCATTTGCTTTTTTCTTTGTTATTTAAACTTTTGTTACCATAAATATGCAATTATCTTGCTTTTGCCACTTTTAAGAATATCAAATTTATTCTTTAAAACAATAATCTTAAAATTATCCTTATTTATTTATTTATTTTTGAGACAGAGTTTCGCTCTTGTTGCCCAGGCTGGAGTGCAGTGGTGCAATCTTTGCTCACTACAACCTCTGCCTCCCGGGTTCAAGGGATTCTCCTGCCTCAGCCTCCTGAGTAGCTGGGATTACAGGTGCCTGCCACTACCTCCAGCTAATTTTTTTGCATTTTTAGTAGAGGTGGGGTTTCACCATGGTGGCCAGGCTGGTCTCAAACTCCTGACCATTAAAAAGGAAGAATGAACCTTGGAAAGTCTAAAAAGGTGGGAGAAACATTTGCGAGGCTTAGAAGGGTGCATATAAGATGTTCGGAGGAACTTAGTGGAAGATTTGTAAACTTATTTGGTAAGTTGCTGTTTTGTTTTCATTATTTTTAATGTTATTACAGTTATATATAGTTTAAAAAAATCAGATAGTGCTACAAGACTTGGAACAAAAAGCAGCATTCTTCTGACCCCTGAGGTATCCTCCTTAGAAGCAACTCATTTTAGTGGTTTCTCTCAATATTTACCCATAAATTTCTTTTCACAAAAATGCCTTATTATTTTTATTCATATTTTTTAATTTTTAAATTTTTTTTGTAGAGATGAGGTCTCACTACGTTGGCCAGGCTGGTCTCGAACTCCTGGGCTCAAGTGGTCCTCCCACCTCAGCCTCCCAAAGTGCTGGGATTACAGGCATGAGCCACCAGGCCTGGCCACTTATTATTTTTGGATCATCTAGCACTGTATGCTAAACTAGACTGTGATTTGGTAGACTTTCACTTCCCTATCCCCCTCCCAATTATACCATAATTTGTACTTACATCAAAATTTTTGGTTCTATCAGTATATATTGTTTACATGGTTATCACTATATTGTCTGACACAGAGCCCAGAATGATCTGTTCTAACAAGATTCTGTAGAGTAAATCAAGTCATAGGCGATCAGTAAATAGAAGAATGACAGTAACACAACACCAAGTTGCACGGTCCAGACATCATTTTCCCCAGCATGTTAAAAGTGCTCATGCCTGGAATCCCAGCACTTTGGGAGGCCAAGGCGGGAGGATCATTTGAGGTCAGGAGTTCAAGACCAGCCTGGCCAACATGGCGAAACCCTGTCTCTACTAAAAATACAAAAATTCGGCGGGCCTGGTGATGGACACCTGTAATCCCAGCTACTTGGGAGGCTGAGGCAGGAGAATCGCTTGAACCCGAGAGGCGGAGTTTGCAGTGAGCCAAGATCGTGCCATTGAACTGCAGCGGCTGTAATTCCAGCAGTTGGGGAGGCTGAGGTGGACGGATCACGAGGTCAGGAGTTAGAGACCGGCGTGGCCAAAATGAGGAAACCCCATCTCTACTAAAATTACAAAAATTAGCCGAGCATGGTGGCGCACTCTTGTAATCCCAGCTACTCAGGAGGCGGACGTTGCAGTGAGCCGAGATCGAGTCACTGCAATCCAGCCTGGGCGACAGAGCAAGACTCTGTCTCAAAGAAAAAAAAAGGGACCGGGTGGGTGGCTCATGCCTGTAATCCCAGCACTTTCGGAGGCTGAGGCGGGTGGATCACCAGGTGAGGAGATCAAGACCATCCTGGCTAACACAGTGAAATCCCATCTCTAGTAAAAATACAAAAAAAAAAAAAAAATTAACCAGGCATGGTGGTGGGCACCTGTAGTCCCAGCTACTTGGGAGGCTGAGGCAGGAGAATGGCGTGAAGCTGGGAGGCAGAGCTTGCAGTGAGCCGTGACCGTGCCACTGCACTCCAGCCTGGATGACAGAGCGAGACTCCATCAAAAAAAAAAAAAAAAAAAAAAAAAAGAAGAAAGAAATGGGCCAGGCACGGTGACTCAAGCTTATAATTCCAGCACTTTGGGAGGCTCAGATGGGAGGACTGCTTGAGGCCAGGAGTTCGAGACCAGCCTGGTCAACATAGAGAGACTCCATCTCAATTGTGTCAAATATTAATTATATTTTTAATTAAAAAAAGTTAAGAAATGCAATAAAGTGAACCACAACAAAGTGAAGTCAAAGAAAATGAGGCTGGGTGCAGTGGCTCACACCTGTAATCCCAGCACTCTGGGAGGCCGAGGCAGGTGGATCACCTGAGATCAGGAGTTCGAGACCAGCCTGGCCAACATGGTGAAACCCCATCTCTACTAAAACTACAAAAATTAGCACCGTGTGGTGGTGCATGCCTGTAGTCCCAGCTATTCTGGAGGGTGGGGCAGGAGGGTCTGTTGAGCCCCAGAGTTTGAGGTTTAGTGAGAGTTATAATCATGTCACTGTACTCCAGCCTGGCTGACACAGTGAGACCCTGTCGCAGAAAAAAATTATAAAATGATGTATTAATAAGTATGCTAATCTACTAGAGAATGCTGTTAAATGACAAGTAGTCCATAATTGCCTACAACCTCATTTTCACTGGAAATTAAAGTTAGGAAGTGTTAAGAATTCTGATCAATATACATAATTGACCTACTAAATATAATACAGGTGACTGTGTGAAAAGTATCCAAGGAAAATAGGGTTTTTTTTGTTTGTTTGTTTGTTTGTTTTTTTTTGAGATGAACTCTCGCTCTGCTGCCCAGGCTGGAGCGCAGTGGTGCGATCTCAGCTCACTGCAAGCTACACCTCCCAGGTTCATGCCATTCTCCTGCCTCAGCCTTCCCAGTAGCTGGGACTACAGGCACCTGCCGCCATACCTGGCTGATTTTTTTTTTTATTTTTTTAGTAGAGAAAGGGTTTCATCGTGTTAGCCCAGATGGTCTCAATCTTCTGATCTTGTGATTTGCCCGCCTCGGCCTCCCAAAATGCTGGGATTACAGGCATGAGCCACCATGCCCAGCCGAGTATATTTTTTATAAGGAAATGTGGTAGGATTGATAAGGAATCAGAGAGACCGACTGGATTGAGGAGGATATTTATTATTTTGGTGCACCGGCCCAGTCGGCTTAACATCCAAAGGATTGAGCCCCGAATAAAGAGTTAAGTTGCCTTTTAAGCATTTCATGGGTGCGGTGCAGTGGCTCATGCCTGTAATCCCAGCACTTTGGGAGGCCAAGGCAGGTGGATCACCTGAGGTCAGGAGTTCAAGACAAGCCTGGCCAAGATGGTGAAACCCTATCTCTACTAGAAATACAAAAATTAGCCGGGCATGGTGGTGGGCACCTGTAATCCCATCTACTTGGGAGGCTGAGGCAGTGAATTGCTTGAACCCAGGAGGTGGAGGTTGCAGTGAGCCAAGATCACGCCACTGCACTCCAGCATAGGGGACAGAGTGAGACTCTGTCTCAGAAAAAAAAAAAAAGCATTTCATGGGGTCGGGGGAGATCTGTGCAGGGGGAAGCATATTACAGAAGAGAGAAACAAAGACAGTTATTTAATTAACTGAGACATGCATTACATACTTTCTTACTTTTCAAGGAAAAACATGTTTTATGACTTGAGGTTATCTGTCTAGTGACCTTGCAGCAGCATAGCTAAAGAAACAGGGTCTTTGCTATTGTGAATAGTGCTGCAATAAACATACGTGTGCATGTGTCTTTATAGCAGCATGATTTATAATCCTTTGGGTATATACCCAGTAATGGGATGGCTGAGTCAAATGGTATTTCTAGTTCTAGATCCCTGAGGAATAGCCACACTGTCTTCCACAATGGTTGAACTAGTTTATAGTCCCAACAACAGTGTAAAAGTGTTCCTATTTCTCCACATCCTCTCCAGCACCTGTTGTTTCCTGACTTTTTAGTGATCGCCATTCTAACTGGTGTGAGATGATATCTCATCATGGTTTTGATTTGCATTTCTCTAATGGCCAGTGATGATGAGCATTTTTTCATGTGTCTGTTGGCTGCATATATGTCTTCTTTTGAGAAGCATCTGTTCATATCCTTTACCCACTTGTTGTTGGGGTTGTTTGTTTTTTTCTTGTAAATTTGTTTGAGTTCTTTGTAGATTCTGGATATTAGCCCTTTGTCAGATGAGTAGATTGCAAAAATTTTCTCCCATTGTGTAGGTTGCCTGTTCAGTCTGATGGTAGTTTCTTTTGCTGTGCAGAAGCTCTTTAGTTTAATTAGATCCCTTTTGTCAATTTCGGCTTTTGTTGCCATTGCTTTTGGTGTTTTAGACATGAAGTCCTTGCCCATGCCTATGTCCTGAATGGTATTGCCTAGGTTTTCTTCTAGGGTTTTTATGGTTTTATGTCTAACATTTAAGTCTTTAATCCATCTTGAATTAATTTTAGTATAAGGTGTAAGGAAGGGATCCAGTTTCAGCTTTCTACATATGGCTAGCCAGTTTTCCCAGCACCATTTGTTAAATAGGGAGTCCTTTCCCCATTTCTTGTTTTTGTCAGGTTTGTCAAAGATCAGATAGTTGTAGATGTGTGGTATTATTTCTGAGGGCTCTGTTCTGTTCCATTGGTCTGTATCTCTGTTTTGGTACCAGTACCATGCTGTTTTGGTTACTGCAACCTTGTAGTATAGTTTGAAGTCAGGTAGCGTGATGCCTCCAGCTTTGTTCTTTTGGCTTAGGATTGACTTGGCAATGCGGGCTCTTTTTTGGTTCCATATGAACTTTAAAGTAGTTTTTTCCAATTCTGTGAAGAAAGTCATTGGTAGCTTGATGGGGATGGCATTGAATCTATAAATTACCTTGGGCAGTATGGCCATTTTCACGATATTGATTCTGCCTATCCATGAGTGTGGAATGTTGTTCCATTTGTTTGTATTCTCTTTTATTTCATTGAGCAGTGGTTTGTAGTTCTCCTTGAAGAGGTCCTTCACATCCCTTGTAAGTTGGATTCCTAGGTATTTTATTATCTTTGAAGCAATTGTGAGTGGGAGTTCACTCATGATTTGGCTCTCTGTTTCTCTGTTATTGGTGTATAAGAATGCTTGTGATTTTTGCACATTGATTTTGTATCCTGAGACTTTGCTAAAGTTGCTTATCAGCTTAAGGGGATTTTGGGCTGAGACAATGGGGTTTTCTAGATATACAATCATGTCATCTGCAAACAGGGACAATTTGACTTCCTCTTTTCCTAATTGAATACCCTTTATTTCTTTCTCCTGCCTGATTGCCCTGGCCAGAACTTCCAACACTATGTTGAATAGGAGTGGTGAGAGAGGGCATCCCTGTCTTGTGCCAGTTTTCAAAGGGAATGCCTCCAGTTTTTGCCCATTCAGTATGATATTGGCTGTGGGTTTGTCATAAATAGCTCTTATTATTTTGAGATACGTCCCATCAATACCTAATTTATTGAGAGTTTTTAGCATGAAGGGCTGTTGAATTTTGTCAAAAGCCTTTTCTGCATCTATTGAGATAATCATGTGGTTTTTGCCTTTGGTTCTGTTTATATGCTGGATTATGTTTATTGATTTGCGTATGTTGAACCAGCCTTGCATCCCAGGGATGAAGCCCACTTGATCATGGTGGATAAGCTTTTTGATGTGCTGCTGGATTTGGTTTGCCAGTATTTTATTGAGGATTTTTGCATCAATATTCATCAGGGATATTGGCAGTATTCACAATAGCAAAGACTTGGAACCAACCCAAATGTCCAACATTGATAGACTGGATTAAGAAAATGTGGCACATATACACCATGGAATACTATGCAGCCATAAAAAAGGATGAGTTCATGTCCTTT
Organism: Homo sapiens; assembly: GCF_000001405.40. Lineage (NCBI taxonomy): Eukaryota > Metazoa > Chordata > Mammalia > Primates > Hominidae > Homo > Homo sapiens. The sequence continues at coordinate 65,993,278 of NC_000007.14, read as the reverse complement.
GTAGGGACATGGATGAAGCTGGAAACCATCATTCTCACCAAACTATCACAAGGACAAAAAACCGAACACCACATGTTCTCACTCATAGGTGGGAATTGAACAATGAGAACACTTGGACACAGGAAGGGGAACATCACACACCGGGGCCTGTTGTGGGGTGGGGGAAGTCGGGGGGATAGCATTAGGAGATATACCTAATGTAAATGATGAGTTAATGGGTGCAGCACACCAACATGGCACATGTATACATATGTAACAAACCTGCACATTGTGCACATGTACCCTAGAACTTGAAGTATAATATATACATATATATATATATATAAAGAAATCTCACAGAAACACCAATGATAAAAGTACTGGAGGCTGGATGCTGTAGGTTATGCCTGTAATCTCAGAACTTTGGGAGGTCAAGGCTGGAGGATTGCTTGACCCCAGTGAGACAGCCAAGTATAAAGGGGTTCCCCGAGAACCTTCGACCGGCCTGTGCACAGGGAGGCATGTGCACTGGGGTGGAGCCATGGAATTTCACACCATTTGCAGAGGGGAAGATTCTGGCTTCCCCTGTTCTGGAGTGGTAACTGGGAATTCAATCTGTGAGGCAGTGAGCCTACCAGCAGAACTCTCGCTTTGCTGAGAGTCCCTGTTTCCCTTTTTATTTCCTTCTTGCCCAATAAACCCTGCCCTTCTCACCCTTAAAAAAAAAAAAAGAAAGAAAAGAGAAACAGGGTCTTCACAAAACCTGGGAAAGGAGGAGTGATAAGGCTCACTAGCCACAGAAAAGCAGCCAGTTAATTTTTAAAGGACTCCAGCTCTTTCTTTCTAAGGGGGAATTGGGTTTTCTCACATACAACTGAGTTTCTGCTTACACATTCTTTAATTTCTTTTAATTCCTGTCCCAGTGCAACAGACATGCTTCCACTAATGGAAAAGAGATGGCAACATTTGGCGCAGTGGCTCACGCTTGTAATTCCAGTACTTTGGGAGGCCAAGGTGGGTGGATCATGAGGTCAGATATTCCAGACCAGCCTGGCCAAGATGGTGAAACCCCATCTCTACTAAAAATACAAAAGTTAGCCAGGTGTGGTGGCGCATGCCTGTAATCCCAACTACTCAGGAGGCTGAGTCACGAGAATTGCTTGAACCCGGGAGGTGGAGGTTGCAGTGAGCTGAGATCGCACCACAGCACTCCAGCCTGGGCAACAAGAGCGAAACTGTGTCTCAAAATAAATAAATAAATAAATAAATAAATAAATAAAAAACCTAAAAACAAAATAAAACAAAATCCCTCAGGGCTTTTCTTCAGGGAAGGCAGGAGAAAATTGTAACTTAGCTTTGCTATAATGTTCAGCTAATTTTGAAAATAAAATCACAGTGCTAAGAAAATTGTTTCTGATGAATTTTGGTACAAAGCAGAATTACAGTGTAAATGTTTGATTTTAAAACATTAAGAGGCAAATAATCACACATTATATGATTTCATTTGTTTATTTATTTATTTAGTTTTGAGGTGGAGTCACACTCTGTTGCCTAGGCTGGAGTGCGCTGGCATGATCTTGGCACATTACAACCTCCGCCTCCCGGGTTCAAGCAATTCTTTCTGCCTCAGCCTCCCAAGTAGCTGGTATTACAGGCGGGACCACCATGCCCAGCTAATTTTTTGTATTTTTAGTAGAGAAAAGGTTTTGCCATGTTGTTTAGGCTGGTCTTGAACTCCTGATCTCAGGTGATCCACCCGCCTCGGCCTCCCAAAGTGCTGGGATTATAGGCGTGAGCCACCGTGCCTGGCCTCTATGATTCCATTTATATCGCAAGCCAAAGAAAAGGACTGAGGTGAGTCTTGAATCATTTTAGTTGATTTTGCCAATGTTAAGGGCGTATCCAGGAAAGAAAAAAAACACACACAAAAGTACAGGAAACATCTGCTATCTGTGCTTTTTCCAAAGAGGGTTTGGGGACTTCTATAAATAAAGGGAAAAGAGCGGGCAGTAGGAGAAAGAGCAAAGAAAGAAAAAAGAGAAGGTATATATCTAATAGAGTTGCATTCGAAAGCAATTGCATTCGGATCTTTTGATCAGTGTTTACTGAGTCCACATTTTACATGTGGAAGGAGAGGGTAGAAGAACAGTCACCTGGGCATTAATTTTGCACTTAGTGAATCTGCATTTTATATAAGATAAATAAACATAGAGTAGAGGAGGCAGCCAGATGTAGATTTGTCTCAGGTGGGTGGAAGGGTGACAATTAGTTCTGTCCTTTGTCCATCACTTGTGAACATAAGTTATCCATTGACATTATCAGGGTGAAATTCAACGGAACTCTTTTTTTTTTTTTTTTTTTTTTGAGACAGAATCTTGCTCTGTCGCCCAGGCTGGAGTGCGGTGGCATGATCTCGGTTCATTGTGACCTCTTTCTCCCAGGTTCAAGCAATTCTCCCGCCTCAGCCTCCCACGTACCTGGGATTACAGGCACCCACCACCATACCTGGCTAATGTTTGTATTTTTAGTAGAGATGGGGTTTCACCATGTTGGTCAGGCTGGTCTCGAACTCCTGACCTCAGGTGATCCACCTCCCTCAGCCTCCCAAAGTGCTGGGATTATAGGCGTGAGCCACCACACCCAGTCTCAACAGAAGTCTTTTAGGGTCAATATCTTGAGGCCCACAAGGAATTTTCTTGGAGCAAATTCGGAGGGAGGTATGTAGTCTTTTATCTTTGTAGTTATCTCTTTTTTTTTTTTTTTTTTTGAGACGGAGTCTCGCTCTATCGCCCAGGCGGGAGTGCAGTGGTGCGATCTCAGCTCACTGCAAGCTCTGCCTCCCAGTTTCACCATTCTCCTGCCTCAGCCTCCCGAGTAGCTGGGACTGTAGGCACCTGCCACCATGCCTGGCTAATTTTTTTTTTTTTTTTTTTAGTAGAGACGGGGTTTCACCATGTTAGCCAGGATGGTCTCGATCTCCTGACCTCATGATTCGCCCGCCTCGGCCTCCCAAAGTGCTGGGATTACAGGTGTGAGCCACCGCACCCGGTCTGTAGTTATCTCTTTAGAAAAAAAAAATGGGAGATAGGTTTGCATGACCCAGTTCCCAGCTTGACTTTTCCCTGTAGAATAGTGAGTCTGAGGTCCCGAGATTTTATTTTCCTTTTATAATATAAACATGAAATAATAATATATATTTGTAAGATCTGAAAACTACAGTGTAAAAGAAGGAAGAACACACAAAAAGAATACACACACACAAACATATATACATATATGCACAAACACACATATATGGTCTCTGTCCCTGTTTCCTGGGTGCACAGCTCCTGAAACCCTTGAAATCTGCAAAGTGGTAAGTGTCTTTGTGGATGCTAATGAGACGACTGATCTCTGGGGCCTCGTGAATAGCCTCAAAATGAGGCCTGGTTGCCAGGGGAACCAACCTCATGATTAGGGGATTGGAACTTTCAGCCCCCTGCCCCCATATTTCCAGAGATAGGGAGGAGCTGAAGGTTGAGTTGATCACCAGTGACCAATGATTTAATGAATCTTGCCTATGTGGCCATCGTGGTGGCTCCTGTCTGAAATCCCAGCACTGTGGGAGGCCAAGGCAGGAAGATTGCTTGAGGCCAGGAGTTTGAGACCAGCCTGGGCAACATAGTGAGAATTCATCTCTACAAATAAAAAAATTAGCCAGGCATGGTAATGCATGCCTATGGTCCAGCTACTCAGGAGGTGGAGATGAGAGGATCACTTGAGTCCAGGAGATCAAGGCTGCAGCAAACTACGATTGCACCACTGCATGCCAGCCTTGGTGACAGAGCTAGACCCTGTCTCTATTTTTTTTTTGAGACAGAATCCCGTTCTGTCACCCAGGCTGGAGTGCAGTGGTACGATCTCAGCTCACTGCAACCTCTGCCTCCCAGGTTCAAGCAATTCTCCTGCCTCAGCCTCCCAAGTAGCTGGGATTACAGGCGTGTGCCACCATGCCTGGCTAACTTTTTAAATTTTTAGTAGAGATGGGGTTTCACCGTGTTAGCCAGGATGGTCTTGATCTCCTGACCTCATGATCCGCCTGCCTTGGCCTCCCAAAGTATGAACCCAGGAGGCGGAGCTTGCAGTGAGCAGAGATTGCGCCACTGCACTCTAACCTGAGTGACAGAGTGAGACTCCATCTCAAAAAAAAAAAAATCTTTGTAGCTATCTATTTAGGAATAAAATGGGAGAGGCAGGTTTGCATGATCCAGTTTCCAGCTTGACTTTTGCTTTTGGCTTAGTGAGTTGGTGGTCCTGAGATTTATTTTCCTTTCACAGTCATTATTCAGGGAAGAGGGTAGGGTCTTGATATTCAAAATTTCTTGGGTGATAAATCTACCAGGGTTTGGATGAGGCCAGACATTGCTCTTTCAGTATCTCAAACCCAGAAAGATGAGTTACTGACATTGAATATGTGAAAGGAAAACAGTTCTGTTTAATTTCTTGAATTTCATCTAAAACAGTTCTGGTTTTGTTTTGTTTTGTTTTGTTTTGTTTTGTTTTGTTTTGAGACAGAGTCTTGCTCTGTTGCCCAGGCTGGAGTGCAATGGCGCCATCTCAGTTCATTGCAACCTCTACCTCCTGGTTCAAGTGATTCTCCTGCCTCAGCCTTCTGAGTAGCTAGGATTACAGGCATGCACCACCACACCTGGCTAATTTTTTTATTTGTAGTAGAGATGGGGTTTCACCATGTTGGCCAGGCTGGTCTCCAACTCCTGGCCTCATGCAATCCACCTACCTTGGCCTCCTAAAGTGCTGGTATTATAGGCACGAGCCACCATGCCTGGGCAAAACAGTGCTGTTGAATTTCACCCTGACAGCATAAATGAAAAACTTGTCTTCACAGGTAAAGGACAAAGGACAGAACTAAAAGTCATCCCTCTGTGCACTGGAGACAAAAGCATATCTGACTGCTTCCTGTACTCTATGTTTATTTATCTCATGAAAAAAATGCATATTCACTGAGCTCAAGATAAATGCATAATTGACTATTTCTCCACCCTTTTCTTTCCACATGTAAAATGTAGATTCTGTAAACGCTGATCAAAGACTCAAAGGAACACGATCACTTGGCGCTTCAATTTGTTCTCCCTCCCCACTTGTTTTTTTATTTTGCCTTCCCCTACTACTCACTTTCTTTCCCTTTATTTATTTATTTATTTAAGACCGAGTCTTGCTCTGTTGCCCAAGCTGCAGTGCAGTGGTGTGATCTCGGCTCACTGCAACCTCTGCCTCCTGGGTTAAAGCAATTCTCCTGCCTCAGCCTCCCGAGTAGCTGGGATTACAGGCATGTGCCACCACACCCAGCTAATTTTTGTATTTTTGGTAGAGACGGGGTTTCACCATGTTGGCAAGGCTGATATCAAACTCCTGACCTCAGGTGATCCGCCTGCCTAGGCCTCCCAAAGTGCTGGAATTACAGGCATGAGCCACCCAGCCCGGCCTCTTTTTCCCTTTAAATATTGAAGTCCCCAGACCGTCTTTGGAAAAAAAAAGCATGCATCACAAATATTTCCTGTGGTTTTTATTTCTTTTTTCCTCCCACTGCATCCTCAACTTTCACAAAATGACCTCTAAAAATGACTGAGACACGCTTCAGTAATTTTCTTTGATTTACAAATGCTTACCAAATTCAGATGCTTTAATTCAGCAAAACACAACAGCTAAAACAAAGATATCAGAAAAATGTTGAATGGCTGGCCAGGTATGGCAGCTCATGCCTGTAACCTCAGCACTTTGGGAGGCCAAGGCTGGAGGATCACCTGAGGTCAGGAGTTTGAGACCAGCCTGGCCAACATGGTGAAACCCCGTCTCTACTGAAAATACAAAAATTATCCAGTTGTGGTGGTGAGCACCTGTAATCCCAGCTTCTTATTAGGCTGCGGCAGGAGAATTGCTTGAACCTGGGAGGTGGAGGTTGCAGTGAGCTGAGATTGTACCACTGCACTCCAGCCTGGGCAACAGCGTGAGACTCTGTCTCAAAAAAAAAAAAAAAAAAAAAAAAAAAAAGAAAGAAAGAAAGAAAGAAAGAAAGAAAAAAGAAAAATGTTGGATAGTATCTGTGTCTCTGAAAAAGAAACAGATCAGGCCAGGCATGGTGGCTCACTCCTGTAATCTCAGCACTTTGGGAGGCCAAGGCAGGCGGATCATGAGGTCAGGAGATCGAGATTATCCTGGGTAACATGCCTGTAATCTCAACACTTTGGGAGCCTGAGCTGGGAGGATTGCTTGAGGCCAGCAGTTCAAGGCCAGCCTAGGCAACATAGTGAAACCCTGAATACAAACTTTTTTTTTTTTTGAGACAGACTTTCATTCTTGTTGCCCAGGCTGGAGTGCAATGGTGAGATCTTGGCTCACTCCAACTTCCGCCTCCTTGGTTCAAGTGGTTCTCCGGCCTCAGCCTCCCGAGTAGCTGGGTTTACAGGCATGCACCACCATGTCTGGCTAATTTTGCATTTTCAGTAGAAATGAGGGTTTCTCCATGTTGGTCAGGCTGGTCTCAAACTCCCAACCTCAGGTGATCCACCTGCCTCAGCCTCCCAAAATGCTGGGATTACAGGCATGAGCCACCATGCCCAGACTAAAAAATGTTTTGTTTTTTTTTTGAGATGGAGTCTTGCTCCCTTCTCGCAGGCCGGAGTGCAGTGCTGTGATCTCAGCTCACTGCAACCTCCAGCTCCCAGGTTCAAGCAATTCTCCTTCCTCAGCCTCCCCATTAGCTGGGATTACAGGTGTGCACCACCACACTCGGCTAATTTTTGTATTTTTAGTGGAGATGGGCTTTTGCCATGTTGGCCAGGCTGGTCTTGAACTCCTGACCTTAGGTGATCCACCTGCCTTGGCCTCCCAAAGTGGTAGGATTACAGGTGTGAGCCACCACACCTGGCCAACAAAATGTTGTAAAAATTAGCTGGACATAGGGTCAGGCATGAAGGCTTACACCTGTAATCCCAGCACTTTGGGAGGCCGAGGCAGGCAGATCACCTGAGGTCAGGAGTTCAAGACCAGCCTGGCCAACATAGTGAAACCCCGTCTCTACTAAAAATACAAAAATTAGCCAGGCATGGTGATGCACCTGTAATTCCAGCTATTCAGGAAGCTGAGGAAGGAGAATCGCTTGAACCTGGGAGGCGGAGGTTGCAGTGAGCTGAGATTGTTCCAATGTACTCCAGCCTGGGCGACAGAGTGAGACTCCGTCTCAAAAAAAAAATACATAAATAAAAATTTTTTTAAAAATTAGCTGGGTGTGATGGCATGTGTCTGTAGTCCCAGCTACTTGGGAGGCTAAGGCAGGAGGATCACCTGAGCCCAGGTGGTCGAGGCTACAGTAAACTGTGATGCAGCCTGGGTGCAAGACACTTTCTCAAGAAAAAAAAGCCTTTGCCAGGTGGTATGGCAGAGTGATTCAGAGTGACAGCATAAACACTTGGAAACAGATTGATTAGGTCAGATTCCCAGTTCTGCATCTTACTAGCTCTGTGGTGTTAGAAAAGTTACTGAACCTTCATGTGTCTCAGTTTCCACATTTGAGAAATGGTAGTAATAATAGTACCTATCCTGTGGTTTGGTTATGGTTTGTTTGGCCCCACCAAGTGTTGTGTTGAAATTTGATTCCCCACTGGGCCCAGTGGCTCACGCCTGTAATCCCAGCACTTTGGGAGGCCAAGGCAGGCGAATCACCTGAGGTCAGGAGTTTGAGACCAGCCTCAACATGAACAAACCCCATTTCTACTAAAAATACAAAATTAGCCGGGCATGCATGCCTGTAATCCCAGCTACTCGGGAGGCTGAGGCAGGAGAATTGCTTGAAACTGGGACGCGAAGGTTGTGATGAGCCAAGATGGCACCATTGCACTCCAGTTGGGGCAACAAGAGCGAAACTCTGTCTCAAAAAAAAAAAAAGAAAAAGAAAAAGAAAAAGAAATTTGATTCTCAATGTTGGAAGTGGGGCCTTGTGGGAGGTGTTTAGGTCATAGGGGCAGGTCCCTCATGAATGGCATGGTGCCATTCTCGTGGCAATTAGTGATTCTCACTCTTTTTTCTTTTCTTTTCTTTTTTTAATTTTTTGAGACAGAGTCTTGCTCTGTTCCCCCAGGCTGGAGTGCAGTGGTGTGATCTTGGCTCACTGTGACCTCCACCTCCCGGGTTCAAGTGATTCTCCTGCTTCAACTTCTCTAGTAGCTGGGATTACAGGCACCTGCCACCATGCCTGGCTAAATTTTGTATTTTTAGTAGAGATGGTGTTTTACCTTGTTGGCCAGACTGGTCTTGAACTCCTGACCTCAGGTGATCTGCCCGCCTCAGCCTCCCAAAGTGCTGGGATTATAGGCGTGAGCCACTGCCCCTGGCCTGAATTACTGATTTTTACATACTGTATAAACGTCTGCATCCTACTTTTTCTTACTTTTGTTAAATTTGGCCTAAAGCTGCCTCATAAACAGTGAACTGTATTCTAATTTAAGCATGTCAAGATTTCACTAATGAAATATAAAAGTAAAATTTAAAAAAAGAAAATATGAAAATAAAAAAACAATGTAAACATTTGGGAGAGAGCCTTTAGGCCTTGTCAGTTCCCAGAATGTACTTATTTTCACTATGCTGGGGACTCCATTTCCAGTATTGAGGTCCATTTTCAGAAGGTGGATTTGGTGAGCATGAAAAAAGGGGGTGGGGGAGTAATCATACAAACAATTGTGTCCAGGCCAGCTTCCTAGGACATGAGGGCTCCCTCTGTATGGCAGAGGCACCTGACATCCGTAACTGTTGTGCACCCTGCGAATGACTTTATGGTCTAAGAATGTATGTTCAGAGCCCCAGCTAAGGAATCAGGAGTGGCAAGATCCTGGAAGGATGCCAATCTATGAAACCCTGAGTCAAGAGGTCAAGCTGGGCACTTGTTTTCCTTTTTCTTTTTTTTTGTAGGAGTTTCACTCTTGTTGCCCAGGCTGGAGTACAATGGCGTGATCTCGGCTCACTGCAATCTCTGGTTCAGGCGATTCTCTCACCTCAGCCTTCCCGAGTAGCTGGGATTACAGACATGTGCCACCATGCCCAGCTAAATATGGAGATGCGGTTTCTCCATATTGGTCAGGCTGGTCTCGAACTCCCAACCTCAGGTGATCTGCCTGCTTCAGCCTCCCAAAGTGCTGGGATGACAGGCGTGAGCCACCGCACCTGGCCAAGGCACTTGGTTTCTTAGATCACCCACTTGGCCCTCTTCCAAGTTGTACTTTCCTTCTTTCCTTCCTGTTCTAAAGTTTTTTAATATTTTTTTTTTTCCTGAAATGGCATCTCACTCTGTAGCCCAGGCTGGAGTGCGGTGGCGTGATCTCAGCTCACTGCAACCTCTGCCTCCTGGGTTAAAGCATTTCTCCTGCCTCAGCCTCCCAAATAGTAGGGATTACAGGTGCCTGCCACCACGCCTGGCTAATTTTTGTATTTTTAGTAGAGATGGGGTTTCTCCACGTTGGCCAGGTTGGTCTCAAACTCCTGATATCAAGTGATCCTCCCGCCTTGGCCTCCCAAAGTGCTGGAGTTTGGAGTTACAGGCCTGAACCTCTGTGCCTGGCCTGCTTTTTTTTTTAGACTGAGTCTTGCTCTCTCGCCAGGCTGTAGTGCTGTGGTGCGATCTCGGCTGACTGCAACCTCTGCCTCCCGCGTTCAATCGATTCTCCTGCCTCAGCCTCCCGAGTAGCTGGGACTACGGGCGCATGCCACCATGCCCAGCTAATTTTTTAGTAGAGATGGGGTTTCATCATATTGGCCAGGCTGGTCTCAAACCCCTGACCTCGTGATCCCCCCACCTCCGCCTCCCAAAGTGCTGGGATTACAGGTGTGAGCCACTACGCTCAGCACTGGCCTGCTTTTTAACAAGCTTTTACTACTGCTCTGCAGCTTACCTCCCTCTGGCTTTCTGCCTTATGCCCCTCAGTGCAATTCTTTCTTCTGAGGAGGCAAGAATTGAGGTTGTTGCTGATGTGTAGGGATTCACCACCCGGAACTCCACCAGTAACAGGTCGAGGATGCTAGTTGAAAATGTTATGTAAGCTGCATGCTTTTTACAAATGGTAGTGGTTCTCATGTCCAGCAATGGCCACTGCACCGTCCCTGTATGAAAGTCCCCTCCATAAATCTATGTCTCCTTTGCTGTCTCCAGATCTCCTCCTCTACCTCTCCCACACGGTGCCTTCCCTACTGGAGTAAACTGGGGTCCCGCAGGGCACCCTTTCCCTGCAATTTTTTTTTTTTTTTTGAGACAGAGTCTCGCTCTGTTGCCCAGGCTGGAGTGCAGTGGTGCGATCTCGGCTTACTGCAGCCTTTGCCTCCCGGGTTCAAGCGATTCTCCTACCTCAGCTTCCTGAGTAGCTGGGATTACAGGCACGCACCATCACGCCCCGCTAATTCTTTTTTTTTTTTTTGTATGTTTACAAAATAGGGACGGGGTTTCACTATCGTTGGCCAGGCTGGTCTCGAACTCCTGGCCTCAAGTGATCTGCCCCCCTCGGGTTCCCAAAGTGCACCTGGCCTCTCTCCCTGCATCTTTATGTGCCTGCAACACCAAGAGGGAGCTCTTGGCCCCTGGGTTAAGGTCAGGGCTCCAGAAGCCCAGGGTCAAGGCTATGGCCGCATCCCAAGGACGTGCATCCCTGCAAGAGGCTGCATCAGACAGGCATGGAAGAGGCGCCGCTGGGGCCTCCTTGAATTCCTGCTGGGAAAAGCAAGTGGAGGTGCTCCTTGAAGAAACAGGGGGATCCCACCGATCTCAGGGGTTCTGTTCTGGCCTGCGGCCCTGGATCGTCCAGCCTGGGTCGGGGTGGGGAGCAGACCTCGCCCTTATCGGCTGGGGCTGAGGGTGAGGGTCCCGTTTCCCCAAAGGCCTAGCCTGGGGTTCCAGCCACAAGCCCTACCGGGCAGCGCCCGGCCCCGCCCCTCCAGGCCTGGCACTCGTCCTCAACCAAGATGGCGCGGATGGCTTCAGGCGCATCACGACACCGGCGCGTCACGCGACCCGCCCTACGGGCACCTCCCGCGCTTTTCTTAGCGCCGCAGACGGTGGCCGAGCGGGGGACCGGGAAGCATGGCCCGGGGGTCGGCGGTTGCCTGGGCGGCGCTCGGGCCGTTGTTGTGGGGCTGCGCGCTGGGGCTGCAGGGCGGGATGCTGTACCCCCAGGAGAGCCCGTCGCGGGAGTGCAAGGAGCTGGACGGCCTCTGGAGCTTCCGCGCCGACTTCTCTGACAACCGACGCCGGGGCTTCGAGGAGCAGTGGTACCGGCGGCCGCTGTGGGAGGTGCGATCTCGGGGCAGGGCCGGGAGGCGCCCGAAAGCCCGGCGGTGGGAGTAGGGGAGCCCGGGCCCCCCGCAGACTTCTTCCCCTGGGCGTCTCCGAGCTGGGGCCCGCAGGAGGTTAAAGGTCAACGGGCTTGGGGGCGCCGGCTTGGGGGACGGGGGAACAGGAGCACCCTGGAGGGCCGGGGCGGATTAGGCAGGAGGAGAAAAGGCTCTTGCCGAGCCCTTTCCCGAGGTAAAGGCTGAGTCTGTGCAGTATCCTTCCTTTCAATATTTATTTTTAATTTTTAAAAATTTTTTTGAGACTGGGTTTGCACCTGTTTCCCAGGCTGGGGCGGAGTGGCGCCAGCCTAACTTCTGAGCTCAAGCGATTCTCCCGCCCCAGCCTTGCAATTTAGGGGGTGCCAACACGCCTGGCTAATTGAAAAAAAAAAAATTATCTGGGCTCGGTGGCTCACACCTGTAATCCCAGCACTTTGGGAGGTGGAGGCGGGCGAATCGCCTGAGGCCAGGAGTTTGAGACCAGGCTGGCCAACATAACAGGGTGAAACCTCATCTCTACTAAAAATATAAAAATTAGCCAAGTGTGGTGGTTCATGCCTGTAATCCCAGCTACTTGGGAGGCTGAGTCAGGAGAATTGCTTGAACCCGGGAGTAGAGGTTGCAGTGAGCTGAGATCAGGATGCCACTGCACTCCAACTTGGGCGACATAGTGAGACTACGTCTCCAAAAAAAAAAAAAAGGCAAAAAAACTTAAAAAAAAAAAAAAGATACAGGGTGTCACTATTTACCCAGGGTGGTCTCGAACTCCTGGCCTCAAGCCATCCTCCCACGTTGACCTCCCAAAGCGCTGATTACTGGCATGAGCCACCCACACACTCTGGCCACAGCGGCATGCACTGCACAGAGCTGGGCCCGGGGATCGGGAGAAGGTGACAGTTTAGATGTCCTGAGGTCAGCTCTGCCGAGGCAGGAAGTCCCTTGGTTTTCAAGGTTCACATAGAGGACAGGACATGACATCAGGCCCAGGACGCCACCCCTGTTCCCCTCCTGACTTGGATGTGATCTGCAGAGAAGTGGAACTGGGTGAGGTCTGGGCGGCTTTTGCCTGGTCTACATCCTCTTATTCTGACTTTGCAGCATTCAGTACAGGAGGGAAAGAGGAGGGGGCTGGGTGCCAGTGTGCACCCCACTCACAGTGTCCTAAGCAAAGCTCCCCCCATTCCTCCAACCAGCCTTCCTCCCTGTGACAGGCAGTGGCCATCTGCCTCTTAGTCACAGGTCTGAACCTTCTTGCCTCTGGCTGGGATGTGGCCCTGGGCTTGCTCCTGTCTCAGGAGATATTGTGCCCCATCCACTCTGAGGAGGAACTCCTGGCCCCACTGGCCCAGGTGCACAGATCGCCCTGGCAGTTGACCTGTCATCAGCAAGTTATCTGTCCTTTCTGCCAAGAATCCCCGCTATGTGTCAGGGCTTGTGCTAGGCCTGGGGGCACAGCCGTGCAGCACACTGGTCCTGGACCCTTTTGGGGGCCTAGGAGCTGAGCCCGGCTCTTCTCTCCACAGTCAGGCCCCACCGTGGACATGCCAGTTCCCTCCAGCTTCAATGACATCAGCCAGGACTGGCGTCTGCGGCATTTTGTCGGCTGGGTGTGGTACGAACGGGAGGTGATCCTGCCGGAGCGATGGACCCAGGACCTGCGCACAAGAGTGGTGCTGAGGATTGGCAGTGCCCATTCCTATGCCATCGTGGTCAGTGCGGCCAGGAGCAGGCAGGGCGGGTGGGGGGGCACGGCTGCTGAACAGCATGGGACCTCCAGCTGCCACCCACGGCATGTATGCTGGGGTGGGATGGTGGGGGGTCCTGCCCTGCCCTGCCCTGGGGGCTGTGCCCTGTATAGGGGGATAGGTAGCCTGATCTACCCCATTGGGATGTCATTCTTCCCGTCTGGCTGGAAGGCCCCGGAGCCCCATGCTGCAGGTTATGTGAGGGAGTGCCCGATAGTAGGGCGCCTCCTCATGCCCTGACCTGCAGCCCCCTCCCCGTATCTCCTGTGTCTGCAGTGGGTGAATGGGGTCGACACGCTAGAGCATGAGGGGGGCTACCTCCCCTTCGAGGCCGACATCAGCAACCTGGTCCAGGTGGGGCCCCTGCCCTCCCGGCTCCGAATCACTATCGCCATCAACAACACACTCACCCCCACCACCCTGCCACCAGGGACCATCCAATACCTGACTGACACCTCCAAGTGGGTACCATCCTGCCTCCATTGCACACACCCACCTTCCCGCCCCACCCTGTGGTCTTCCTGGTAGGGACTGGGTGGCCTTCACAGAGTGGAGGCCTTGGATCTGGGGAGGCCAGGGAGGCCTGTGAGCTGAGGTCAGGGGACCCAGAGCAAGGGCCCAGCAAACCACAGTCCTCCCATCCTAGGTATCCCAAGGGTTACTTTGTCCAGAACACATATTTTGACTTTTTCAACTACGCTGGACTGCAGCGGTCTGTACTTCTGTACACGACACCCACCACCTACATCGATGACATCACCGTCACCACCAGCGTGGAGCAAGACAGTGGTGAGGGCTTCTGGTAGGATCCTCTCAGCGGGGCCCAGGGTGGCTCTGTTTGTTCCCTGTTTGGAAAGCTCTCCCAGGAAAAAGGTGCTCCCAGCATCTCTACACCCTCACAGATTCCCTTCCACCTATGAAGCTAAAATTCAGCCTGTGTGAGCGGATACGGGCTCCCAAAATCACCCGTGTGGTTGACCTCGCTAGGAGAAGAGGGGTCTGGCCTAACGTCACACAGCTCGGGGTGGCAATCCTGTCCCTTCTCTATGGTGCTACTCTCACTCCATCTCCCCTTGCTACACATCGTGCTCAAGGAACAGGCAGCTTCGGTGGGGGGGGCGCCGGGCATGGTGGCTTATGCCTGTCATCCAGCACTTTGCAAGGAGGCCCTGGTATAAGGATCACTTGAGGCCAGTAGTTCAAGAGCAGCCTGGGCAACATAGTGAGGCCATCACCACAAAAAATTAAAAAATTAGCCAGGGATGGTGATGTGTGCCGGTAGTCCCAGCTGCTGAGGCAGGAGAATCACTTGAGCCTGGGATGTCAAGGGTGCAGTGAGCTATGACCACACCACTGCACTCTGGTCTGGGCAACAGACGCAGACCCTGTCTTTCTTTTTTTCTTCTTTTTTTTTTTTGAGCTGGAGTCTCGCTCTGTCGCCAGGCTGGAGTGCGATGGCGTGATCTTGGCTCACTGCAACCTCTGCCTCCCGGGTTCAAGCGATTCTCCTGCCTCAGCCTCCCGAGTAACTGGGATTATAGGCACCCGCCACCACGCCCGGCTAATTTTTCTATTTTTTTTTAGTAGAGACAGGGTTTCACTCTATTGGCCTGACTGGTCTTGAACTCCTAACCTCAGGTGATCCACCCTCCTCGGCCTGCCAAAATGCAAGGGTTACAGGCGTGAGCCACTGTGCCCAGCTGGGATACCCTGTTTTTTTTGTTTTTGTTTTTTGTTTTTGAGATGGAGTCTTGCTCTGTTGTCCAGGCTGGAGTGCTGTGGCGTGTTCTTGGCTCACTGCAACCTCCGCCTCCCGGGTTCAAACAATTCTCTTGCCTCAGCCTCCTGAGCAGCTGGGATTACAGGCGTGTGCCACCACGTCCAGCTAATTTTTGTATTTTTAGTAGAGATGGGGTTTCACCATGTTGGCCAGGCTGGTTCAACTCCTGACTTCGGGATCCACCCGCCTCAGTCTCCCAAAATGCTGGGATTACAGGAATGAGCCACAGCGCTCGGTCTGTATTTAAGAAAAATTTTTGTTTTAAGTTTTTTTTCTTTTTAAAAATATATCTTTTTCAGGGCGGGCGCGGTGGCTCATGCCTGTAATCCCAGCACTTTGGGAGGCCAAGGTGGGGGGATCACGAGGTCAGGAGATCGCGACCATCCTGACTAACATGGTGAAACTCCGTCTCTACTAAAAATGCAAAAAATTAGCCGGGCATGGTGGCAGGGGCCTGTAGTCCCAGCGACTCGGGAGGCTGAGGCAGGAGAATGGCGTGAACCTGGGAGGCAGAGCTTGCAGTGAGCTGAGATTGCATCACTGCACTCCAGCCTAGGGGACAGAGCGAGACTCCATGTCAAAAAATAAAAATAAAAAAATATATATATATCTTTTTCTTTTTCTGAGATGAGGCTTGCACTGTGGCCCAGGCTGGAGTGCAGTGGTGAGATTATTGACAGCCGTTGTGGGGCCGCGGTTCTAAGTTTAAAAGAATTTAGGCTGGGTGTGGTGGCTAATGCCTGTCATCCCAGCACTTTGGGAGTCCAAGGTGGATGGATCGCTTTAGCTGCAAAGTTTGAGACCAGCCTGGGCAACATACTGAGACCCTATCTAAGAAAAAAATAAATAAATAAAATAAAATAAATGAATAAAAAAGAATTTAAAAAAGAATCCCACAGCAAAGACAATGCACCATAGAGCAATTTATTGCCAAGGAAAGGTATTTTGGAAGTTAAGTTTAGAACAGCCTGGGTGCACTGGCTCATGCCTGTAATCCCAGCACTTTTGGAGGCCGAGATGGGTGGATCACTTGAGCTCAGAAGTTCAAACCAGCTTAGCCAACATTAGCTGGACATTGTGGTGTGAGCCTGCAATCCCGGCTACTCAGGAGGTTGAGATGGGAGAATTGTTTGAACCCGGGAGGTGGAGGTTGCAGTCAGCTGAGATTGCAACACTGCACTCCAGCCTAGGTGACAGAGTGACACCCCCATCTCAAAAAAAATAGTGAAGTGCAAAATGCACAGTTCACCCTGAGACACAGAATTCAGGACAGGCTGCTCGTAAGGATGAGACAGCACCGATTATTACTGGGGAAACTCCCTTTCTGGGAGTCTTCCGTGATGAATTCCTAAGGAGCTGGGAAGAGGTGTTACTGTAAGCACGTTCTGGGCCGTCCTCTGGTTGCACATGCGTAGTAGCTGTACATGCTTGTTCACACGTCACGTGTCTCAGTGCCGTGGTTGGCATGTCTGAGGGACACGGTCACTTCCTTGACTACCTATCCTGCCTCAAGATCATAGCTCACTGCAGCCCCGAACTCCTGGCTCAAGCAATCCTCCCACTTCAGCCTCCCAAGTAGCTGGGGCTGCCGGGGCTGCAAGCACGCACCACCACGACCGGCTGATTGTTTGTATTTTTAGGGAAGAAGTGGTTTCCCTATGTTACCCAGGCTGGTCTTGAACTCCTGGTCTCAAGCGATCCTCCCACCCCAGCCTCCTCAAGTGTTGGGATTACAGGTGTGACCACTGCACCTGGCCAAAATCTTTTTTTAAATTAAAAAAAGCACCGGGTGCGGTGGCTCACACCTGTAATCCCAGCACTTTGGGAGGCCAAGGCGGGTGGATCACCTGAGGTCAGGGGTTCAAGACCAGCCTGGCCAATATGACAAAACCCATCTCTACTAAAAATATAAAAATTCGCCAAGCATGGTGGTGCACGTCTATAATCCCAGGTACTTGGGAGGCTGAGACAGGAGAATCACCTGAACCCCAGAGGTGGAGGTTGCAGTGAGCCGAGATCATGCCACTGCACTCCAGCCTGGGGGACAGAGTGAGACTCCGTCTCAAAAAAAAAAAATAAGAAATTAAATTTAAAAAAAGCAACAGAAACAAATGGCTGCCTGGCAGCGGTGGCTGCAGGGCGCTCCTGTTTGTGTGACTCAGGTCGTGTCCCTCCCTCAGCCCTGGTCTCTCTTGTTTCTTGCAGGGCTGGTGAATTACCAGATCTCTGTCAAGGGCAGTAACCTGTTCAAGTTGGAAGTGCGTCTTTTGGATGCAGAAAACAAAGTCGTGGCGAATGGGACTGGGACCCAGGGCCAACTTAAGGTGCCAGGTGTCAGCCTCTGGTGGCCGTACCTGATGCACGAACGCCCTGCCTATCTGTATTCATTGGAGGTAATGGTGGTTTGGGACATGCCTAAGGGAGGTCTTTTGCCCCCATGTGGTGACCCTGGCTTCAGCAGGAGCCCAAGACAGGTGGATGGGCAGGCATGGTCCTCTGAGCTTTCTGATGTTTCTCACCCTTGGTGGGAGGCCCATTTTCTTTTTTTTTTTTTTTTTTGAGATGGTCTCACTCTGTCACCCAGGCTGGAGTGCAATGGCCTGATCACAGCTCACTGCAGCCTTGAACTCTCAGCCTGCAGCAGTCCTCCTGCCTTGGCCTCCTGAGTAGCTGGGACTACAGGCACATGCCACCATGTCTGGCTAAATAAAAAAAATTTTGTAGCCTGGGCAGAGTGACTCATGCCTGTAATCTCAGCATTTTGGGAGGCTGAGGTGGGTGGATCACTTGAGGCCAAGAGTTCAAGACCAGCCTGGCCAACATGGTGAAACCCCATCTCTACTAAAAATATGAAAATTTGCTGGGCATGGTGGCGAACACCTGTAATTCCAGCCACTCGGGAGGCTGAGGCAGGAGAATTGCTTGAACTCAGGAGGCAGAGGCTGCAGTGAGCTGAGATCACACCACTGCACTCCAGCCTGGGGGACAGACTGAGACTGTCTCAGAAGAAAAACATTTTTTTTTTATAGAGATGGGGTCTCAGTCTGTCAGCAGGCTGGTCTTCAACTCCTGGACTCAAGTGATCCTCCTGCCTTAGCCTCCCAAAGTGTGGGAACTCCAGGCATGAGCCACCTTGTCTTGTCAAAGGGAAGGCCATGTTTTGAAGGGCAGGTTCCCAGGGTCAGCCAGGGTAGGGCAGAACCTCTGATTGCTGCATCTCTGCTTACAGGCCCAGAGGCAGCTGCTGGGGTGCACGAGGGGCCTTCCTGCTGGAGGGCAGGCCGGATGGGGCTCAGGCTGTCGGGGTGCTCACACCTGGTGCTTTGGCTGTCATAGGTGCAGCTGACTGCACAGACGTCACTGGGGCCTGTGTCTGACTTCTACACACTCCCTGTGGGGATCCGCACTGTGGCTGTCACCAAGAGCCAGTTCCTCATCAATGGGAAACCTTTCTATTTCCACGGTGTCAACAAGCATGAGGATGCGGACGTGTGTTGGGGCTCCTGGGTCCTTGTCGGGGCTGCTTCTGGTCACCCTCCACTTTCGCCTTCCCTGTGTCCTGCAGTTGAGGGCAGCTCAGGGCAATGAGGCAAATGGCTCCAAATGGAGAGGGGGCTCATGGGGTGGCTCTCCAGGGTCCTGGCTCTCAGAGGAAGTGCAGCTTCGACAGGGACAGGGGTCACTTGGCTCTGCTATCTCCTAGATCCGAGGGAAGGGCTTCGACTGGCCGCTGCTGGTGAAGGACTTCAACCTGCTTCGCTGGCTTGGTGCCAACGCTTTCCGTACCAGCCACTACCCCTATGCAGAGGAAGTGATGCAGATGTGTGACCGCTATGGGATTGTGGTCATCGATGAGTGTCCCGGCGTGGGCCTGGCGCTGCCGTGAGTCTCTGCTGTGCACCTGCTCCGCCTGCCCAGCCCGGGGGCGTCACCGTGACCCTCTGTCCCTTCCCTCCTGGCCCGCAGGCAGTTCTTCAACAACGTTTCTCTGCATCACCACATGCAGGTGATGGAAGAAGTGGTGCGTAGGGACAAGAACCACCCCGCGGTCGTGATGTGGTCTGTGGCCAACGAGCCTGCGTCCCACCTAGAATCTGCTGGCTACTACTTGAAGTGAGTGCTCCCTCCCTGCCCTCGGCTAGAGTGGGAAGGAGACCCTGGCAGGTGGCTGGCCTCGGTGGGCATGTGCTGTTCAAGATCGGCCTCGTGTCCAGCCCAATGGGAAGGCCGTCCATACCCAGATAGTTCAGGGGACCAAATATCTACCCACCCAAATTGTGGTTTTCTTTTTTGTTCTTTTTTTTTCTTTTTGAGATGGAGTCTCACTATATGGCCCAGGCTGGAGTGCAGTGGGGTGATCTCCGCTCATTACAACCTCTGCCTCCTGGGTTCAAGTGATTCTCCTGCCTCAGTCTCCTGAGTAGCTAGGATTACAGGCACCCATGAACCACTGTGCTGGGGCTGTTTTTTTTTTTCAAAATGGGTTCTCACTCTGGTTGCCCAGGTTGGAGTGCAGCGGTGCAGTTTTGGCTTACTGCAGCCTTGACTTCCCAGGCTCAGGTGATCCTCCTGTCTCAGCCTCCCAAGTAGCTGGGATTCTAGATGTGTGTCATCACGCCCAGCTAATTTTTGCTTTATTTTTTATTTTTTGGATATGCAGTCTCCCTCTATTGCCCAGGATGGAGTGCAGGGGCATGATCTCAGCTCACTGCAACCTCTGCCGCTCAGGTTCAAGTGATTCTCCAGCCTCAGCCTCCCGAGTAGCTGGGATTACAGGCACATGCCACCACGCCCAGCTAAGTTTTCCTTTTTTCCTTTTTATGAGATGGAGTCTCACTCCGTGGCCAGGCTGGAGTGCAGTGGCGCAATCTCGTCTCACTGCAACCTTCACCTTCCAGGTTCAAGTGATTCTCCTGCCTCAGCCTCCTGAGGAGTTGGGATTACAGGCACACGCCAACATACCCTGCTAATTTTTGTATTTTTAGCAGAGACGGGGTTTCACCATTTTGGCTAGGATGGTCTCGATCTCTTGAACTCATGATCCGCCTGCCTCGGCCTCCTGAAGTGCTCGGATTACAGGCGTGAGCTACCACGCCTGGCCAACTTTTGCATTTTTCAGTAGAGACGGGGTTTCACTATGTTGGGCCAGGCTGGTCTTGGACTACTGACCTCAGGAGATCCACTTACCTCGGCCTCCCAGAGTGCTGGGATTACAGGCGTGAGCCACCGTGCCCGGCTAATTAGAGACTGGGTTTCACCATGTTTGCCAGGCTGGCGTGGAACTCCTGGCCTCTAGTGATCCTCCTGCCTCACCTTCCCAAAGTGCTGGGATTACAGGTGTGAACCACCACACCTGGCCCCCTTTTCTTCCTTACAATCGTGCAGTTCTAACTCAGCGTTCAGAGTTGGATTTTTCACTTGGGGTAGAAGCAGGAGAGGTGGTAGAAATGCCTCTTGACTCATACAGCACACCCCAATTTCATGCAGTGCTTTGGGCTGAGCCAAGTCTGCAGCAGGCAGAAGGCTCTGAGAAGTTGTTGCAGCCTGGGCCAAGGACAATTCAGAGCTTGGGGGCACAGGGGTGTGCTCAGCAGGACTGGGTGGACAGGCCCTTTGTTGCGAAGGGGAAGAGTACAGGCTTCCAGGAGCAGGTGTTTGAGGCTTCTTTGGGAGGTGGCCAGAGGAGATGCCTGTTTTCTGGGGCAGGATTTGGAGGGAGCCACCCAGGCTGGAGAGGTTCAGCCAGGCTGTCACAGGCTTTGAAGTTTCCCATCTGAGAGCCTGGCTGTTGGAGAGTGTGGGTTTGGAACTTGAGGCTAGGGGGTTCTTTTCTGATCTGTGCCAGCCACAGCCTTCGGATAGGCAGAGCAATGATGGGGGAGGGCGTAAAAGAAGAAATGAACTGAGGAAAGAGAAGAGGAAAACAGGCTTCAACAACAGTCTAGGCTGGGTGCGGTGGCTCACGCCTGTAATCCCAGCACTTTGGGAGGCCAAGGTGGGTGGATCACCTGAGGTCAGGAGTTTGAGACCGGCGTGGCCAACAGATATTGAAACCCTGTCTCTACTAAAAATAAAACAATTAGCGGAACACAGAGGTGGGCGTCTGTAATCCCAGCTACTTGGGAGGCTGAGGCAGGAGAATTGCTTGAGCCCAGGAGGTGGAGGTTGCAGTGAGCCAAGATCATGTCATTGCACTCCAGCCTGGGCTACAGAGTGAGATTCTGTCTCTCAAAAAAACAAAAACAAAAACAGTCTGTACTGTGGAGGCCTCGGGCAGGTGCCAGGAGCTCTGAGCACAGACGGGTCCCTCTGTTGGGTTTTTCTTCCCTTCTAAGGGCCATTTCTTCTTATTTATTTATTTATTTTTTGAGATGGAGTTTTGCACTTGTTGCCCAGGCTGGAGTGCAATGGCACAATCTCGGCTCACCACAACCTCTGCCTCCTGGGTTCAAGTGATTCTCCCGCCTCAGCCTCCCGAGTAGCTGGGATTACAGGCATGCGCCACCACGCCCAGCTAATTTGTATTTTTAGTAGATATGGGGTTTCTCCGTGTTGGTCAGGCTGGTCTCGAACTCCCAACCTCAGGTTATCTGCCTGCCTCAGCCTCCCAAATAGCTGGGGCCACAGGTGTGTGCGGCCATGTCAGGCTAAGTTTAAATTTTTTTTTTTTTTTCCGCAAGATGGAGTCTTGCTTGTTGCCCAGGCTGGAGAGCACTGGTGCAATTTTGGCTCACTACAACCTCTACCTCCTGGGTTCAGGCAATTCTTCTGCCTCAGCCTCATGAGTAGCTGGGATTCCAGGCGCATGCCACCATGCCCAGCTAGGTTTTTTTTGTATTTTTTTGTAGAGATAGACTTTTACCATGTTGACCAGGCTGGTCTCAAACTCTTGACCTCATGATCCACCCGCCTCGGCCTCCCAAAGTGTTGGGATTACAGGCGTGAGCCACCATGCCCGCCCCTAATTTTTAAATTTGTTGTAGAAACAAGGTCTTGCTATGTTGCCCAGGCTGGTCTTGAACTCCTGGTCTCTGGTAAAACTCCCAAAGTGCTGGGATTCTAGGCGTGAGCCGCCTTGCCCGGCACTTGCACCATTTCTCTGCATGCGTCTCCACTCCCACTGCCCAGGACCTGTGGACTTAGATTTGAGTCACTGCTGAGCACCTCGCACCTAGCCCCATGCCTGCCTCCCAGCCTGCACTCCGTTTGCTTGATGCATTAATAAATATCCCTCCCAAATCTGCATCCATCCACCTCCTGTGTTCAAGAGCTGTTTCAGGGCGTCAACCTCATTTTTGCCAGTGTCCAGCCTAGTGACCTCAGCTCTGTGTACCTGGAAGAGTGGCTGCTCCTCTGGGGGTATAGGATTCGGAGATGGGGGTAGAAGGAGTGATGTTAGAGAGCTCGGTCTAGGACTAGAGGATCATATGCCCTTATGTAAAATACATCTCAAGTTAGGGAAGAAAGCAGCGGCTCCATGCTTTTTTTTTTTTCCCCTTTGTTTTTGTTTGTTTGTTTTGAGACAGGGTCTTGCTCTGTGGACCAGGCTGGAGTGCAGTGGCATGATCTTGGCCCACTGCAGACTCCTCCTTCTGGGTTCACGCCATTCTTCTGCCTCAGCCTCCTGAGTAGCTCAGACTATAGGCGCCGGCCACCACGCCCGGCTAATTTTTTGTATTTTTAGTAGAGACGGGGTTTCACCGTGTTAGGATGGTATCGATCTCCTGACCTTGTGATCTGCCCGCCTCGGCCTCCCAAAGTGCTGGGATTACAGGCGTGAGCCACTGCGCCTGGCCGCTAATTTTTGTATTTGTAGTAGATAGAGTTGGGGTTTCACCATGTTGGCCAGGCTGATCTTGAACTCCTGACCTCAAGTGATCCACCCACCTCGGCCTCCCAAAGTGCTGGGATTACAGGTGTGAACCATCGTGCCTGGCCCCGTGTTGTGTTCTGGCGGTGGAAGATGGGACAGAGAGGATGGGAGGGTGTCTGAGCCATTCCTGGACTGATGGAACCTGTTTCTTCTGCCTTTTGTGGACAGGATGGTGATCGCTCACACCAAATCCTTGGACCCCTCCCGGCCTGTGACCTTTGTGAGCAACTCTAACTATGCAGCAGACAAGGGGGTGAGCCTGGGGGTCCCCACCCCACTTCTCCCTGCCTTTGCCTGGGCTTGTCCTGAAGCCTGGTCATGGGAACAGCCAGGAAGAACCATGCGCTGCCAGTCTGGGTTTTATTTCATTTTCTTTTTTACTTAAAAAGATAGAGACAGGGTCTTGCCATGTTGCCCAGGCTGGTCTCCAACTCCTGGGCTCAAGCAATCCTCCTGCCTTGGCCTCCCAAAGGGCTGGGGTTACAGGTGTGGGCCACCACACCCCGGCCGCAGCCAGTCTGTTTTCACAGATGGTCTTTGGGTTAATGAGAATTCTCCCCCTGCTTACTCGCCAGGCAGTGTGGCTTTCTCAATCCAAGGAGGCTGGGCATAGGGAGATGGGATTTGTTTGCTCAGTTTGGACTCAGCATTTTTTGCACTTCGATTTAATAGACTCATAAAACATCAAAGATTTAAGGGAGCTTAGAGTTCATCTGGCCCACACCTGGCTGATGAGAATCTCTAGGGGAAGTTTTTATGAAATGCCAGATCTCTGCATTCTGAGGTCCTGATTTAGTACGTCCAGGGTTGGAACTTGAGTTTTTCTTTTTCTTTTGTAGAGGCAAGGTCTTACTCTCTTGCCCTGGCTGGAGTGCAGTGGTGCAATCACAGCTCACTGCAGCCTTGAATTCCTGAGCCCAAGTGATCCTCCTGCCTCAGCCTCCCGAGTAGCTGGGACTCCAGGTTTTCACCACTGCGCCTAGCTAATTTTATATCTTTTTGTAGAGGTGGCATCTCTCTATGTTGCCCAGGCTGGTCTCAAAGTCTTGAGCTCAAGTGATCTCCTGCCTTGGCCTCCCAAAGTGCTGTGATTACAGGCATGAGTTGCAGTGCCTGGCTGACATTAGCATTCTTTATTTATTTATTTATTTATTTTGAGATGGAATCTTGCTCTGTTGCCCAGGCTTGAGTGAAATGGTGCAATCTCAGCTCGCTGCAACCTCGTCCTCCCAGGTTCAAGCAATTCTGCCTCGGCCTCCTGAGTAGCTGGGATTACAGGTGCATGCCACCACACCCAGCTAATTTTTGTATTTTTTAGTAGAGATGGGGTTTTGCCATGTTAGCCAGGCTGGTCTCAAACTGCTGATCTCAGGTGATCTGCCCACTTTGGCCTCCCAACGTGCTGGGATTACAGGCGTGAGCCACCACACCCGGCCAGCATTTTTACTAGAAAGAAATGTGTTCAGGACGCATTAGAAACTAGCCAGTTGGACACAGAAGCCCCTGCTGCTCAGCTGTAAGCACCGCTATGCTGAAGCTTGGGGTGGTCCTACTCGGTCGTCACCGCCCTGCTCCTTGGAGTGACTTTTCTGGCCCTCTGCAGTCCACAGTGCTGCCTTGTGAAAGCTCCCTCAAGATCCTCTGTGACAGCCGGGCATGGTGGCTTACACCTATCATCCCAGCACTTTGGGAGGCCGAGGCAGGCAGATTACTTGAGATCAGGAGTTCAAGACCAGCCCAGCCAACTGGTGAAACTTCATTTCTACCAAAAATACAAAAAATTAGCTGGGCGTGGTGGCGCACGCCTGTAATCCTAGCTACTCGGGAGACTGAGGCATGAGAAGCACCTGATGGTGGGAGGCAGAGGTTGCAGTGAGCTGAGATCGCACCACTAACATTCTAGCCTGGGCGACAGAGCGAGACTCTGTCTCCAAAACAAAACAAAAGATTTTCTGTGAGAATGACTGCATCGGCCCCTCGGGTGGCAGCGCTTCTCCAGGGCAAGGTGAGGGGAAGCCCAGTGATGGGAGTGCTGCCTGGAGAGGAGTCAGTTCCAGTGGTGGGGGCCCTGGGCTTTGGCTGAGGGCTGTGCGTTGGCAGCTGCTGTGCCTCTCACAGCCCTTCCCAGCGGCGCACGTCATGAGTGTCAGTGTGGAGTCCCAGGCCTACCTCCTCTGGGCCACTTTGTGACCATGTTTCTTGCCTATGGCAGGGTAATTTCAGGATCTAAATTGGTACACTTGGACGTTCTCAGCCCCAGGAGGCAGCTGTTCCCGTTCTAGGTTTTTTTTTTTTTTTTTTTTTGGTAGAAATGGGGGCTTGTGATGTTGCCCAGGCTGGTCTCGAACTCCTGGGATCAAGTGATCCTCCCATCTTGGCCTCCCAATGTGCTGGGATTACAGGCATGAGCCACCGTGCCCTGCTAATTTTCTTACTACTATTTTTTGTAATGCTGCAGTCTTGCTGTGTTGCCCAGGCTGGTCTTAAGCCATCCTCCTGCCTCAGCCTCCCAGAGTGCTGGGATTACATCCCCCTTACCTTCTCTGCCAGAGGAGCCCCCGCAGTGTGTGAATGCTGAGTCATGCTGTCTACTGAGTGCTGAACGGGCTCTGCTGCTCTGGTCCTAGGCTCCGTATGTGGATGTGATCTGTTTGAACAGCTACTACTCTTGGTATCACGACTACGGGCACCTGGAGTTGATTCAGCTGCAGCTGGCCACCCAGTTTGAGAACTGGTATAAGAAGTATCAGAAGCCCATTATTCAGAGCGAGTATGGAGCAGAAACGATTGCAGGGTTTCACCAGGTAAGCAGTGTTGAGCTTTCTGCTTGTGTGTTCTCTCAGGGCAGAGATGTCACTCACCTCCTCCAGCCTGACCTGCGCCCACTGCACTGCTCCCCTCGCTTCAGCTTTGGGCTCTCCTCCCACGGCCCCGTCCACGTTCCCTCACCGCCAACAGCCAGGCCTGTGCCCCACTCACTTGGTCCTCAGAGGTGGCCTCCTTACTGGCTTTGTTTCCAGATAGCCTCCTATCACCCGTGCCCAAGTGGTCTTTCTAACAGATCCAAATTTGTATTTGTTTTTGAGACCGGATCTCTCTGTCACCCAGGCTGGAGTGTGGTGGTGCGATCACTGCTCACTGCAGCCTTAACCTCCTGGGCTCAAGTGATCCTCCCACCTCAGCCTCCTGAGTAGCTGGGACCATAGGCACATGCCAACACGCCTGGCTAATTTTTTTACTTTTGTAGAGATGGGGTCTTGCCATGTTGCCCAGACTGGTCTTGAACTCCTGGCCTCAAGTGATCTGCCTCAGGCTCCCAAAGTGCTGGGATTACAGGTGTGAGCCTCTGCACCAGCCACAGTTGAAAATTTTGGGAGTCCTGTCATTGGCTCCCCCAGGCCCACAGGACAAAGCCCTAACCTCTGGTCAGGACACTCAGTGTCCTCTGCTCTCTCCTGGGTTTTCATCCCCTTCTCCCCTCTATCCCAGCCACTGATCTGTTTCCACTGCCCTCGCTTGCTCTCCTGCTCTTGCTTGAGCTGTTTCTTCTGCCTGGAATGCCCATGTTGGCACCATAATCACCAACTAAAATATCCTTTTTCTTAATTTTCATATTTTAGATATAGGGTCTTGCTATGTTGTCCAGGCTGGTCTCAAACTCCTGGACTCAATTGATCTTCCTGCCTTGGCCTCCAAAAGTGCTGGAATTACAGGCATGATCCACTGTGCTAGCCTTTTTTTCTTTTTCTTTTTTTCAGGGTCTTGTTGTGTTGCCCAGGCTGGAGTGCAGTGGTGTCATCATAGCTCACTGCAGCCTTGAACTAAAGGGCTGAAGTAATTCTTCCACCTCAGCCTCCTGAGTAGCTGGGACGACAGGCATGAACCACCATGTGCAGCCTATTTTTAAATTTTTTTGTAAAGATGGAGTCTATCAGGCTGGTCTAGAACTCCTGGCCTTACGTGATTGTCCTGCCTCAGACTCCCAAAGTGCTGGGAATCCAGGCATGAGACACCATGCCCAGCCTGTCGTCATTTTTTTAATCTATCTCATTTTTTTGTCCTCCTCACCAAAGATATGTTGGTTTGTCTTGTGAGGTTTTTTTTTTCCTGTGGATTCCTGAACCCCATCCAGCCCCTCATTCCCACCCCAGCCAGCTCACACTTGTTTGTCACAGCTCCTGGTTGACACACAGGGAACAGCCACCCACAGTGGACTGCGCTGTTCTGTTTGCACCCTTAAATTTATCGTGCTTACAGAATGCCACTTCTGCAAACTAGTCAAGTAGGGGAAGTGGCTCTTGGATATATTTGCTTGCGCATCCTCTTTGAAAAGGTAACCAGCTCTGAATTCTTTTTTTTTTTTTGACACAGAGTTTCGCTCTCGTTGCCTAGGCTGGAGTGCAGTGGCGCGATCTCGGCTCACTGCAATGTCCACCTCCCTGGTTCAAGCGATTCTCATGCCTCAGCCTCCCGAGTAGCTGGGATTACAGGCATGCGCCACCACGCCCACCTCATTTTGTATTTTTAGTAGAGATGAGGTTTCACCATGTTGGTCAGGCTGGTCTTGAACTCCTGACCTCAAGTGATCCGCCCGCCTTGGCCTCCCAAAGTGCTGGGATTACAGGCATGAGCCACCGTGCCAAGCCCTAGCTCTGAATTCTTAAGAAACTCTTGAGAGGGTCTAGGTCAGTGCTGATAGAACCTCTGCAGTGCTGGGCATGGTGGCTCACACCTGGAATGCTGGCACTTTGGGAGGCCAAGGTCAGAGGATCTCTTGAGCCCAGGAGTTTGAGACCAGTCTGTGCAACATAGACCCCATCTCTACAAAAAATTTAAAATTAGTTGGGCATGGTTATGAGTGCTTGTAGTCCAAGCCACTTGGGAGGCTGAGGTGGGAGGATTGTTTGAGCCCAGTAGGTCAAGGCTGCATTCAGCTATGATTGCACCACTGTACTCCCACCTGGGTGACAGAGTGAGACCTTGTTTCAAAAAATAAAAAAAAACAAACTTGCAATGATGGAAATGTTCTATATTTGCACTGTCTGAAATGGTACACACTAGCTACACATGGCTACTGAGGTCTTGATATATGACTAGGATAACTGAATTGATTTAGTTTAATTAAATAAATTTTTTTGAGACAGCCTCACTCTGTTGCCCAGGCTGGAGTGCAGTGGCATAATCACAGCTCACTGCTCAACCTCCTGGGCTCAAGCGATCCTCCCTCCTTAGCCCCAAGTAGCTTGAACTGCAGGCGTGCGCCACCACACCTGGCTAATATTTTGACTTTTTGTAGAGACTGGGTCTCACTGTGTTGCCTAGACTAGTCTTGAAATCCTGGGCTGAAGTGATCCTCCTGTCTCGACCTCCAAAAGTGCTGGCATTACAGACCTGAGGTACCATGCCCAGCCTGGTTTGGTTGAGTTTAATTTAATTTAATTTTTATATATATATATATATTTATTAGAGACAGGGTCTCACTGTGTCACCCAAACTGGAGTGCAGTGGTGTGAACACAGCTCACTGTCGCTTTGATCTCTGGGGCTCAAGCAGTCCTCCAACCTCAGCCTCCCAAGTAGCTGGGACCACAGATGTGTGCCACTAGGCTTGGCTAATTTTTGTACTTTTTGTAGAGATGGGGTCTTGCTATGTTGCCCAGGCTGGTCTTGAACACCTGGGCTCAAGCAGTCCTCCCACCTCAGCCTCCCAAATTGCTGGGATGACAGACATGAGCCACTGCACCTGACTGAAAGACATATTTTTGCCTGTAGTGTAGTTTAGCCTTAAGACTGTACCAGCAGATAGAGGTGGAAAAGTAATGTGAAACGAATGTCAAATTACGTTTATAAATAAAGCAGCTGCTCATTAAGGTTGTTTTTTTTTTTAAACCTCCTTTTTTATTCTGGGTTACATCATTCCCTGGCTGTCTTTACCCCAGCATCAGTGAGTCCTGCAGTCACTATAGCCCCCTGTGAAGACAGATATTTTGGTCACCATCAAGTGGATCTTTATTTTTATCTAACATTTACAATTCTGCCAGTTCTGACTCTTACATTCTCTTTGCCTTGAATCCTAGGATCCACCTCTGATGTTCACTGAAGAGTACCAGAAAAGTCTGCTAGAGCAGTACCATCTGGGTCTGGATCAAAAACGCAGAAAATACGTGGTTGGAGAGCTCATTTGGAATTTTGCCGATTTCATGACTGAACAGTGTAAGTGGCAGTTTGGCTCATGGGATAACGTACCCGTCCTCATTTTTTCAGGTTGCCTTTCCAATTCTGGCCATTTCAATTGTAAGAATATTGGAAACAAAGTTGGGGAAGCTGGTTTAATCCATGTAGGTTGCGTTGAGAATTTTCTAGGAAAAGTAAGTTGTGTTTAGGAAGTAGGAAAGCAATCAGGCCCCCGCCTCCCAAATACGGTCAAAAAGCAAACAGGAGAGTCAGCTATAGTGAATCGGAAATGGCTGGCTTGCCTTTTCCTTGTCTATTTTGTAGCCAAGGAGGAACGAAAAACGGGACCTCATCATGGATTTACTTTTGGGATACACTCATTATTCCATAGAAGGGTACAAAGCCTGAGAAACTTAAGGTATTTCAGTCTGTTGTATATTACTTGCGAAAAGCAGGCTTATCAAATACAGGTGAGTTTCAACGCATCTTGAATTTGGCAGCATTTACAAGTCTTCAGGCCAGGTGTAGTGGCTCACGCCTGTAATCCCAGCACTTTGGGAGGTCAGGGTGGGAGGATCGCTTGAGGCCAGGAGTTCAAGACCAGCCTGTTCAGCATAGCAAGACCCCATCTCTACAAAAAATAAACAGATTAGCTAGGCGTGGTGGTGTGTGCCTGTAGTCTCAGCTGCTTGGGAGGCTGAGGCAGGCGGATAACCTGAGCACAGGAGTTGGAGGCTGCAGTGAACTATGATTGCACCACTGCACAAGAGCCTGGACAACAGAGTGAGACTTGTCTTTAAAACACAAGATTGGTCTTCAAAGAGAATAACATCTGCGGTGTCTTGTGAGGATGGATGAGGGGCTGCCAAGTTCGCAATGAATGTGTCCCATTTCTTCTTAGTTTATGGACTTACCATAAACTGAAGATAGCAGTTTGGTGGGTTGGAGAAGCATGTGGTAATGGTGGGAATTATAATACATTACTTACAGGGAAAGACAGGCCTTTGAAAGGTAAAGCGTAAGAGTGAGAATGGAATACGGATGAATGAATGAACAAGATGAGGTGAGAAGGAAGAGGTAAAGGGAAAAGGAGAACAGGAAGCTGTCCTCTGCGTGGCACCTGTGATAAATGGTTTCTGGGGACATCCCTGATGGCAGTTTTGTGGAGAGGTGCGAGGCTTTATGCGGTAAGAAATGAGCTGCAGGCTGGGCGCAGTGGCTCAAGCCTGTGATCCCAGCACTTTGGGAGGCCAAGGTGGACAGATCACCTGAGGTCAGGAGTTTGAGACCAGCATGGCCAACATGGAGAAACCCCATCTCTACTAAAAATACAAAATTAGCCGGGTGTGGTAGCGCATGCCTGTAATGCCAGCCACTTGGGAGACTGAGGCATGAGAATCTGTTGAACCTGGGAGATGGAGGTTGCAATGAGCTAAGATCACAGCACTGTACTCCAGCTTGAGCAATAGAGTGAGACTCTTTTTTTTTTTTGAGACGGAGTTTTGCTCGTTTCCCAGGCTGGAGTGCAGTGGCGCTATCTCAGCCTACTGCAACCTCCACCTCCCAGGTTCAAGCAATTCTCCTGCCTCAGCCTCCCGATTAACTGGGATTGCAGGCATGCGCCACCACACCCGGCTAATTTTGTATTTTTAGTAGAGACGGGGTTTCTCCATGTTGGTCAGGCTGGGCTTGAACTACCGACCTCAGGTGATCCGCACATCTGGGCCTCCCAAAGTGCTGGGATTACAGGCATGAGCCACCATGGCCAGCTGAAACTCGGTCTTAAAAAGAAAAAAGAAATGAGCTGCATCACGTTGGGCAAGTCACCTAAGCTTTTCATAAGCCTGTCCAGTGGGGATAATGCCACCTCCTTGTTGGTGTCGTAAGGGCTGCATTTGATGAAGTACTTGGCGATGCCTGTGTTCACTTATGGAAGAAACAGTCTTGAACCTTTTGGTGGGGAAAGCCCCCTTTCCATTTAACATTTCCATTTAGTGGTGGTCTTACTGGGGACAGAGAATGTCCTGAGAGCACAGCCCTGACAGGTCGTTGCCAGCTGTGCTCCTCCACCAGGCTCAGCTCAGGCCTAATGACCACCAGTGGTGGGTGCTGCCAAGCTGGACGTCAGCCCCGGCGGACTTTGAACTCCATGAGTAGGTCCCACGCAGGGACCTGTGGCTGGTCAGGACCCTGGCTCCCACTAGGCGCTATCTCTTCAGAAAGGCCCAAGGCTTTTCAAGGGTAACTGTCCCAGATACCCCTAGCCCTCTGCCTACCCAGTTACCAGACAGCTGGGTACCCAGCATGTAAACCTTAGTTTGCAAATAAAAGATAAACTTTTAGTGCTTTTTTTTTTTTTGGAGATGGAGTCTCACTCTGTCGCCCAGGCTGGAGTGCAGTGGCACAATCTCAGCTCACTGCAACCTCTGCGTCCTGGGTTCAAGCGATTCTCCTGCCCCAGCCTCCTGAGTAGCTGGGACCACAGGCACCCACCACCATGCCTGTATAATTTTTGTATTTTTAGTAGAGATGAGGTTTCACCATATTGTCCAGGCTGGTCTTAATCTCCTGACCTTGTGATCCGCCTGCTTTGTCCTCCCAGAGTGCTGGGATTACAGGCATGAGCCAATGTGCCCAGCCAGTTTTTGTATTTTTAATAGAGGCGGGTTTCCTCATGTTGGCCAGGCTGATCTTGAACTCCTGACCTCAGGTGATCCACCTGCCTCAGCCTCCCAAAGCACTGGGATTACAGGCGTTGGCCACCACACCTGGCCACTGTTTTGGGTTTTTTTCCCCTAACAGACTAGAAAACTAGAAATTAACACACCAGGGAACCTGGGTGTTTGGGCAGAGCAGTGGTATTTAAATATTTCAACCCATAAATTGTCACTTCAGAGCAAGCATCCTGAAACTGTAAGAGGACATTTGGCTGAGCATGGTGGCTTGTGCTTATAATCCCAGCACTTTAGGGAGGCTAAGGAGGGCAGATTGCTTGAGCCCAGTAGTTTGAGACCAGCCTGGACAACATAATGAGACCTTGTCTTTACTAAAAAATAAAAATAAAAGATTACCGGGCATGGTGGTGCTGGAGAGGCTGAGGCAGGAGGATTGCCTGAGCCCAGGAGGTTGAGGCTGCAGTGAGCTATGATTGTGTCACCGCATTCCAGCCTGGGCAACAGGGAGAAA
Source organism: Homo sapiens (assembly GCF_000001405.40). Lineage (NCBI taxonomy): Eukaryota > Metazoa > Chordata > Mammalia > Primates > Hominidae > Homo > Homo sapiens. The sequence continues at coordinate 65,961,175 of NC_000007.14, read as the reverse complement.
AAAGAAAAAAAAAGACATTTCTATTTAGTGCCTACCTTAGCTCCAGACTGGTTCTAACTTGACCCATCAGAAGACATCTGAATCGCTTTGTGTCTTTTTTTTTTTTTTGTAGCACCGACGAGAGTGCTGGGGAATAAAAAGGGGATCTTCACTCGGCAGAGACAACCAAAAAGTGCAGCGTTCCTTTTGCGAGAGAGATACTGGAAGATTGCCAATGAAACCAGGTATCCCCACTCAGTAGCCAAGTCACAATGTTTGGAAAACAGCCTGTTTACTTGAGCAAGACTGATACCACCTGCGTGTCCCTTCCTCCCCGAGTCAGGGCGACTTCCACAGCAGCAGAACAAGTGCCTCCTGGACTGTTCACGGCAGACCAGAACGTTTCTGGCCTGGGTTTTGTGGTCATCTATTCTAGCAGGGAACACTAAAGGTGGAAATAAAAGATTTTCTATTATGGAAATAAAGAGTTGGCATGAAAGTGGCTACTGAAAAGCATCTGAAATCATTTCTGTGCGTCGTGCTGTTTTCAGAGCTTTAACTGTGTGTGGACTTTTGAGAAACTGCTGCTCCAACACCCCCACCACGTTCAGAGCAGCTGGTTCCCGAGGGCGTCTGCAGGAATAGCCCCATGGTCCTAGGGCCACCGTGTTTGTGTAGCAAACCAGGCCAGCCTCGACAGGGAGTGAGTAGAAGACTTTCACAGCTGCTGTTCGACTCCTCAGATGAGCTAAAGTCCCACATGTACCAACAAATTCATAGAAACGCTGTCATTGTTGCAGCACTTAACAGGGTCTGTGTGCCAGTTTCTACATAGTTAAGCTGGCAGTGTCTGAATTGGAAGGTTAGAGGTAACTGGTTCTCCCAGAACATTGTTTTGACCTCAGCCATAGGGTCTTGACAGAAATGGACAGATGAGTGTAAAAGCCTATTGGCTTTATCATAACGGATGCCACTGAATGTGACAGGACCTCCTTAAACAACTTTGCCTACAAATCAGCATTCCATGCCTTTACACCCCAAAATGACGCTACCTGCCCCCTCCCAGAGCACAGTCTTTCCTTAAGGAATCTGTCCTCCCTCTCTTCCTGGGCTCCAGTAAGGCAAGGATGGTGCATCAATTCTGATTTGAAGTATACGCTTTGGAAAAATACTCCTTTTGGTGTCCAGTCAGTTGAAAGACAATGAACCAATACAGTTTGTTTTGTTTGTTTTGAGACAGTCTTGCTCCGTCGCCCAGGCTGGAGTGCAGTGGCGCAATCTTGGCTCACTGCAACCTCCACCTCTGGGGTTCAAGCAATTCTCCTGCCTCATCCTCCCAAGTAGGTGGAACTACAGGCATCTGCCACCATTCCCAGCTAAATTTTTAAAAATATTTTTAGTAGAGATGGGGTTTCACCATGTTGGCCAGGCTGGTTTCGAACTCTTGACCTCAGGTGATCTGCTCGCCTCAGCCTCCCCAGGTGCTGGGATTATAGGCGTGAGCCACTGTGCCCGGCCTCCAATATGGTTCTTGCTATAGAACTTGATTTTCCCCTCTCTTGTGGTTGAGCCCCGTGTCTCCACACAGACCCTCCTTTTTAGCTTTCCTGTGCAAGCTCCATGAAAGAAAGAATAAAGTTAATTTCATGTGGTTTTATTAGGCATCGTCCATTTTTTAAAAATGAGTGTAGTCAGTTCCAATTAGGAATCTAGAGCTTCTGTATTTTTTTTATCAACTTCTCTTTAGTTTTTCAAAGGAATCAAGTTTTGTGTTCCAGTATGTCAAAGTATAATGAATAAAACTTTTAGTTGACAAACATTAAGAAAAGTTAAATGTAATAGACACATTTAAATGGTTTACAAATTAGGGGCAGTCCATTGTTTTTTTTCTTGAGCTGGAGTCTTCCTCTGTCGCCTAGGCTGCAGTGCAGTGGCGTGATCTCGTCTCACTGCAACCTCCGCCTCCCTGGTTCAAGCAATTCTCCTGCCTCAGCTTCCTGAATAGCTGGGATTACAGGCGCACACCACAATCCTGGCTAATTTTTCTGTATTTTTCAGTAGAGGCAGGTTTCACCATGTTGGCCAGGCTGGTCTTGAACTCCTGACCTCAAGTGATCCACCCGCCTCTACCTCCCAAAGTGCTGGGATTACAGGCATGAGCCATTGCACCCAGTGGGGGCAGTCCCTTTCCACAGGTCTTGAGCTCCAGCACAGAACACACTTGTTCTATTCCGTGAAGTATGGCTCAGCTGTATTTCCAACGGATTCATCTTTCTTGCCGATGCTACCTTTTTAGAGGATTATACAGGGAGTATTCAAGGTAAGCTAAAGTAAAACTATGGAAAAACAGCTCATTAATACATTCTGAGTGTTCACAGAACTGTAGGCAGTGACACATTTTTGTCATTAATTCTTGACAATCACATACACCGTAAACCTACAGGAATTCCAAGAACTAGAGGTCTGAGGACTCTGAATCTTCTGCAAGTTACATATGATTTAAGAGAAAAAGAATCAACCCTGTATACCTTAGAAATGAGGTTACAGTATTGACTTCAAGAATATAAGGCTCCTACTGAGTCTAAAAAGACTTCGTTTCAGTTCTTTTGGAATGCAACCCTGCAGTTTAAGAATAATGGGAGCACAACTTCCACAGGTAACTTCTACATTTATTTTATACCAAAAAAGTTATGTGCAACAAATAAACATTCTTACATATTTACATTTGGTTTTATTTACCAGTTAGCAAAACAGTGCCTTAAATCTCTGATAAAGAGTATTTCTATCTAGATTAAAGGGGAAACCTGCCCAGTGAACTCCATTTTAAATGACTGTTTACTCTGGAGCTTAAAGCACTAGTAAGAAATATTTCTGATGGAACATACTACACAGATCATATACCTAATAAATACTTAGGCCATGCTTAATACAGTTTTATAACAAAATATTTCACCTTTTCTGGGCGAATTTGTAGTAAAAAATGTTTAACCAAGTAGCCGGGGCTCCCACCCTTGCCCTTTTTGTTTGATGGAAGGGTAGTTCTCACAATTAGAAACCATAAGTGCTGCCTGAGGTGTCTGAAATGTTTCACCCATGACTGTGTGTTAGAGAAAAAGACACGAGGACAGAAATTGCATATTAGGTCATTAGGTCTTTTTCCCCAAATAGGTTACCAGAAATCACAGTGGGTCTCCTTGTTGGCATCTAATAATGATCTTCCAAGACAAGATCTCCTGTCACTCTTGGTACCAATCTAAGTTGTGAAGTAATTGCTGAAGATAACTCTGTACTTTTGCAAATAGTCTTTTCCAAAACTAAATGAAAAACAAAAGTCAACAAATAGTTTTTATTTTTATTTTTTTATTTGAGACAGAGTTTCACTCATTGCCCAGGCTGGAGTGCAATGGCGCAACTGTGGCTCACTGCAACCTCCACCTACTGGGTTCAAGCAATTCTCCTGCCTCAGCCTCTGGAGGAGCTGGCATTACAGGTGCCGCCACCATGCCCAGCTAATTTTTGTATTTTTAGTAAAGACAGGGTTCCACTATGTCGGTCAGGCTGATCTCGAACTTCTGACCTCAGGTGATCCAACCGCCTCGGCCTCCCAAAGTGCTGGGATTACAGGTGTGAGCCACCATGCCCAGCCAGCAAACAGTTTTAATTTCACTGTAGTCTTGGTCCTCTTTGAATGCAGTCTCTCTCTTTTTTTTTTGGGGGGGGGACAGTCTCGCTCTGTTGGCCAGGCTGGAGTGCAGTGGCATGATCTTGACTCACTGCAACCTCTGTCTCCCGGGCTCAAGCAATTCTCCTCCCTCAGCCTCCCGAGTAGCTGGGATTACAGGGGTGTGCCACTGCGCCTGGCTAATTTTTGTATTTTTAGTAGAGATGGGGTTTCACTATGCTGGCCAGGCTGGTCTTGAACTCCTGACCTTAGGTAATCCACCCGCCTCGGCCTCCCAAAGTGCTGGGATTATAGGCGTGAGCCACCGTGCCCGGCCGAATGTAGTTTCTTTGAATGAAAATAGTCAATGCTTTGAACATCATTTGAAAGTAATGAATTTAAGGAGAGGACACATGTATGAAGGAACAGTGATTCTGGGCACACAGCTAGTTAAACCTGAGTTATTTCACCGGAAATTTACCTTTAGTGAGAGCAACTAGCTGTAATGCAAAACAAATGAAATCCTCCAAATCACCTAGATTCCCTAGAATTTATCATCTAACCCCAATTCCTGTTATTTCTTCAAATGATATTTGTGAACATCAAGTCAATAAATGGCTTCATTTGGAACAAATCACTTAAAAAAGATGAGGCATGGAATTACTGCTAAAAACAAATGTTTCCCCTCATCTGTCCTTTAACACTGGTGGCTAGTAATGCTGCAGTGTTCAAATATTCAGTCTAAAACAGGCAAAACAATCTTCTAATTTTGTAACACTGGTGATTCCCCCCCTCTTCTGGGCAGAATCGGAGGTATAGAAAGGAATCTGAATTCTCCAGGGCAAAAAACACCCAATTAACACCCACCAGGATTCTGTTACTGAGACACTGGCATTACAATGCTGTTATGACAGGCAGTACGTGTTCCTCTCTCAGTGAGAAAAAGGGTATTAATTCGACTGGGCCATAGGAATGTGGCAAAAGTTTTTATACAACTGAAACAGTGGTTTCCCCGAGGCTTAGAAAAGCAAAGGAAAAACTGGAAGGGTCTGGCTGACCATTTTGCCATGTTTTCTCAGGTAAGAGTTGAAGACATTTGCAAGAATGCAACATCAAGACAAGCTTTAACTATACTCTGTTGATTGATACAAAATAGGATGAAAAACCATTGGATATTGGGACACGAGGAACTTGTTTAGCACAACCGATGTCATGTATACCACAGTTTTAACCATTAGGCCATTTCCACTGTAGCTTAGAAAAAAGAACCAGAGGACTGCCTTGGTAGAGCTGGATGCGCTGCTACAAGATGGCCTCACTGTACAGCCCTCAAACGTGAGGACTTCTTTCTCCATAGACACCAGATGGCCAATCAGTACTTTCTAGAGTTCTTTAACTACTTCAGAATGCAAGAACAGTACATACATACTCCAACAGCCATTGAAAGATTCACATTCATGGGAAAACACAAGTCTTGATGAAATCTTGACTTAAGCTCTCTTTTAAGAAACTGGTTGAAACTGGTGAAAAGTTCATTATGATTTGGACTTGATACCTGCCTCGGGCCAGAAGACCTACGTTGCATCAATTCTGAGTCAGTTGGAAGCTACGGAATTGTTGCTGACTCTACACATTTGAGTTTACAGAGCAGAGCCCGTCCCCTCCCTTCAAAGAGAAGGCAAATAAAGCACTCAAGAGATACTGGTCTCATTGACTATTTTCAACATAAAATGATTAATCAGGTTGGAAGCAAAAACATTACTGCTGCTTCTCAACCAGAGGATTAAGTGATCACACAGGACCCTTCTGCAGAGTGCAGGTTTTCTACCTGACGGTGAAGAAAGGAGGGAAGGACACTTCTTCTGCCCAAGGTCAACACACAAAATATTTGGTTTGAGATTTAAGACAGAAGGCACTTTTAACATTCTGATATCAGATGTTAACCATACAAACATCCTGTCACAATTTCATTTGGGTGTACTCAAATCCCCTTACAAAAGTCTTCTTACTGCATGTGTGTCATTATGAGAGCAGTGGCGACATGAGCAGATTTAGCCTTGAGATGTGTCTACCTGTTGCTATTCTCCCGATGAAGCAAACTGGGCAGCATGTCAGCCCTGAAGGTTACAAATCCAGTATTTGACTGCAAAACAATTAAATTAGACATCTGAGTGGTTAGTGCAGAAAGAAACAATTAGCAAGAACACTGGCTCCCACTCCGGAGCGATGGGGCTTGGACTGGTCTTTTCCATCATAATACTCTTTGCTTGACTGGCACCAACGTTAAGGAAAAATATCTGCATGAAAATTCAACTAGTGGAAGAAACTTTACCTAAAAATGCCATGTTTATATTTCCAGCTTTTCTCCAAAGAAAAATACCCATTTTCCCATCCTTAGTGTCTGAAGGCCTTGGACTTGAAGGTCTGGCCACATGACTCATTCTGTAAGGTTAACAACTGGCCCAGTTTTATGACTGAACACAAACTGGACTTGAACGTTCCAATTCAATTTTTTCCTTTCAGAAGAGGGAGATGAAAGGGAACCGACCACCCTATTATTATTTTTTTTGCCCTATTATTTGCTGCAACCACGGCTGCCAGTACTTTTCACAAGATGCTGTGTATAGGCTATTTTCACTATCTCCTCAGTCAACGCTGAGCTGACAGTTCTTCAGTGCTACACTCCAACTAAACTGTACAGTAAGTTCTGCAGAAATGGATCTAATATTTCTACCTTTATTTACAAATATCACAAATGGATTCTAGTTGAATCTACATGTTTAAATCCATCGGCTAAAAACATATTACATATTGTAAACATGGCAATATTTAATACAGTATCTATTCTAGAATATTTTCATGTCATGATCACATTTGTTATACCTGAAATTGAATTTATACACATTAAAGAATTACTAGCAATGGTTGCTCACTTTACAATTGAGGGCAGGGGGCTAGGGCTACATTTTATCATTTCAGAAACACTTCAAAGTAAAGTTAAAGCTTGTCTTTGATTGGCTCGGCGTATCCTTTTTGTATCCATATTTAAAATGAAGACTGACACAGAAAATAGCGAGGGCCCCTTCTAATTTACCGGATTTTTAAAAATCAGTTTGAGATTCTTAGGGAAAGTGTCTGTTGTGAATAATAATAATAATAATAATAATAAAAACCTGCTGCAAAATAAACTGAATGGAAAGGGGCTTGAGACTGTTAGGGTGGAGTCTGTCGGGCGTCAGTCCTGCTTGGGTTGCAGCTGCCGCTTCCAGGCCTCGTTCAAGTAAACTAGTCGTTTGTAGTTGATAATGAGAAGAAGGAAGTTCAGCACGTACGTGACGATGCAGATGATGCAGAACTCCTTCAGCACAAAGTACAGAATGTAGGCCAGGTACAGGGACCCCACGACCGACATGATGGAGGACGTCATGAGGATCAAAGCCGCCACAGCGCTTGCTGTCATGCCTGTAAGAGAAGAGACGCAGGCTCAGTCAGGCCTTGGTGCTGGAGAGAGGCTTTCTGAGTGACAAGGAATAACACTGTGTGACTTGCTGCAGTGTTTGAATACTGATCTTCCTGCCAACTCTGAAAATTGAGAACAGAAATACTGCTCTGTTTTGTTAAAATTATACAGGTTGACTCTGCAGTTGATAATGCCAGGTTTTGGGGTTTTTGAGATGGAGTCTCACTCTACCGCCCAGGCTGGAGTGCAGTGGCACAATCTCAACTCATGCAACCTCTACCTCCTGAGTTTAAGCAATTCTCCTGCCTCAGCCTCCCAAGTAGCCAGGATTACAGGCACGTGCCACCACGCCTGGCTGATTTTTTGTTGGCCAGGCTGGTCTCCAACTCCTAACCTCAGGTGATCCTCCTGCCTCAGCCTCCCAAAGTGCCGGGATTACAGGCATAAGCCACCATACCCAGCCAAATGCCAGTTTTATAGCTGTGATGTTTTTGATTTCTCAATCTTTCAGGTAAAACATTACTAATTTCACAAACTAGCCTAGTTGAAAATATGCACACAAAGAAAACATGCAATCTCACAATCACATTAAGCAATGAAGCTGACTTGTAACATCAACAGCCCCAAGACACCAAATGAATAACGGGACATGAGGACCACAACCTTTTTCTTCCGAGCTGCACACATTTGGTGAGAACCTTCTCTGGACTTTCACTACATCCTGCCCATCTGTGGAAAGTAAAATTTGCTTTTCCATGTTTAGATCAAATTGATTAAAAATCCACAATGAGAGGTGACTACACCAACAAGCTGCTGAAGAGAGAAAAAGAAACTCTTGATAAACATTTCAGGAAGGGCTCACCCTGGTGGATAAGGGAAACCACATTTTGCCCGTTGGCTGCATGTGGGTCAAACCTGATCAAGAAAAATGGTGGACATGTGTGCTAAATCCAGGCTCTCAATACAAAAAGGCACCTGAAGCCACGCACAGTGGCTCATGCCTGTAATGCTAGGACTTTGGGAGGCTAAGGCAGGCAGATCATTTGAGGTCAGGAATTTGAGACCAGCCTGGCCAACATGGTGAAAGCCCCTCTCTACTAAAAAGTACAAGAGAAAAAAAAAATTAGCTGGGCATGGTATTGCACGCTTGCAACCCCAGCTACAAGGGAGGCTGAGGCACGAGAATTACTTGAACCCAGGAGGCGGAGGTTGCAGTGAGATAAGATTGCACCAGTGGACTCCAGCCTGGGCGACAGAGTCTTAACTCTGTCTCAAAAAAAAAAAAAAAAAAAAAAAAGGAAAAAAAAAGGCACCTGAATTCTGGACTCTATCTTCACATGTATTGTTTTTAATTTCTTATAGGCAACAGTATAGAGAATATGTGCATTTATTTTCAAGGACAGAGAAGGCAGAGCATGTTAAACTACCCTCCTACCCAATGACTCATGGATAAGGATAACAGAAACAGGAACAAAATAACAGGTGGGAGCAGGTATAAAGAAGTCAGTTAAAGAGCTGAAATCCTGGGCCCTGTTGGCAAAAAAAAAAATGCAACAAGAAGACGCCTGTGGGCCGGCTGCCGCACAGCCACGGGCCTAGATGCTTTCATAGGGCACTTCAAGACTAAGGTGCTGCTGAATTACTTGTTGCAGGGACTAGCAAATCTGGCCAGCTACCTGCTTTTGTAAATAAAGTTTTATTGGCACCCAGCCATGCTCATTCATTTATGTAATGTCATTCATTACGTAATGTCTGTGACTGCTTTCATACTAGAAGAGTTGAGTGGCTGCGGCAACTGGCAAAGCCTATTTTCTGCCAGGCCCTTTACTGAAAAAGTTTGCTGACTTCACCTATGCTAAACAACTAACATTTCGAAATTAATGTGGTCACAATTTTACCTAAGAAAGTTAACTTCAGAATGATACGGGCAACTTATTTCTTCCTCTATGCCTTTCTTTTCTCAACTGTAAAATTGGGATAACAATCATGCCTACTTCTTAAGACTGCTGGGCAATTAAATGAGCTGAGATAATGCAGGATTAAAGCACTTAGAATAGTGTATAAATACCAGATATCCATTAAATGCTACTGTAATGCAGCTAGGTACGTTTGGCTCAGGGTCAAATTCCCAGTGGAATTTAAAATGTGCTGTAACTCTAAATAAATGATGGTACAATTATGCAATGGATTATTCTGCAGCTGTAGAAAAGAATGAAGACATTTAATATACTGATATGGAAAAATCACCATGATATATTCATCAGGCAAAAAAAGAAAATGCAAGCTGCAGAACAGTGGGTATAGCATCTGCCTTTTATATTTTAAAAAGGAGGAAAATTAAGATTGTGTATTTGTACTTTCTCGTATATGCATAAAGAGACAATAACAAGCTACCAGTCGGGGCTGAGGAGCACTGGAAACCAGGCATAAAGGGAAGGGGTGGGATAGATTTTTCTTTGTGTAACATTTTATATATGTATATATATATATATTTTTTTTTTCCTGAAGGAGTCTCGCTCTGTCACCGAGGCTGGAGTGCAATGGTGCGACATTAGCTCACTGCAACCTCTGTCTCCCAGGTTCAAACAATTCTCCTGCCTCAGCCTCCCAAGTAGCTGGGATTACAGGTGTGCGGCACCACACCTGGCTAATTTTTGTATTTTTAGTAGAGATGGGGTTTCACCATGTTGGCCAGGCTGGTCTTGAACTCCTGACCTCGTGATCCACCCATCTTGGCCTCCCAAAATGCTGGAATTATTGGCATGAGCCACTGTGCCCGGTCCTTTTTAAAAACTTTTGAACCACGTGAATGGATTACCTATGAAAAAATTAAATTAAAAATGCTGTGTCTCAAACAGGTTAGAAGGGAGTACAGATGCTGTGCTCTGGAAATTGCTAGGTTAGTTCAAATGTGCCTCCCATGAAGACACCAACATTAAAAGGCACGTGAAGCATCTAAATGCGAGTCAAAAAATGCGAATGAAAAAACACATGTGATAAATATGATTTAAAATATGTATATACCATGGCATTAAATTAATGGTAAAACAAAAATTTGGCTGTCACACCTCTATCTTCAAGAGTTAATCTAGTCAAAGGCTGTTCTTAGGTTCTTTGCCTTTAAAGGAAAACATCTTGCATCTGGGCTTATACTTCATATTCTTCTCTAGAAATCCAGCAAAATGGAAACATGCAGAATACCTAGTGAAATTTCTCCCTCCTCCCCAACCACCCGACCCTTTTCTATGCATTTACATGCATGTATACAAACACGTTTATCCTATACCTATTATACCAAAATTTGCTTTTTTCACTAAATAGTGTCTTTATCTTTCTAGGATATAAACATAGATCTCCTTTTTCCTTTAATGGCTACATAGTATTTCATAGTATTTTCTAATTTATTCAACCATTATCTATTTGTAACCTACCTCCATTTTTTTTTTGCTATTTTACACTGTACTGCTATGAATATCCTTGTGCACACATCTTTCTACTTCTGCAAGATAAATACATAGATATGGAACTGGGCAAACTCGACAGAACTACTGAGGATGATTTAGATTTATAATTTGCCTCATAACAAATCAATTTCAGATAGAAGAGTTACATGTATTTTTAATGAACCAAATCAGAAGAGCTGACAGGTAATGGAATATTAACAATTAAAATACAAAAGCATTGGTATGCAACAAGATCTACAAAAAAGAAGAAAAATAAAATGCAAAGGCATCAACAGATGGATTTAACTCTAAAAGTATAAAAACTTAATACAATACAAATTCATAACACTAACAAAAAAGGATAAAGAATGCATAAAATGTTTGTAACACATATAAAAATGTACTAGTATCGGGATCCAATAACTAAATGCTAAATGGGCAATAAAAGGAAATTAAAAAGAGTAAAAATTAAAGTAATAGGTACTAATGTGTAACTATTAGCAATTTTTCCAGGTGAAGATTATCGTTACAATTAAAAAAAAAAGAAATTTTACAAAGCATGTCTTAAAAATAAAGACCGCTGGAGCTTCAGGGAAACCAAAGAACTGAGGGAAAAGCAAATTGGTAACACTGATTAAAATTGAAAATATCTGTGTTTTTTGATACTATGCTTGGAAATTTATTTTGTGGAGATAATTCAAAGGAAGGAAGGAGCAGGAGGTCTTTAAACAAAGTTGATCACTGCAGCATTATTTGGAAGTAAAAGGAGTGAAACCTAGATGTTAACAATAACACTTAGGATAAACGACACTATGTTGAAACACAGTTCACATTAAATTATTAGTTTTTGAGACAGCGTCTTGCTCTGACCCCCAGGCTGGAGTGCAGTGGTGTGATCTCGGCTCCCTGCAACCTCCATCTCTTGGACTCAAGTGATTCTCTCACCTCAGCCTTTCAAGTAGCTGGGACTACAGGTGTGTGCCACCACACCTGGCTAATTTTTGTATTTTCTACAGAGACAGAGTCTCACCATGTTGCTCCTGGGCTCAAGTAATCTGCCCTTCTCGGCCTCCCAAAGTCCTAGGATTACAGGTGTGAGCCACTGCACCTGGCCCCAAGTTATTATTATTATTATTATTTATTTCTTTTTTGTGAGACGGAGTTTCGCTCTTGTTGCCCAGGCTGGAGTGCAATGGCGCGATCTCAGCTCACTACAACCTCCGTCTCCCGGGTTCAAGTGACTCTCCAGCCTCAGCCTCATGAGTAGCTGGGATTACAGGCATGCACCACCTCGCCCAGCTAATTTTGTATTTTTAGTAGAGACAGGGTTTCTTTATGTTGGCCAGGCTGGTCTCGAACTCCCAACCTCAGATGATCTGCCTATCTTGGCCTCCCTAAGTGCTGGGATTACAGGTGTGCACCACCGCACCCAGCCCAAAAATTATTTTTAAAAGCAGAAGACTGTGGAAATAGTGGATATGTAAAGGTAATGGGATTATGAATATGGTTTCTTGTTAATGTCCCCTTAATATATGATATTTTTCAAGGCCACTGAGTCTATAAAATAAGGAAAAACGTTAACAGGGAAGATGGGAGTGATAATTTCCTGGAATGGGACTGGTTTTTCTGGACATCATGAGATACTGCTCTCCATGATTAAACAGCAATTGACATAAATTCAACAATAATATAATAAAAATCTCAGTGAATCAAGTTTTCATAACACAAAAATGTTGTACACGCTAGTGGTTCTATAAATAACACATGCTTTAACATCAAGACACTTCAGGGCAAAGACACAAAGTACTAAACGGAATATAACAAACTTATTTTTGTATTGATAAATACTTACCAAGTAATAACTGTAGTATATAAAATATAAGTCCAAAGACACTGTTTGGCTGGTTTAATACACCATCCTTTCCAAAAATGGAACCCAAAAGACCAAATCCTCGACCCCATCTGTAAAATAAGGAAAACCAGTAACCCTATATTTGAATTTCCCTATTTTAAAAAATGTATCATTATTTGAGAACGTTATCCAATTCTAAAATCAACTAAGTTGTGAAATGTCTTAAATGTCCTGTGTTGAGAGAGTGATTTGCCCCAAAGAGAGGGAGGCCAGTCACTAGATTTCTGATTAGAAATAATCATCTAAAATGAACATATCTAAAGGTGCCAGTATACCCATCTGAATCTCTCAGTTGCCAATTTCTATATATTCTCTTCTCCAGAAGGTAGGGCAAAGTATTCGTTTTCCAATGGCATTAGTATTTGCAGAAGGAGACTTCTCTATGCAGAAGGAGACAGTTGTCCACTGTCTCTTAACAGTGGACTACTGACATTTTGGGCTAGATAATTCTTTGTGCTGTGGGGTGTTCTGTGCATTACATAACTAACAGTACCCCAGAGCTCCCCCAACTAGATGCTGCCAGTACTCCTCCATCCCAGGTGTGACTACCAAAAATGCAGTCACAGCCATTGCCAAACATCCGCTGGGACACGACTGCCCCCAGTTGAAAACCATAGAATGTAAGTTGTGCTATTTATTCACTCAAAGAATATAGATTGAAAAGTTGTTTCTTCACAAATTTCACCAGGATATGCATTAAGAAATATACTGGGAATGTATTTTTTAAATGTAGGGCCGGGCCCGTGGATCACACCTATAATCCCACCACCTTGGGAGGCCGAGGCGAGCAGATCACAAGGTCAAGAGTTCGAGACCAGGCTGGCCAGCATGGTGAAACCCGTCTCTACTCAAAATACAAAAAATTAGCCGGACATGGTGGTGTGCACCTGTAATCCCAGCTAGTTGGGAGACTAAGGCAGGAGAATCACTTGAACCCTGGAAGCAGAGGTTGCAGTGGGCCGAGACTGCACCACTGCACTCCAGCCTGGGCAACAAGAGCAAAACTCCATTTCAAAAAAAAAAAATGCAGGATAATATCAGAAACTATAGGTCTTTCCTGGAATCCTATCTCAGATGTAAAAAACTGGATACATTATATGCCCTATCAGTTTTTATTTGCAATTTAACTTTAAATCTTGCATTTGACTTAACATTTTTAAAACCTGATTTTTTTTAAATTGTTAACTTATTTGATAAAACTTGATACAAATATCAAACATTCATTTTGAATAAAAAACCTTTAAAGATAATGTTAACTCTGGATTGAACGAGAGTGCTTCTTAAATACTAAAAAAAAAAAAAAAAACCAGTTATGGTGTTAAGTCAGTAGAGAATCAGTCTAAACAAAATCTAAACTTTGGTTCTGAAGACAAACTGCCCCAAAGCAAGGATAAATAAGTAATTCTTCACAGGCCACAATAGTTTAATAGCACTTGATGCCCAAGATATAGAATGAAACCCCTGTATAACGATGATGTTGGGAGAGAAAAATCACCCCGATTTTACAAACAAGTGAAAGCCATGAAGATTTTTATTGTAGAATTATGCAATCCTTTTTGTTTGTTTTGTTTTGTTTTGTTTTTTTGAGACAGGATGTTCCTCTGTTGCCCAGGCTACAGTGCAGTTGCAATCATGACTCACTGCAGCCTTGACCTCCGAGGTTCAAGTGATTCTCCTGCCTCAGCCTCCCGAAGTAGCTGAGACTACCACACCCAGCTATATATATATATTTTTTTTTTGGTATTTTTTTATAGAGTTGCAGCTTTGCCATGTGCCAAGGCTGGTCTTGAAGTACTGGACTCAAGCAATCCTCCCACCTTGGCCTCCCAAAGTGCTGGGATTACAGGCTGAGCTATGACACCCAGCCTTCAGTTATACATTTCAAAGAACATAAAATAATTTCCATTATATTCATTTATTCTTTCACTCATCTAAATACTTATTGAGCATGTACTGTGTGCACTGACGCTACGTGCCGGGGATCCAGAAGTGAACGAGCCAGACGAGGTGCTGCCCTTGTGGACCTTAAATTCTATTTAGGGAAGAGAAATAATAAACAGGTAAACAAATGCCAGATTACCTGCAGCAATGGACACACCTTGTAACAGATACACAGGAAAATTAGAAGGGGAAACTCTAGATCAGTGCTTCTGAAATTTTTAAAGCACAATCACTCTGGGGTCTGGTTAAAATGTAGCTGTTCCTTCAGTGGGTCTGTGGTGGGGCCTAAGACTCTGCATTTCCAGAGAAAACACAACACAAAATGAAATGCTTGCAGGCAACACTGACGCTTCTGGTCTGAAGCCCACACTTGGAGATCCATAGCTGTGGGCAGAGAAGGGGTGCAGCAAGCTCCTCTAGCTTGATGGTCGGGAAGGACCTTTTCCAGGAATGAAGTTTTGAATGAGATCCTGAGTGATGGTAAGCAATCGGTCTCATGAGCAATGGCAAGTCAAAGGCCTTGAGGTAGGAATGAGCTGTGGGTGTGCCAAGGAAGGCCACTGAGGCTGGGGCATGGTGATTGAGGAGAGTGACAGGAGAACTGGGAGCGAGTCCAATCATTTACATTATTTAGGGCCTTGTGTGTAGGCCATGCCGAAGAGTTTGAATTTTATTCTAATTGCTATGAAAGACGTTTAGTAGCTTTCAAACTGGAGAGTGAGATAAGCTTATTTATGATCACTCTTCGCTGCTGCATAAAGAACAAACTGCTGGAGGCCAGAGTACAGATGGGGAAACTATATGTAATCAAACCTCTTAGCCCTACTCATCCCAGGCAGGAATTCCAATTTAAATCACTGCCTTTGGCAACAGAAATAAATGGCATACTGCCAAAATTATCATGGCTAAACAGAATTTTTATATATTCAAAGCACTGGTCTATGCCTGATTATTCATGTAAGATCACATGGGTATTTTCCTCGAAAACAATGTGGCAATCCACAAATGAATATATTATCAAAGTTATACATGCATAAGGTTTCAAAATAAAATAAAATCAAAGCCTTCTAATACAGAGATGTTCCCTCCTCCAGCCCTCCCCAAGTCAGTTCTCATCCCAGAGGCATCCACTTTGATGTCTGTTAACTGTTTCCACCTTTTTTTTTTGAGACGGAGTCTCATTCGTGTCGCCCAGGCTGGAGTGCAGTGGCGCGATCTCGGCTCACTGCAAGTTCCGCCTCCCAGGTTCAGGCCATTCTCCTGCCTCAGCCTCCCAAGTGGCTGGGACTACAGGCGCCCACCACCATGCCCAGCTAATTTTTTTGTATTTTTAGTAGAGATGGGGTTTCACCGTGTTAGCCAAGATGGTCTCGATCTGCTGACCTCGTGATCTGCCCGCCTCGGCCTCCCAAAGTGCTGGGATTACAGGCGTGAGCCACTGCGCCCGGCCCTGTTTTCACTCTTATTTACTTCCACATTTCTAAATAATATGTTTACATTGCTATTTTTTTTTTTCTTTTTGAGACAGTCTGGCTCTGTCGCCCAGGCTGGAGTGTAGCAGCGCAATCTCAGCTCAATGCAACCTTCACCACTTGGATTCAAGTGATTCTCCTGCCTCAGCCTTTTGAGTAGTTGGGATTACTAGCACCCGCCACCACGCCCAGCTAATTTTTGTATTTTCAGTAGAGATGGGGTTTCACCATGTTGGCCAGACTGGTCTTGAACACCTGACCTCAGGTCATCCGTACGCCTTGGCCTCCCAAAGTGCTAGGATTACAGGCATCAGCCACCGCACCCAGCCCTAAATATTATCTTTTGACTCGCTAATATGGTAAGCCAGAATGTTGCTTTTTTTTTTTTTTTGAGACGGGGTCTCACTCTGTCAATAATGTTAGAGTGCAGTGGTGCAATCTGCACTCATTGCAACCTCCACCTCCCAGTCTCAAGCAATTTTCCCTCCTCAGCCTCCCGAATAGCTGGCACCACAGGCATCCACCACCGTGCCTGGCTAATTTTTGTATTTTTGGTAGAGATGAGGTTTCATCATGTTGCCCAGGCTGGTCTCGAACTCCTGAGCTCAGGCATTCCACCTATTTTGGCCTCTGCAAATGCTGGGATTACAGGTGTGAGTTACTGTGGCCAGCCAAATATTGCTTTTTCTTAAAAAAAAAAATTATAGAAAACTTCAAATGCATATACACAAAGTGAGCACAAGAGTGTAATAAACACCCATGTATTATTTTGCTATGGTAAAGAGAAAGGGTACTATAAAAACAAAACGCATACAAAAAAACAAAAAAAACCCAGGTACCCATCACCCAGCTTCAATAATTACGCCTTTCTTGTTTCATCTCCACCTCTACATACTCATCACTTGAGAATTACTTTTAGTTCTTTTATTTTTATTTTTTGAGACAGAGTCTCATTCTGTCACCCAGGCCAGAGTGTAGTGGTGCTATCTCGGCTCACTGCAACCTCTGCCTCCCGGGTTCAAGTGAGACTCCTGTGTCAGCCTCCTAAAGTAGCTGGGATTACAGGCTCCCACCACCACGCAGGGCTAATTTTTTTTATTTTTGGTAGAGCCAGGGTTTCATCATGTTGCCCAGGCTGGTCTCATCTTCTAGATTCAAGTGATTCTCCTGCCTCAGCCTCCCAAGTAGCTGGACCACAGGCATGTTCCACCACACCTGGCTAATTTTTTGTAGTTTTTAGACCTCAAGTGATCCGCCCACTGAAGCCTCCCAAAGTGCTGGGATTACAGGCACAAGCCATTGTGCCCAGCCACAAGGAAGTTAAACTTCTGATTACCTTTATTTACTGATTTGTTATTGATATTTTGGAAATCATTTGCTTTTTCTTTGTTGTTTAAATTTTTGTTACTAATAAATATGCCATTATCTTGCTTTTACCACCTTAAGAATATCAACATTTATTCTTTAAAACAATAATCTTAAAATTATCTTTATTTTTATTTATTTATTTTTCAGACAGAGTTTCACTATTGTTGCCCAGGCTGGAGTGCAATGGCACAATCTCGACTCACTGCAACCTCTACCTCCCAGGTTCAAGGGATTCTCCTGCCTTAGCCTCCTGAGTAGCTGGGATTAAAGGTGCCTGCCACTACCCCACCTAATTTTTTTGCATTTTTAGTACAGTTGGGGTTTCACCACATTGGCCAGGCTGGTCTCGAACTCCTGACCATTAAAAAGGAAGAATGGACCTTGGAAAGTCTAAAAAGGTGGGAGAAACAATTATGAGGCTTAGATGGGTACATGTAAGATGCTCTGAGGAACTTAGTGGAAGATTTGTAAACTTATTTGGTAAGTTGCTGTTTTCATTATTTTTAATGTTATTACAGTTATATATAGTTTAAAAAAATCAGATAGTGCTACAAGACTTGGAACAAAAAGCAGCATTCTTCTGACCCCTGAGGTATCCTCCTTAGAAGCAACTCATTTTACTGGTTTCTCTCAATATTTACCCACAAATTTCTTTTTACAAAAATTCCTTATTATTTTTGTTTTTAAATTTAAAACATTTTTTTTTGTAGAGAGGGTTTCGCCATGTTGGCCAGGCTCGTCTCGAACTCCTGGGCTCAAGTGATCCTCCCACCTCAGCCTCCCAAAGTGCTGGGATTACAGGCATGAGCCACCAGGCCTGGCCACTTATTATTTTTGGATCATCTAGCACTGTATGCTAAACTAGACTATGATTTCGTAGACTTTCATTTCCCTATCCCCCTCCCAATTATACCATAATTTGTACTTATATCAAAATTTTTGGTTCTATCAGTATATATTGTTTATATGGTTATCACTATATTGTCTGACACAGAGCCCAGAATGATCTGTTCTAACAAGATTCTGTAGAGTAAATCAAGTCATAGGCGATCAGTAAATAGAAGAATGACAGTAACACAACACCAAGTTGCACGGTCCAGACATCATTTTCCCCAGCATGTTAAAAGTGCTCATGCCTGGAATCCCAGCACTTTGGGAGGCCGAGGTAGGCAGATCACTTAAGGTCAGGAGTTTGAGACCAGCCTGGCCAACATGGCGAAACCCCGTCTCTACTAAAAATACAAAAATTATGCAGATGTGCTGGCGGGCGCCTGTAATCCCAGCTACTTGGGAGACTGAGGCAGAAAAATCGCTTGAACCCAGGACGCAAGCCGAGATTGCGCCACTGCACTCCAGCCTAGGTGAAAGAGCACGACTCCATCTCGATTAAAAGAAAAAAAGAAAAGAAAAGAAAAAAATTCAACAAGTCTTTTTTTTTTTTTTTTTTTGAGATGGAGTCTCGCTCTGTCACCCAGGCCGGTGTGCAGTGGCGTGGTCTTGGCTCACTGCAAGCTCCGCCTCCCGGGTTCATGCCATTTTCCTGCCTCAGCCTCCCAAGTAGCTGGGACTATAGGTGCCCGCCACCATGTCAGGCTAGTTTTTTTTTTGGCATTTTTAGTAGAGATGGGGTTTCACCGTGTTAGCCAGGGTGGTCTCAATCTCCTGACCTCATGATCCGCTCGTCTCAGCCTCCCAAAGTGCTGGGATTACAGGTGTGAGTCACTGCATCCGGCCAACAAGTCTTTAAACTCTGTCAGTAGTTTTACTAGAAATATCATTGCTTTCATCCTCTGGTCCCAAGATTACATTGGTTTTGAGTGGTCTGCTCCATTCCTGTCCCATAACCTCTGGTACTTTTTAAAAATACTTTTTATTGGAGCATCATTATACATCATAAAGTACAGGTGTATGAAGTTCAGTTAATTTCTATGAGCTGAACACATGCGTGAATCAGTAGCCGGATGAAGAAACAGCAATACGGCTAGGCGCAGTGGCTCACGCCTGTAATTCCAACACTTTGGGAGGCCAAAGCAGGTGGAGCAATTGAGGCCAAGATTTCAAGACTAGCCTGGCCAGCATGGTGAAATCCCATCTCTACTCAAATACGTGGTAGCACTCGCCTTATAGTCCCAGCTACTTGGGAGGCTGAGGCAGATAATCGCTTGAACCCGAGAGGGAGAGGTTATAGTGAGCCGAGATCACGCCACTGCACCCCAGCCTGGATGATAGAGCAAAACTCTCAAAAAAAAAAAAAAAAAAAAAAAAACCTTAAGAAAAAGAAACACAACAATACCAGCAGCACCTTAGAGGCACCCATTCCCTTCTTCCAGTTACCCTTCCTCCCCCAGAATAACCACTCTCCTGGGGTCTTTCTAAAAAATATTATATTAACATCATAATATACCAAACAGTATAGTAAATATAAAATAAGCGTACAAAAATACATTGAATAATGTATTTTTAAAAATTATTTTTTACAAGGCACATACCCTTATAGCCACACCCACATCTAGAAATAGAACTTTGGCAGGGCATGGTGGCTCATGCCTGTAATCCAGCACTTTGGGAGGCCATGGTGGGAGAACTGCTTAAGCCCAGGAGTTCAAGATCAGCCTGGGCAACATTATGAGACTCTGTCGCTACCTAAAAAAAGAAGAAAGAAAAAAAATTGCTGGGCGTGATGGCACATGCCTGTAGTCCCAGCTACTTGGAAGGCTGATCACTTGAGCCCAGGAGTTTGAGGCTGCAAGCAATGAGCTATGATTGTGCCACTGTACTGCAGCCTGGGTGACAGAGTGAGAGCCTGTCTTAAAAGAAAAGAAAAAAAAGAAATAGAACTTTGCTAGCCCCTGTCTGTGCCCCAATGCAATTAAACACCTCTTCTTTCCTCTAAAAGCACTAACTATCCCAACTTTTATCCTTAGTTTCTCTAAGGATTGACAAGTGAGCATTCCTAGACACTATATAGTTTAATCCCCACTCTCATTCTATTTTACTTGATATGTTGTTTAGGACTCTCTTAAGCTATAGGTTCCTTGCTCTGGTATTTTTAGGGCTCAATTCCGTAGAAAATAAATTTTTCCAGGGACATGTTATACTGTCCATCACAAAAATATCTATAATTAGCTGTCATCATATTTCCTTTTGAGCACAAATTGCTTTTCATGGAGTTATGAATTTATATTTTGTTTGCTTAGTTTTCTATGTCACTATTATTGGTCTTCTGAACCCCTTCTGAGCAATACTTTAAACAAGATCAACCATGTGAAGGAATCTATGATTTGCATCTTTCTCTGAAGACATCTCTCTTGGAGCCCTTGCCTTCCTGGAGCACTCTGGATGACATGTCAGGCTGGCTACTCTCTGGTCCTGCTGCAGCTGTCGTCCTAAGACTTCCAATCTCTTCCCCACACTGAATCTTCCATTTCTTATATTTGGTGTCTTCCATTTCTCCTTGGTTTACTTTACTTGGTGGCACAATCCTCTAATAGTTTCTTTCCTTGAGAAAATACACACTGGAGGTCAAATTTCTGAGATGCTGGACATCTAAAAATATCTTTCTTCTGCTATCATAATTGATTGATTGTTTGGGTATGTAATTATACATTAAAAATAAGTTTCTGGCTAGGTGTGATGGCTTATGCCTGTTATTGCAGAACTTTGGGAGGTTCAGGATTGCTTGAGGACAGGAATTCCAGACCAGCCTGGGCAACATGGTGAGACCCCATCTCTAGAAAACATAAAAAAATTAGCTAGGTGTGGTGGCACACACCTGTAGCCCCAGCTACTCGGGCAGCTGGGGTAGGTTGACTGCTTGAGTCCAGCAGTTCGAGGCCACAGTGAACAAGGATCACATCGCTCCATTCCGGCCTGGGTGACAGAGTGAGACCCTGTCACAAAAACATAAAAACTAAAAAAAAAAAGACAATTTTCCCTCAGAATGTTTTAAAGACACATTTCTTTAGCGTCATGATCAGACTATTACATTTGGCAATCAACAGCATGGGTGCAAAAATAGTCTACATTAAAATTCTTTGTTGGACTGTTTTCAGTTTCCAGAGAACAGAAACTAAAATGCCCTGTTATACAATTACAGCCCCCGAGTCTTTTGCCCATACACATGAGTATTGTCTGAAGCATATCCCTGAAGCAGCTAGGCCCTGACACCACTGTGCCTGGTTGAGTTCGCAAATCTGTTGTAACCTGTGGCTTCCCTGTCGCTGCTCTGGCTAAGCCTTGTTTCTCCTGCTAAGCCTTGTTTCCGGCAGAAATGAATGCCCTCTGCCTCTGCCATACCTACTGCTGCTACTGCAACCACCACAGCCACCTTGGTTTCAGGGTTTGGCAAAATATTGGCTTCCACCACCATAGGGGCCAGAGCTTCTGCCTCCAAAGTTTTTTCTCTTTATAGGTCCAAAATTTGAAGACTGACTGTTGTAACTGCCAAAATCACTGTCACTTCCACCACATCCAAAATTGCTTCCATTATTACCAAATCCATGATAGCCATCCCCACTGCCACCATATCCACCACCATCATGGTTGGCATGAAAGCCACCATGACCAAACTTGTCACTTCCACCAAATCACCTCCACGACCACCACCAGTTTCCAGGACCCCTTTTACTTCTTTGGCTGGATGAGCCACCAGCCATGTCTTGCTGCAACCTGGACTTTCCTTACTTCACAGCCGTGGCCATTTACAGGATAGTATTTCTGAATGACAATCTTATCCACGGAGTCGTGGTCATCAAAGGTTATAAAAGCAAAGACCCTTTTCTTGCCACTGCCTCAGTCAGTTGTGATTTCAATCACTTCAATTTTCCTATCCTGTTCAAAATAATCTCTTACGTGATGTTCTTCGGTGTCCTGTTTAATGCCACCAACAAATATCTTTTCCACAGTCACATGGGCACCCAGTCTTTGAGAATCTTCTCTTCAGACAGCTCTCTGAGGTTCCACAGCTCTTCCAACCACCTGGTGTGGCCCTGATTCATGGCTGCATCCATCTCCTCCACAGTGGCAGATGACCAACCCAAAGCCCCCGGAGTGCTTGGAGTCTGGGTCTAGGACCACACAGTCATGAGCATTCCCCATGGTTCAGAAGGGCTCCCCGGACTCGGCTGTTTCAAGGCTTCGCTGTTTCAAGGCTTCCACAGCTGTTCGGGCTCTTTAGGAGACTCTGGTTTAGACATGCCCACAGTGGGAAGAGAGGCTTGAATGATGCTTCCTTGGCAGCACTGAAGGCCACAAATCCCTCAACATTTTTAAAGATACTCTTCCACCATCCTGCGTTCAGAGGTGGTTCTTGAAAATTCTGATGCTATTCTGAGCTTCGAATGTGACCTGTTTCTGCTCTAAGAATCTTCTTTTTAATCTGGGCATTCTCAAATTTCACAAAGGATGTGCCTTGTTGTGGGAGTTGAGTCATTCACTGTGAAGGGCTCTTTCAATGCAGAAATTCACATTATTCAATATTAGGAAATTTTCATACATTTCTTAGCCAAATGTTGGCCCTCTAATTTTCTTTGATCTTTTTTTCTATTTGCCCTCTTTTTCCTTTTACTCCATTTCTAGGAGATTACCATGATATACTCTCCCAAACCTGTTAAATTCATTTATTAAACTTATTGCTAACATATGTTTAATTTTATGTGTTCTCTCTTAGTCTCTGATTATTCCTTTTACATAAATAGCATCTTGTTTTAAGGATATCATTTTTTTTTTCTGAGATGGTTTTTTTTGAGACGGAGTCTCGCTCGGTCGCACAGCGGCTTGATCTCTGCTCACTGTAACCTCCGCCTCCTGGGTTCAAGCAATTCTCCTGCCTCAGCCTCCCAAGTAGCTGGGATTACCAGCACCCACCACCACACCTGGCTAATTTTTATATTTTCAGTAGAGACGGGGTTTCACCATGTTGGCAAGGATGGTCTCGAACTCCTGACCTCAAATGGTCCACTCACCTCAGCCTCCCAATGTGCTGGGATTACAGACACGAGCCACTGCACCCAGCCAAGGATATCACTTTTTCTTAGATCTAAGGAGATCAAATAATTTATGTTTATTTTAAGTTTATTTCTGGCTACTTCAATTTTTGGTTGCTCTGAGTTCCTTGGACATACATCCATATGTGTCTGTCTCTCATACTAGAGACTTTTCTCAAATGTTTGAGGACCATTAACCGTCTATTCATTTGTAAGACCAAGGCATTAAAAATCTGAGTGTCAGCCAGGCACACTGCCTCACGCCTGTAATGCCAGCACTTTGGGAGGCTGAGGTTGGAGGGATTGCTTGAACCCAGGAGTCTGAGACCAGCCTGGGCAACATGGCAAAACCCTGACTCTACCGAAACAAACAAACAAACCACCACCAAAAAAAATTAGCTGGATGTAGTGGCACACACCTGTAGTCCTAGCTACTAGGGAGGCTGAGGTGGGAGGATCACTTGAGCCCAGAGGTCAAGGCTGCAGTGAGCTGTGTTTGTGCTACTGCACTCCAGCCTAAAAGAATGAGATACTATCTCAAAAACAAAACAAAATAAAACAAAAAAAATCTGAATGCCAATTCCAGTGCTGGATAAAATGGAATATGCCCACTACAAGCTGCTCTTCCTGACAGGTTACAATTAAAAATTGGACAACACAAAAAGCAATTGAGGATTCTGAAAAGGAAAAATAGCTGGTTGATAGAGGAGAGTAAAAACTGGAAGATCAAGTAGTACACTGGAGTTTCTTGGGTTCTTTTCCCCTCTTCTTTGCAGAATTGCCCAAGGGGTAAGGTGTGTGAGGGGTCAGACAGCAAAACAACAACAACAACAACAACAAAACAAAACCCATAAAACTTCTTTCTGGCCAGAGGATGAGGACAAGAGATCCATGTGGGCTGGAGAGCATGATGACAGCGTACTTTCACATTCATTATTTTTTCCCTCTTGGCCTTGCCTAAAGGTTGGCCAGCAGTCCAGGCACCTCAAAGCCTGTCTCTTTCCCTGGAAGAAATGAGAGAAGGGGTCTCTGTGGCTGTAAGCATGTAAAAGGAATCCTGTTGTTTCTTCTCTTTTCTTTCACTGCCTCACTCTTCGGGTGAAGCCAGTCACATGGAACTGTGTGACAGAGAAGGAGGTTAAAACTGTCTGAGAGAAACCCATCTTTCTAGCAAGAGAAACAGCGAAAGGGGTGCCTGGGAGCCAGAGATGGGGAAGAAAATCCCAGCAAGGAAAGGACCAGAGAAGGGAATCCCTTAATTCTGTGTAGGAACTAACACAAGCCCCAGACTCACCCAAGTGGCACATGCATGGAATAGACCCCAAAGGCACAGCAAAGTCTCTCAGAAATAAACTATGATATAAACCATCATTCAAATTGCAGACAAATCACTGAGAGGCGCACATGAGGGCAAACTCAAACAGGATAGCAAACGCTTTTAAAATAAAACTGGCATTGAACCCATCACCCACAGAAGGAGAGGCAGAGCTTGTGAAACTGGATTGCCTGTTAAAACAAAGCAAAATCATTATTCTCCAGATGTTAACAGGACCCAGACTCTTAAACATACTCTTCAAAATACACTGACGATGCACTCCAAGATTATATGACATACAAAGAACTAGAAGAATGTTACCAGTTCTCAAGAGAAACAAACGATGATGAACAGATGTCAACCCTGAGATGACACAGATGCTGGAATTACCAGAATCAGATTTAAAACAGTTATTACATCTATGTTCCATAAGTGAAAGTAAAGAGAAATGACTGGGAAGATGGAAGTTCTCAGCAGAGAAAAAGTAACCATTAAAAAAAAAAATGGAAACTATAGAACTAAAAAATATAAGATCTGAAATTAAAAATCCACTAGATGAGGTCAATAGCAGAATGGAGATACCAAAGGGAAGATTCAGTGAGCTGAAAGATTAACAGAAATTATCCAATTTGAACAACAGAGAGGAAAAACATGTTAAAAAAAAAAGAATAGAGACTTAAAGAACAATCTTAAATATCAATCTGAAATATAGGACAGTATCAAAAGGTCTAACATTTATTTCACTGGACTTCTGGAAGGAGAAAGAAAGAGATTGATGCACAAAAAGGTATGAAAAAATAGTAGCTAATAACTTCCCAAATTTAGCCAAATATAAAAATTTATAGATTCAAAAACTCAGTTAACATGAGAGTTGATTAAACTCGAAGAATGCCACACCCAGACACATCATAACCAAACTACTAAAAACCAAAGACAGAAAAGCCCTTGAAAGCATCCAGAGAAAAATGACACATTATATAAGTAGACAAGAATTCAAATGCCTACCAATTTTGCATCAGAAACCATGAAGGGGGCCAGGTGCAGTGGCTCATGCCTGTAATCCCAGCACTTTGGGAGGCTGAGGCGGATGGATCACGAGGTCAGGAGATCGAAGATCATCCTGGCCAACATGGTGAAAACCCGTCTCTACTAAAAATACAAAAATTAGATGAGCGTGGTGGCGTGCGTCTGTAATTCCAGCTACTCGGGAGGCTGAGGCAGGAGAATCGCTTGAACTTGGGAGGCAGAGGTTGCAGTGAGCCAAGATCACGCCACTGCACTCCAGCCTGGTGACAGACCAAGCCTCCATCTCAAAAAAAAAAGAAACCATGGAGGCCGAAATCTTTAAAGTACTGAAAAGAACTGTCAACTGAGAATTCTACATCCCTCAAGATCTCTTTGAGGGATCAAGAACAATCAGACACTTCCAGAAGCAAGAAAATAAAGAGAACTTACTACCAGCAGACTGGCACTATGAGAAATGCTGAAGGAAGTTCTTCACATTGAAGGAGAATGACACCAGAGGGAAATATGAAATTTCAGAAATGGTAAATATCTGAAATAGACCCCCTTTTTTTTTTTTTTTTTGAGATGTAATCTCACACTGTCACCCAGGCTGGAGTGCAGTGGTGCGATCTCCACTCACTGCAACATCCACCTCCCGGGTTCAAGTGATTCTCCTGCCTCAGCCTCCTGAGTGGCTGGGATTACAGGCACCCACCACCACGCCCGGCTAATTTTTTGTATTTTTAGTAGAGACGGGGTTTCACTATGTTGGCAAGGCTGGTCTCGAACTCCTGACCTCGTGATCTGCCCGCCTTGGCCTCCTAAAATGCTGAGACCACAGGCATGAGCCACTGAGCCCAGCCTAGACTTTTTTTTAATATCTAAAGTGCTTTAACATTTGTAAGATTCTTCAGCCTTTAAAACGAGAGAAATTCTGTCATTGGTGACGTGGATGGAATTGGAGAACATTATGCTGGATGAAATAAGCCTGGCACAGAAAGCAAATACTGCATGTTTTCACTTACATGTGGAAACTAAGACAATTGAACTCATATAAGCAGAGAGTAGAATGGTGGTTATAGAGGCTGGGGGAGTGGGAGGAATGAAGAGATGGTGGTCAAAGGATACAAAAATCTCAGACAGGAGGAATAAGTTTTATTTTGAGATCTATTGCACAGCATAGTGAACATAGTAAATAATAGTGTGTTCTGCATTTCAAAACTGCCAAGAGAATAAATTTCGAATGTTCTCAACCACAAAAAATAAGTATTTGAGGTGATGGATATGTTAAGTAGCTTGATTTAATTATTCTATATTATATTGGTAAATTATAACATCATGTTGTACTCCATAAATATATACAATTATTGACTGTCAATTTACAATAAAATGATTTTTTTTTAAAGAGATGGGGGTCTCACTATGTTGCCCAGGCTGGTCTTGAACTTCTGGCCTCAAGTGATCCTCTCACCTCAGCCTCCCAAAGTGCTGGGATTACAGGCATGAGCCACCACACGCAGCTAATTTACATTAAAATTTTTAGAAAACTGACTAAAGATGCATCAAAAGATTTTTTTTCAGTTTAAAAACTTAAGATTGTTGGAAGCAAATGTAACATTGTGGAGTGGGGTTTTCAATATATGTAGATATAACACAAATGACAATTATAACATAAGGCGGGGGAGGATTAAGGAATCTTTATATTAATAGTTGTAAGATTTCTATATTCTCCTTAAAGTTGCTAAATATAAAATCTAACTAGAATACGAAAGGCTATGTGTGCATACTGTAATCTCTAGAGCTACCACATAAGAATTCACAGAGATAAAAATAAAAAGTCAATAGATAAAATACCAAAAAATACCAATATCTAAAAGGCATGAAATAGGGGAAAGGACAAACCAAAACAGAGAGGTTGACCTAAATCTAAACATACTAACAATTACATTAAAAGTAAATGGTCTGAATATACCAATAAAAGACATACATTGTCAAACTGAACTGAAAAGCAAAAAAGACCCAAGTATATGCTATTTACAAAAAACTCACTTTAAATATAATAACATAGGTTAAGAGTAAAAAGATGAAACAAGTTACATCATACAAACACTAATCAAAAGAAATCCAGAAAATGGTTAAAATGTAAACTTTATGTTGTATAAACTTTGCACAAGAAAAAAAACAAAAGGTACCGTGCTTGTATTAATACCAGAAAATGTAGTCTCCAGGACAAGGGAACTTACCAGAGAAGAAAGAGACATATAACGGTAAAAGGATCAATTAACCAAAAGGATAAAACAATCCTAAATATACAGAAATCTAATAAGAGAACTCCCAAATAAATGAAACAAAAACTAACAAAACTGAAAGAAAGAATAAATCCACAATTATACTTAAAGACTTCAATCTCTCTCTCTCTCAGTAATGGACAGAACAGGTGGGCAGAAGATCAGAAAGGATACAGGTCTGAAGAGAACCATCAAGCAACCTGATCTGACATTTACAAAATATTCTGCCCAACAACAGCCGACACACTTTTTTTTTTTTTTTTTTTTTTTGAGACGAAGTCTTATTCTGTTGCCCAGGCTGGAGTGCAGTGGCGCGATCTCGGCTCACTGCAACCTCCATCCCTTGGGTTCAAGCAATTCTCCTGCCTCAGCCTCCCGAGTAGCTGGGATTACAGGCACCTGCCATTGTGCCTGGCTAATTTTTGTATTTTTAGTAGACATGGGGTTTCATCATCTTGGCCAGGCTGGTCTTGAACTCCTGACCTCGTGATCCACCCGCCTTGGCCTCCCAAAGTGCTGGGATTACAGGCATGAGCCACTGCGCCCAGCTGCACACACATTCCTTACAAATACACATGGAAGTTTCATCAAGATAGACCACATCGTAAACAAAACATAAACATATCATAAACAAACTTCAAGTTTAAAATAACTGAAATTGTACAAAGTATGTCCTCTGACCATAATAGAATTAAACTAGAACTCATACAGAAAGATATCTTCAAAATGTTCAACTCTTTGAAAACTGAACAATAGATTCATGGATCAAAGAGGAAGTCTCAAGGAAATAACAAATTTTGAACTGAATAAAAATATAACAAATTAAAATTGGTGTTATGCAGCTAAAGTAGTGCTGAGAGAGAAATTTATAGCATTAAAATGCTTATATTAGAAAGGAAAGTTTAAAATTATTACTCCAAGCTACCACCTTAAAAAATGACAAAAAGAACAGGCCAGGTGTAGTGGCTCACCCTGTAATCTCAGCACTCTGGGAGGCCAAGGTGGATGGATCACTTGAGCTCAGATGTTCGAGACCAGCCTGGCCAACATGGTGAAACCCTGTCTCTACCAAAAATACAAAAATTAGCTGGAGGTGG
This sequence comes from Homo sapiens, assembly GCF_000001405.40. Lineage (NCBI taxonomy): Eukaryota > Metazoa > Chordata > Mammalia > Primates > Hominidae > Homo > Homo sapiens. The sequence continues at coordinate 65,932,250 of NC_000007.14, read as the reverse complement.
TGGCGGGTGCCTGTAATGTCAGCTGGTTGGGAGGCTGAGGCAGGAGAATTACTGGAACCCGGGAGGCAGAGGTTGCCATGAGCTGAGTTCGTGCCACTGCACTCCAGCCTGGGCAACAGCATGATACCCTGCCTCAAAACAACAACAACAACAAACCCAAAGAACAATTTAGATCTAAAGCAAGCAGAACGAAGGAAAGCAAAACAAAACTTAGAGCAGAAATTAATGAAATTTAAAACAGAAAAACAATAGAGAAAATAAATGAAACCAAAGGCTGGTTCTTTGAAATGATCAAGAAAATCAATAAATGGGCTGGGCATGGTGGCTCATGCCTGCAATTCCAGCTCTTTAGGAGGCTGAGGCCAGGGATCACCTGAGGTCAGGAGTTTGAGACCAGCCTGGCCAACATGGTGAAACCCTGTCTCTACTAAAAATATAAAAAGTAGCCGGGCATGGTGGTGGATGTCTGTAATCCCAGCTATTCTGCAGGTCAAGGCATGAGAATTCCTTGAACCTGGGAGGCAGAGGTTGCAGTGAGCCGAGATCACCCCACGGCACTCCAGCTTGGGACACAGAGCGAGACTGCATCTCAAAAAAAGAAAAAGAAAATCAATAAACCTCTAGCTAACCTTTATTGATAAACCTCTGACAAAAGAATAAAAAAACAAGATACAAAGTATTAATATCAGAAATGAAAGAAGGGATATCACTAGACACAGTTATATACATTAAGAGGATAATAAAGGAACTCTATGCCCATAAATTTGACAACTTAGATGAAAAGGACCAATACTTTGAAATTCACAAATATCAAAACTCACTCAAGAAATACAGAATCTGAATATTCCTATTACTAGTTAAAAATCTTGAAAGAAAACAAAAACTGCAGGTCCAGATGGTTTCACTGGCAAATTCTACCAAATATATACGAAGTAATACCAATTGTACACAATCTCTTCCAGAAAACAGAAGAGGAGGGAACACTTCTTAACTCATTTTGTAAGGCTAGCTTTACCCTGACATCAAAACCATATAAAAGCATTAAAAGAAAAAAAGGAAAAAAAAAACCACCACAGACCAATATCATTCATGAAAATAGACTCTTAAAACCCCTCAACAAAATATGGTAAATCAAATCCAGCAATATACAGAAAGGATAATATATCATGACCAAGTGGGATTAATTTTGGAAATGCAAGGCAGGTCTGACATTTAAAAACCAATCAGCGTAATTCATCATGTTAACAGACTGAAGAAAAACCATATGATCATCTCAATAGATGCAGATAATATATTTGACAAAATACAAAATCTATTCATGATTAAATTTCTCTGCAAGCTAGGAAGAGAGGCAATTTTCCTTGATTTGATAAAGGTCATCTAAAATACTCCTACAGTTAACATCACATTCAATGGGGAAAGACGAAATTCTTTCTCCCTAAGATAGGAAGAAGGCAAGGATGTCTGCTCTCACCACTCCTACTCAACATTGTACTGAAAGACCTTAGCCAGTAAAATAAAGGAAGAAAAAAAAATCAAAGGCATACAGATCAGAAAAGAAGGAATAAAACTCAATTTGTAGATGGCACAATTGTCTATATAGAAAATCCCAAGTGAGACTGAATACAAAAATGGACGATGCCTAAACCATATATACATACAGAACTCTGACCCACAATTTCTGCAGCCACCAACCAAGGAAGCCAAACTACAACCGCTGTAGCAATCAGTTCCAAACAGCCAATGCTTGATCAATAACTGCATGCTTCCCTAATTTTTGCTGTTTCCAATTTAGGAACAAGCACAGCAAGCCAAATACGCTCCCCTAACCACTCACTCAGGAGGACTCACTTCTAGCGAGCCTTGCTTCCAGCTCCTCCACGCCAACAACTTCCAGTCAGGGCACACCTGAAGTCTTTTCTTTCTTCCACTCTAAAGCTTTTACACTCCTCTTTAAGAATCCCATTTGAGTCTATGCCAAATGCAAATAGTAGTGACTGATGACCTTCCTATAGCAAGCTCTGAATAATAGCTTTACTCATCCTCATTTGAGTGGTCTCATTTCCACATAAGGAAAATGCAAAAGAGCTTCTAGAATTAAGAAGTTTATAAGGTTACCCGGCACAAGACCAATATACAAAAATCAAAATTATGTTTCTTTATTCTAGTAATGAACTATTAGAAATAAAAATATTTGTAATATAATTTATAATAGCACACACAGACAAATACATAGGCACATATCTAACAAAATACGTGTAGTATTTATAAGCTGAAAATTATAAAACTGATAAAAATAAAGACAACCTATATACATAGAGATATTATGTTTGTGGATTGGAAGACTAAATATTTTTAGGATATTAATTATCCTCAGATTGATCTCTGCACTCAATGCAAGCTAACCAAAATATCAGTAGGGGTCAGGCATGGTGGCTCACAACTACAATCCCAGCACTTTGGGAGGCCAAGGCAGGAGGATCACTTGAGCCCAGGAGAACCTGTCTCTACAAAAAAAAATTTTTAAAAGTAAAGTTAAAAAAAACCATATATATATATATATATATACACACACACACATACACACACACACATACATATATATATATATCAGTAGCATTTTTTTGTGGATAGTGACAAATGTTACACAGAAAAGTGAAGAAACTAGAAAAGCCGAAACAGTTTTGAAAAATAAAGTTGGTGAACACATACTAACTTCAAGATGTTGTAAAGCTACTGTAATCAAGACAGTGTGGTAGTGGTGAAAGGACAGACACAATGATCAGCAGAGAAGAATACAGAGCTCAGAAACAGACACAACTGATTTTTATTTTATTTTTTGAGACAGAGTCTCCCTGTCACCCAGGCTACAGTGCAGTGGCGCGATCTCGGCTCACTGCAACCTCTGCCTCCAGGGTTCAAGCTATTCTCCCACCTCACCCTCCTGAATAGGTGGATTACAGGTGCCTCCCACCACACCCAGCTAATTTTTTTTGGTATTTCTAGTAGAGATGAGGTTTCACCATGTTGGCCAGGCTGGTCTTGAACTCCTGACCTCAGGTGATGCGTCTGCCTCAGCCTTCCAAAGTGCTGGGATTACAGGCGTGAGCTACCATGCCCAGCCCTCTTTTTTCAAAAACTCTTAAAAACTGAACCATAAGGAAACAAACAATCTAATTTGTTTAAAGGCAAAAGATTTAAACAAACAAGTCACCAAATATATATAGATGGCATATAAGCACATGGAAAGATGCCCATTATCTTTAGTTATTAGAGAAATACAAATGAGAATCCCAATGATACACCACTACACACCTACCAGAAGAGCAAATAAACATAACAAAATAAATACCCAAGTACTGGTGAGGATGTGGAGCAACTGAAACTCTCACACATTGCTGGTGGTCACACAAAATAGTATGGAAATCAAATTGGGAGTTTCCTATGAAGTTAAACATATACTTATCATATGACCCAGCAATCCTCACCCTCTCCACCCCATTTACTCAAGAGAAGCAAAAATTTATGCTCACCCAAAAACCTGTTTGGAAACGTAGAGTAGCTTTATTTATAATTGTCCCACACGTAAGCAACACAATTGTCCTTCAATGGGTGAATGGATGAATACACTGGTACATACCATGGACTATCACTCAGCAATAAAAAGGAATTGTTTCATTTGGTGATACATGAAACAACACGGATAAATCTCAAATACATGTGAACAAAGTGAGACTCAAAGACTAGACAGTATAAAATTCCATTTAAGTGATATTCTGGAAAAGGTAAAACTATGAGGGTAGAGAATAAACACATGCCAGGAGTTAGGGATGGGGAAAGCCTGACTACAAAAGGGAATTGTTCTATGCCAGGAGCACATGCCTGTAATCCCAGCTATCAGGGAAGCTGAGGTGAGAGGATCTCTTGATCCCAGGAGTTCAAGACCAGCCTGGGTATCACAGTGAGACCCCATCTGAAAAAAAAAAAAAAAAAAAAGAAGGAAAAAAGGTAGGGGTAGGGATTGTTTTGATGTTGATGCTAATAGTGGCTACATGACTATACATGTTTCTCTAAACTCAACAAACTATAAACCAAATAGTGAATATCACTGTATAGAAGCTTAAAATTTTCTTCCCATTAAAAAAAAATTCAATAGTTCTTGGGGCATGTAGAAAATAACCTATATGTGGCAGTCCACTTTCAATTCTAAGTGCCTTACTATAGGTTTAAACAGCCTTCACGGAAATAAAGAGATAAAGAAGCAGAGTGTACTGAGCCAACACCGCTCCCTCCTCCTTCCTGCCTCCCCTTTCACCCAGCAGCCAGGCGCCTATCAGTTGGGGCCCCCTTAACTACCCTCTCCCCACCCCACCAAATAATTTAGTTTAGGCTATCTTGCAACATAAATAATTGTACCCTTTCTTATCAGCTAAGTGCAGCCACTAGGGCCAAAAGACAAATGTTTGGAGAGTGCTGAGACTGTTGCAATGCATGGTGGGCTACAATAAAATGCAGCAGAAAGATCCTAAAGAACATACTTGAAATCTTAATCCAACTACCAATAGGCGAAGTCTGGGAAGATTGTAAACCTGCAGTACTCAGCCAATGAGCAACTGGGGGAGGGACCTGCACACGAGGGGATAAATGGCTTGTTGTGACTGTGCTGGGTGTGCCTGTCCACCAGACACCTTATCTTGCAAGGCTGCCATTCAAAGTCTCACTTTTCGCTGTTCTCCTGGTCTCTGAGTCCATTCTTTGGGTTTGGACAGATGAGTTTGTTTCTCACAGGTACAAGAGGTTATTGGTTGACATGGATGAATTATACAATATATAAAATCCCAGAATCCACTATATATAGTGAATCCATATCCATCCTACATATAGTGAATTCTGGGATTTTAGTACACTTGTCACCCAATTAGTGTACATTGTACCCATTATGATTTTTTTTTTTCCTTTTTTTGAGACACCATCTCACTCTTGTTGCCCAGGCTGGAGTGCAGTGGCACGATCTTGGCTCACTGCAACCTTTGTCTTCCAGGTTCAAATGATTCTCCTGCCTCAGCCTCCCAAGTAGCTGGGACTACAGGCACCCACTACTATGCCCAGCAATTTTTCGTACTTTTAGTAGAGATGGGGTTTCACCATGTTGGCCAGGCTGGTCTTGAACTCCTGGCCTCAAGTGATCTGCCCTTCTCAGCCCCCCAAGGTGCAAGGATTACAGGCGTGAGCCACCATGCCTGGCCACACTATATGTGTATTATCCCTCACCTTTCTTCCAACCTCCCACTTCTGAATCTCCACAGTCTAGTATATCTAGTATATATACTGTTTGCCTTTGAGTACTCATAGCTTAGCTCCCACTTATAAGTGAGAACATATTGTTTTTGGTTTTCCCTTCCTGAGTTACTTCACTGAGGATAATGGCCTCCAGCTCCATCCAAGTTGCTGCAAAAGCCATTACTTTATTCCTTTTTATGGCTGAGTAGTATTCCCTGATGTATATATACCACATTTTCTGTATTCACTCATTGGTCCAGTGGGCACTTAGGCTTGTGCCATGTCTTTGCAATTGTGAATTGTGCTGCTATAAACATGCATGTGCAGGTGTCTTTTTCATAGAATGACTTCTTTTCCTCTGGGTAGATACCCAGGAGTGGGACTGCTGGATCAAATGGTAGTTAGTTCTACTTTTAGTTCTTTAAGAAATCTCCATACTGTTTTCCAAAGAGGTTGTATTAATTTACATTCTCACCAGCAGTATGTAAGTGTTCCCTTGAAGCTTAAAAATTAATTAGGCTAAGTGTGGTGGCTCATGCATATAATCCCAGCACTTTGGGAGGCTGAGGCGGGCAGATCACAAGGTCAGGAGTTCAAGACCAGCCTGGCCAATATGGTGAAACCCCGTCTCTACTAAAACTACAAAAATTAGCTGGGCGTGGTGGCGGGTGCCTGTAGTCCCAGCTACCCTGGAGGCAGAGGCAGGAGAATCGCCTGAACCCAGGAGGCGGAGGTTGCAGTGAGCCAAGATGGTGCCACTTCACTCCAGCCTGGGCAACAGAGTGAGACTCTGTCTCAAATAATAATAATAATAATAATAATAATAATTCATTAAAATTTAAAGGCAGAATAGAATTCTTATTGAGTGTGGCTTTGTCAACACCCAACATATGTTACCATAGGTGAATAATTACAGATGTTACCATAGGTGAATAATTAAGCAGAGTTAATTATATCATTAGTGGTCCCCAAAGGTCAATATCTGTACATATTTTTTTCTAGAAAAAAATATTTCTCTCAGAAAAATCATTTCCACCAGCCTCCTACTTCTAGGGTACAGATTGGAATGAAGACGCTTGGCTGCCAGTGTTCTTGGACTCTGCCTATTTTCTCATTCTTTTTGTCCTGTGGTTTTATACAATTTCTTGTATTCCTTTACTCTCATTTCCTTGGGGTTTCCTAAGGGTATAGAAATAAGCACGTGCATTAAATCTATTATGTTTATCTTGGAATCTAAAATGCACTTACTCAAATTTTATCAAATCCTATATAATAAGCAATAGGTGTTACAAGCAGTAAAGGCTTTGAAGTTTTGCACCAACCTAACATATAGAGAACCTCAAAGCCCTTACTGCTTCCAACACCTATTTCTTGTGACTGAATGACAGCCCCTACCCTCAAGAAGCTTAAAGAACAGGGAAAAACATCATACTCTGAAACATAATATAATGTACTAAATACACCAAGTACCTATGGACTCAAATGAAGAGGCTGAATTCTGCCTGAGGGGTTAACAGTCACTGTGGCATTGGTATACAACACAGATTGAAGGGGTCAGAACTGGAAAGAGTGAGACCAACTCGGAGACTGTAACAGTTTAGAGCACTGAAGATGGATCCGAAGATTGAAGAAGTAAGACTGACAGGATCTGACAACTGGCTGAATTGAGGAAGAATGACTGACTCCCGGGTTTCCAGGATGACTGAATAGATAGTGAGGCCATTCAAGGGACAAAGAACACAGGAGGAAGAACAGATGACTGAGTTGAGTTTTGACATGTTGACTTTTCACATACCTCCAAGTCACACAGATAACTCCATCCAATAAGCAGCCCAAAATAAAAACCTGAAGGTTTCTAGATGGATCTGAAATGCAGATTTAGAAGTATGGTTCTAAACATGATAGCCATGAAGAAGAGTGTTCAGGGAGAATATGAGGGAAAGGGAAGATTACGGATGGAGTACTAGGGAACACCACAAGTTAAGCAAAGGACCAACCAGGAGGGAAAGCACCCATGAAGGTGATGGAAAACAGCTGGAAGCGGGGGAGAACCAGGAGAGAGAACGGTAACAGGAAGGTACAGGAGAATCTAAGGAAGAACACAATATTCTGTATCAAATGCTGAGAAAAAGATTCATAGAATACAGAGTAACAAATATTTATATTCCATATAAATAAAAACTAAGCACTTCATCATTTGTTACCACATCTGCAAAAATTACTAGATAGATTTTCACCCAATTTGAAGACCACGTGTCACATAAAAAGTTTACCATGAAGTGTACTGTCAAAGTCTAACAGTGGTTCCAGTGAGGAATACCCTGGAGGTTTTACTTGGCTAGAGGTTGGCAAACTACAACTCATGGCCAAATCTAGCCCACTGCTTGTTTTTGTAAATAAAGTTTAATCAGAAAACAGCCATTTACATTTGTATTACTCTGGCTGCTTTCAAACTATAATATTATAGAATAGTCATGTAGTTAGTTTGGCAACGATCCTATGGCCCGTGAAGCCTAAAGTATTTGCTTTCTGGCTCTTAACAGAAAAAGCTGGCTAACTGCAGTATAATGTCACTATCAATAGAGTGTGCCATTCTAGGATGAAAAGTCAGCGTCCAGATTAACAGAAGGCAAAGACGAGTTTGCTGCTAAGTGGCTGATTGGCCACTAAAGGCCTCACAATGGGTGTTTAACTTGGTGCATTGAACCTGGTCCAGGGTCTAGCTTTGGGTTTTACAATCTCAAAACCTTGAAAAACCTTGGGAAGCTGATATGCCCAGCCTCAGTAAGCCATGTATGAAGATATTAGAACATACTGATCTCACATTCCTTACTGGGAAGCCTACCCCGGCTAGATCACCCTCTGCTACAGGCTTTAAGTCTCAACACATTAAAACCTTAGGGTGGTACCACCTCATGCACTGCTATACTGGAAGGGGAAGACTTTGTAATCAGAGTAGAAATCCAACTACCCACCCATATCTCAGAAACTAGCAAGACCGATCCCATTAGCTTCGAAGCATCCCTTCTACCTGTCACTGCCAGAAGGTGAGGCTTCCTAAGTCACCGATCATCACATGAACCCACACTGCTCTGTACTTTTCATTAAAATCTAATGTCTCATTCCTTTCCTGTCCAAAACCTCTCAGCTCTGTCCTCTGAAATCCCTGCTCATTGATCAATAAGCTATTAACTTTAGAAAAATATTTCTGCCTTCTTTCGCTCTTCCCTGACAATATGAATTCTCTTGCAGCCCATTCAGCTGGAAACACTTTTTGGTCTCACACTCTTAATTTGTCAAGGCCAGGAAGGAAAATACCGTCCTTCCTTTTCATTTTTGCTGTCAGGAGTTTGCTTCTCTTTCCCTCTTGCAAATCTTCCTGCTTCTTGGAGGTGTGTTTCCATATAACTACATATGCTCCAGCCACTGCTCTCTGTTGCCACCTGCCAACCTCATAATCACACTTGGAGTCACTCCCTCACACGCTCTCATTCAAGGAAGCTGTTTCACTCCTTGCTTATCAGTCTTTCTCTCCTCCCCAATTACTATCATCTTTTTTTTTTTCTTTTTGAGACAGGGTCTCTATCGCCTAGGCTGGAGTGCAGTGGTGCAATCACAACTCACTGCAGCCTCGACCTCCCCAGGCTCAAGTGTGATCCTCCTGCCTCAGCCTCCCAAGTAGCTGGAATTACAGGCATGCACCACAACACCCGGCTAATTTTTGTGATTTGTTGAGAGACAGGGTCTTGCTATGTTGCCCAGGCTGGTCTTGAACGTCAGGGCTCAAGCGATTCACCTGCCTTGGCCTCCCAAAGTGCCATTGCACCCTGCTCCTATCATCTTTTTAAGAGATGTCAGCCTCACACAGACGAACAAGCACATCAATTATGTCCTTAATAACTCCAACTCAGTTACCTTTCCTATGATCAAATGCTCTACTTTATCATCAGCAAAAACAGGGGAAGAATAGGACAAAAGCAAAATTTGGAGAGAGAGAGAGATAATGGTTAAAATTTTTCCAAAACTGAAGAAAGACACACTAAGCCACAGATTCAAGAAGAGTTGAACCCCAAGCAGGACACGTAAATACTTTTGCAAGCACATCACAGTAAACTTTCTGAAAACGAAAGAAAATTAGCCATCTTTAAAAGCTGCCAGAGAAGGCAGGGAAGAACACAGCACTCTTAAAGCAGCAAAACTAAGACTGACAGCTAATACCAACAGAAGGAAAGAAAGCCAAAAGACAATCAACTGCCAATCCACAATTCCAGGTGCAAGTGTACATTTCGGCTGAAAATGAAGGTTAAAAACAATTTCTTCTCCAGATGAATAAAAACTGAATTTGTTCACGCCAAAGGAAGTTCTTCAGGCAAAAGAAACATGATCTGGCCAGGCGCAGTGGCTCACGCCTGTAATCCCAGCACTTTGGGAGGCTGAGGCGGGCAGATCACCTGAGGCCAAGAGTTAGAGTCCAGCCTGGCCAATGTGGCAAAGCCCCGTCTCTAGTAAAAATACAAAAATTAGCCAGAAGTGGTGGTGCAGCACATCTGTAATCCCAGCTACTCGGGAGGCTGAGGCAGGAGAATCACTTGAACCCAGGAGGCAGAGGTTGCGGTCAGCCAAGATTGCGCGACTGCACTGCACTCTAGCCTGGGTGACAGAGCAAGACTCTGTCTCAAGAAAAAAAAAAAAAAGGAACATGATCCTAGACAGAAGCACTGCAAAGATAGAGGGGGAAATAACGATTGAAAGGAGAAATACGAGGGAGACTAAATGAATACTATGTCAAACAAAATGTCTTGTGGAGTCAAAAATATGCAGAATTAAAATAAATGACAATAATGACAAAAAAGGTACGTGATTGGTAAATGAAGCCTAAATATCCAAAGGTCCACGCACTGACAGAAAAGTGATACAACTATTAATTTATATTAGAGTTCAATAAACCAAGGATGCATGGTATAACCTGCAGGGTAATGATTTAAAAGAAATGAGGTGGCTCATGCCTGTAATCACAGCACGTTGGGAGGCCAAGGTTGAAGAATCCCCGAGGCCAGGAGTTTGAAACCAGCCTGGGTAACACCGTGAGACCCGTCTCTAAAAAAAATTTTTTTTTTTTTTTTGAGATGGAGTCTCGCTCTGTCGCCCAGGCTGGAGTGCAGTGGCATGATCTCCGCTCACTGCAAGCTCCGCCTCCCGGGTTCATGCCATTCTCCTGCCTCAGCCTCCAGAGTAGCTGGGACTACAGGCGCCCGCCACCACGCCCGGCTAATTTTTTGTATTTTTAGTAGAGACGGGGTTTCACCATTTTGGCCAGGATGGTCTTGAGTTCCTGACCTCATGATCCACTTATCTTGGCCTCCCAAAGTGTTGGGATTGCAGGCGTGAGCCATCGTGCCCGGCCAAAAATTTTTTTAATTAGTTGAGCATGGTGGCACGCACCTGTAATCTCAACTACTTGAGAAGGTGAAGTGGGAAGATTGCTTGAGGCCAGGAGTTCAAGGCTGCAGTGAGCTATGATCTCGCCACTGCACTCCAACCTGGGTGACACAGCAAGACCTTGTCTCTAAAAGGTAAATTAATGTATATGAATAAGATAATACAGTGGGGGGAAATGGAATAAGATGTTTGATTAATCCAAAAGAAGGCAAGGAAAGAGAAAAATGAACATGGCACTGGTAGGGGAAATAGGAATCCTAAGACGTTAGCTTTAAATCCAAATATATTCATAATTAAATTGAACATATAAAAGGTCTATAAAATGCCTACTAAAAATACTACTATCAACACCTGTAGGATGTAGCTAACACTGTGTTTAGAGAGAAATTATAACCATAACTTCATGCATTAGTGCTCTAAGTATCAATCTCAAAAAGTTACAAAAATAACAGCCAGTTAAACCCCCCCCAAAGTAAAAGATACTAATAAATGTAAGAGAAGCAGTCTATGAAAAAGGAAACAAAAATAGTACAAATCAAAGATTAATAAAAGTGGTCAATGTGTAGAAAGACCCATATTTAACTTTCTTTCTTTCTTCTTTCTTTCCTTCTCCTTTTTCTCTTTCTCTTTCCTTTCTCCTTTCTTCCTTCTCTCCCTTCTTTTCTTCCTCCCTCCCTCTCTTCCTTTCTGTCTTTTTTTTTTTCTAAAAACAGGGACTATGTTGCCCAGGCTGGCCTTGAACCCCTGGGCTCAAGCAATCCTCTCACCTCAGCCTCCCAAGAAGCTGGGACTGCAGGCGCATACCACCGTGCCTGGCCCATCTTTAATTTTTAAAAGAGAGAAAAACAGTGTAGGAAAGAGAAAGGACACGACACCACAGAAGCTACTTAATTCTCATCTTTCAGATCCCAGCTTTTGACACCTGGCCAAGAAGGAGCCTCCCCACTCCTCCTGTTAGCTTTCTATTTTATCCTCTCCTACAACCAAAGCTCCTTTCTCAAGAGCTTCTATCTCAAATTATGTACACGAATCTATATGTTAATCAATAACGGTGTCTCCTATACCAGTCTATGCTCCAGGAGGAGAAGGATCATTCAGCAGTGAGTCCCCAGTGTGTAGCAGGGTCCAGCAGGTGGGAGAGACCCAAACATTTATTTAAAAAATACTTATTGAGTGCCCAGCATTTGTCGGGCATGGTATCAGGTGATGGGAACACAATAAACAAAATAGACAACATTGTATGTCCTCATGGTGTCTACCCTCTCATGGAGAGAGAGACGAGCAGAAAAGCAAACAGAAACAAAGCAGGGAAAGATGAGTACAGGGTTGAAGGAACTGCAATCTAAACTTATATTCAAAATTTGAAGTCGGGTGGTGAGGTGAGGAGGCCTCGCTGAGGTGAGAAAGCAAGTCATGCATGCCCGGCGGGTGTGAGGTACAGCCAGGAAGCCAGGATGCATGGAACAGAGCAAGCAAATGTAAGAAGGGAAGAGTAACAGGAGCCACAAGAAAAAAAACACCAGGGCAAGGGTAGCAGTAGATCATGGGGTCTTTAGGCCATGATGATGACTTTGACTCTGAACAAAATGGGCATCCAAGGGGTGGTTTTGGCCACCTGGCTAATTTTTTTGTAGTTTTAGTAGAGACAGAGTTTCACTGTGTCAGCCAGGATGGTCTCGATCTCCTGACCTTGTGATCTGCCCGCCTCTACTTCCCAAAGTGCTGGGATTACAGGCATGAGCCACCGCGCCCGGCCTGGCCACTGTTTATATTTTTAAAAGGTCACTCTGGCTGTAGTATTGAAAATAGACTATGAGGAAGAAGGATGGAAATAAACTCAGTCTGCTACTGCAATGATCCCAGCAGAGAGCATGGTAGCTTAGAACAAGATGACCGCAGTGGAGGTGGTGAAAACTGGTTAGGCCCAGGATATATTTTGAAGGTAGAGCCACCAAGACTTGCTCGCAGACTGGATGTGCAGCATGAGGCAAGAAAATGGTCTAAGATGACACAGAGGTTTCTGACTTTACTAGCTGGGAAGAAAAGTTGCTATTTTCTGAGTTAGGAAAGAAAAGGCTTCAGAGACCAGGAATTCAGGATCAGGAATTCAGTTTTGGACACAAGTTGAACTACCTTTTAAGTGGAAATGTCAGAGAGGCAAATGGATATATGAATTTGCAAGTTAAGTTAGAAATAAAAATTTTGGAGTGGTCAGCATATAGCTTGGTATTTAAAGTCAAGAGACTGAATGACATCAACAAGTAACCTTTGATAAATCCATCAATCCATTAATCAATGACTAATAAACATATGACTATTAGCCATCAGAGCCGTTAAGGATGAACAGGTAGTGTAGGACTATGGGGACCTGAGCTTCTCTTGGAGTGGAACCACAGCTATGCTGTTGTTTTAGTTTATTATTTATTTTTACTTATTTATTTTTTGAGAAAGGGTCTCGCTCTGTCACCCAAGCTGGAGTGCAGTGGCGCGATCACTGCAACCTTCATCTCCTGGATTCAAGCAATTCTTGTGCCTCAGCCTCCGGAGTAGCTGGGATTACAATCACGTACCATCACACCTGGATTACTTTTGTATTTTTAGTAGAGATGGGGTTTCACCATGTTGGCCAGGCTGGTCTTGAACTCTTGGCCTCAAGTGATCTGCCTGCCTCAGCCTCCCAAAGTGCTGGGATTACAGATGGGAGCCACCGCGTCCCGCCTGTTTTGTTGGTTTTTAAAGAATCTTCCTTTGCCTTCAGATATTCTCTTATACCACCTTTGAGAAAAAATTGCACAGCTAACATTAACACGACATATATTTTCTCAGTTACCTCTTATTTGATCTCCAAATTTGGTGGCTTTCGCCTTAACTGACACCATAGGTTACCTGCACTGAAGCAAGAAAGCACCTTGAAATGGATGCTGTGCATGTGTTACTGACACCTGGCTGAGAAAAGTGCCCTTTGTGGAAAGTGAAGATCATCCCAACCATTCATTTCTCTAGGTTTGACTCTTAAATCAACCCAGACCACCAGAAAGCTATGTCTTTGGACAGTATGTCTCTCCTATGTAAAAGCGCTTGCAGTGAGTTTCATGTCAGCATTATGTCTTAGTAATTTCAAAAGGAAATGGTCATACGAATGCCTTTGCTTAATTTGCTCTGGCAATGTTGCTGAAAATATTATCTACATATCTCTGTGTCCTTTATGTGAAACCCTCCAAGGGATTTCTTTTATAATCCATGGAAAAACTTTGCATTCCCTGAAGAGTTACAGGCAATGTTTCCCTTTTTAGGCAATACTGCCATGAAGTATACAATGTTTGATTCCATTTATATGATCTTCTAGAACAAGGAAAACTGTAGTAGAACAAAAGAATCACAATGGTTATCTCTAGGAGGTTGCGGGGTAGGGAACTGATTGGCAAGAGGCATGATGAAACCTTTAGGGTTGTAGTAATGTAGTAGCAAAGTATCAAAGCTCATCAACAGTGGCACTATCGAGACAGAACTGTCACTGTAGCTGTCCCTGGACTCTACCTGCTAGATGTCACTACTAACCTATCGCGACCCTGCCCAGTTGTGACACCAAGACTATTTCCAGACCATTGTCAAATGTTCCCTGGTAGGCAAAGCCACCACCCTATATAACTTGACAGAGTTTTGGCTTACTTAGGCGTACATGTTCATTAAAATTCAGAGAATATACATTTCAAATCTGTGTATTTCATTGTATGTGTATTTTGGCTCAAAAGAAAATGTGTCAAATAATGAACTAATGATATGCATGCTAAAGTACTTAGGAGAAAGTTTTTAGTGATGGATACAGGGGTAGATAATTGTATAGCAAATAAAAATGCAAGTACAAGTGAAATGTTAATGGTAGAATCTGAGTGGTGGATATACAGGCATTCTCTAGAAAATTCTTTAAAGTTTTCTGTATGTTTCATATTTTCATAATAAAATGTTGGGAAAAATTTATCATGGGAGAGGAAAGGGCATATGAGACCCAATGAGTAAGTAGCTGAGCAAAGGCAGAGGAACATGAAAAGTCTGGCAAACTGCAGGTTACTTCCAATGCCTGGAGTATAGTGTATCAAGGAAGGAGAGGTAGACAGAAGACAAATCATGGAGAGACTTACAGGAATTCTGACTGTCCTATGCAGGCAAAAAGCACTTTACACTATACCCTCATAGCCACATGCACAGCAGAATGGAAGGATAGGAAACCTAGAAGAACAATGAAGGCCTAAATCAACGCACAGAGAAAAGGTGGAGGGAAGGGGTGGAGATGAGAAACATTAAAGTAAAATCAATAGGACTTAATCACCAATTGGATTAGGAATGTGAAGATAAAGAAAAAAGAGTTGTGAGAAAGTAACCAGGACACTTTTTTGTCTCGTTGGGGCTCTTGGTGCACGGGAGAAAGTCTCACTTTGTAAAATGAGGAATTAAGTAAATGACTAATTACGTGATATGCTAATACTATCATCTAACATCCTTGAGACCTAAAACTCCTGGTGTAGAAGAAAAGGGATAAGATATAGGAGATAAAATAAACACTCTGAAGTCCTGAATTTGAATTGGGAATGTTTTAAAGATAACCATGAACTGTTATCCTAAAAAAAGATATTTCAGGCCAGGCTTGGTAGCTCATGCCTATAATCCCAGCACGTTGGGAGGCCAAGGTGGGTGGATCACCTGAGGTCAGGAGTTCGAGACCAGCCTGACCAACATGGAGAAACCCCGTTTCTACTAAAAATACAAAATTAGCCAGGCATGGTGGCGCAGGCCTGTAATCCCAGCTACTCAGGAGGCTGAGGCAGGAGAATCACTTGAACCTGGGAGGTGGAGGTTGCAGTGGGCTGAGATTACACCATTGCACTCCAGCCTGGGCAACAAGAGCAAAACTCCATCTCAAAAAAAAAAAAAAGATGTTTCCTATATCAAACAATGACCAATCTATAGCAATAAGATCTAGGTTGTGATCTTCTAATTCCATTTCCCCCTAAAAGAATCTAGGACTCTGAGCTCAGAGAAATGGCTAGTTTCAGGTAGGGGACAGGAAATGCACAAGATGAACCAAGAACATCTGGTCATACCAAACAAGGAAGCTATCGAAGGCGATGGAAGTCAGGAGAAAAGGACTTAGAAGAAGGCAGAGAAGTCTGGGTGTCAATAAGAATAATAACCACAATGGATTGAAGCACATCAAACACATTTAAATTCTATGACTTTCTAATAATACAAACTAATTGGTCAACATGGGAAATGCTAGGGAACCAACTCATTATTTTCAAAACTGGCAAATAAAGAGAAAAAAACCAGGCACATAACCTGCCTTCTCTATACAAACTGTATCACTGGGTAATCAAGCAGTAGACAAAAAGGATGTTTCCTCTTTTTTTTTTTTTTTTTTAATTTTAGACAGAGTCACGGTCTGCTGCCCAGGCTGGAGTAGAGTAGCGTGATCTTGGCTCACTGCAACCTCCGCCTCCTGGGTTCAAGCGATTCTCCCGCCTCAGCCTCCCAAGTAGCTGGGATTACAGACATACACCACCATGCCCAGCTCATTTTTGTATTTTTAGTAGAGACGGGGTTTCACCATTTTGTCTAGGCTGGTCTTGAACTCCTGACCTCAAGTGATCTGCCCGCCTCAGCAAGTGCTGGGATTACAGGTGTGAGCCACTGCACCCAGCCAGGAGGTTTCCTCTTATACAAGTATTGCAGCTAACACATGAAGAATGAATGATGGAATAGCACCATTTTGCAACACCTAATAAATTAGGTGTTGATTTAGGCATTGAATATAAATAGCCTCACCCCCAATCATGCCTCTACTATCTAACTCCCAATTTCCCAGATGGTAGGAAACTCTACTAAACCAAAAAAAAAAAAAAACTGGTTTCTTTAATAAACTGCAAGGGATGGAGAGACGAAGGGAGAATTACAGATTAAAGGTACCATCAGGCTGGGCACGCCTGTAGTCCCAGCTACTTGGGAGACTGAGGCAGGAGAATCACTTGAACCCAGGAGGCGGAGGTTGCAGTGAGGAGAGATCGCAGCACTGCACTCCAGCCTCGGTGGCAGAGCAAGACTCCATCTAAAAAAAAAAAAAAAGAGTTCAGAAAATAAGCTCACAAAGGCTGGGCGCGGTGGCTCATGCCTGTAATTCCAGCACTTTGGGAGGCTGAGGTGGGTGGATCACGAGGTCAGGAGATCGAGACTATCCTGGCTAACACGGTGAAACCCCGTCTCTACTAAAACTACAAAAAATTAGCCAGGCATGGCGGCAGAGGCCTGTAGTCCCAGCTACTCGGGAGGCTGAGGCAGGAGAATGATGTGAACCCAGGAGGCGGAGCTTGCAGTGAGCCGAGATCGAGCCACTGCACTCCAGCCTGGGCAACACAGTGAGACTCTTGTCTCAAAAAAAAAAAAAAAGAAAAAAAAAAGAAAAAAAATAAGCTCACAATCACAAATTACAAACCGAAGAGGGAGAGTTAAGTATTTGCGGGTTTTTTTGTTTTTTGAGACACGGTCTTGCTCTGTTACCCAGGCTGGAGTGCAGTAGCACAATCATGGCTCATTGCAGCCTCGAACTCCTAGGCTCAAGTGAGTTTCTCACCTCAGCTTCCCATGTACCTGGGACCACAAGGCATGTGCCACCACATCCAGCTAATTTTTGTTATTTTTTGTAGTGACAGAGTCTTGCCATGTTACCCGGGCTGGTCTCAATCTCCTGGTCGGTCTCAAGCTATCCTCCCGCTTCAACCTCTCAAAGTCCTGGACTTACAGGGTTGAGACACAACACCCAGCCAGAGGGAGAGTAAGTAGATGCAAACAAGAGAATTCTAAGAATGAAAATAATAAAACAATATAGGGGTGGAAAAGAATTAGCTTGAAAACAGCAAGGGGAAGCAGAAAGAATGCTGTTACCACTCTCTTGGACTCCATGGTATATGGGCTGTGAGAGAATGAGTAATTGCCATTAAAAAGCAGTGCTGGAAGAGGTGAGTTTCATTGAGGTAAGATTGCAAAGGGAAAGATGGGGAGGTTAAGGATGCAGGACAATTTATTTACAGAAGATATAGAGGGAAGGGATAGGAGAGACAGTGGCAAAAAAGAAGTGCCTGGGTTGGGTGCAGTGACTCACGCCTGTAATCCCAGCACTTTGGGAGGCCAAGGCGGGAGGACCACTTGAGTCCAGGAGTTGGAGACCAGCCTGGGCAACAAAGTGAGACTTCACCTCTACAAAAATTTTCAAAATTAGTTGGGCATGGTGGTATGATGGTGCACACCTGTAGCTTTGGCTACTCAGGAGGCTGAGGTGGGAGGATCGCTTGAGCCCAGGATTGCACCACTGCACTCCAGTCTGGGTGACAGAGTGAGACCCTGCCTCAAAAAATTAAATTAAAAATAAAATAAAGGCACTGAAGATTTACTGTCTCTATATTAATACACTGTACCAAATTCAAGACACATTTTTATTTTTTTATAATGCCTCTAAACTCAAGAAATAAGGGTTGGAGTCTAAGGTGTGTCAAGAGGCCATTCCAATTCCCACTTGTAGTCATTCCAGCTCTGTGTTTTGGCAGCTTTGGAAACTCTCCCATATACCTAGTACTGGAGGGAGGCCCTAAAAGTTTATTTTGGCACAAAAAGCCACACCAAAAGAACTACTCAGAAATTTTCCTTAGTGATTTCATCCATATAATTTCAATCAGACCTCTGAATGTTCATCCTGGTAACTGAATATTCTCATTCCACCACATCTCACCCCCACCCCCCTCCCTTTTTTTTTTTTTTTTGAGACAGAGTCTCACTCTGTCGCTCAGGCTGGAGTGCAGTGGCCCGATCTCGGCTCACCACAACCTCCAACCTCCCAGGTTTAAGCAATTCTCCTGCCTCAGCCTTCTGAGTAGCTGGGATTACAGGCACCCACCACCACACCCGGCTAATTTTTGTATTTTTAGTAGAGATGGGGTTTCACCACATTGGCCAGGCTGGTCTCAAACTCCTGACCTCAAGTGATCCACCTGCCTCGACCTCCCAAAGTATGGATTACAGGTGAGAGTCACCGCGCCTGCCTCTTTTTTCCCTTCTAATGGCACAGAATATTATATGTGTGTGAAGATCTGGGTGGAGAACACCCCAACTCCTATTTGACTGCTGTAGTACAATGAATAGCAGGCCCAGATCTCCTTCCATAAGGACGTTACATGAAAAAAACAAAGGGTCTATGCAACAGTGCTAAAGAAGGGAACCAGGAACGTTCCCAGAACTCAGAGAAGCAATCTTCCTCTACAGAAAATTCACTATCAGAATTAAGAATATGATATATATTTCATAAAAATTCAATTTTTCATAGTTATAGCAGCCAAGATGGGCTCTGACATACACATTTCAGATCTGTGGAGGGAGCAGCCCCACAGGATGCTCTTTCATTTGCAGTTTTGCTGCTGACAGCATTACCAGCTCTCTGAGATACCCACACCTCCCTACCTAATCTTGCCAGTAACGCAGACAGATTGGCACACAAGGCTCAGTAACTACCACAGTGCTACTCAGAGTGGGTTCCACGGACCGGTGCTGCTCCTGGAACTGTTTACTAGTCCATGATGAAATACATACAGAAATGGAAAAGAAAAACTTTCCCATGTTGTAAATTTACTAAAATGTAATTTTATGATTGAATCTATTAATAAAAATGTGGCATATGTTTTATATTTTATATTTTTATCTTTTAAAATGAATTTTTCTAGTACTTTGTTTCAATTGTATTTTACAAAGTATAGATCCCCACCTGATGGGTGGGAGGAGTATTTCCTCATCACAATGTGAGAAGCACTGATGTACTAGATTCTTACACACTAGGCCTTAAGTGCCCAGTTTCAAAGGGTACGAGCCACGACAAACCTAGTCATGGTGTCAGTAAAGCTTCCTTGGAGCCCTCAGTCAGCTGTTGAGGAACATACTGCCTGCTACATGGGCCTTTGTGCATTAAGATTCAACATGCAGATGCTTCATGAGGTTATTCTCACTAATCCATTACACAAATCAGAAGAAACTGACATGCGATTGAGCCAGCTGAGAAACACGGGATGTTACACGCACTGAAATGCATCAGCTGTCAACACTGTGAGCTCGGAAAGAGCCACAAGCTCCAGCACACAATATATGGTTCCTGGTGGCTTCCTGGAGAAAAAACAATATTCTACAGCTCCACTAATATAAGCTACTTTTGTAAATTCACACCTCAGAAACATTTACGCACAGCTCATGCCTACTTTAAATGTTCTGAAATTCTAGTTAAAATAGTAGACGCCTATAAATGAATGCATTGTCAAGCTTTTGAAAATTAGAGTGCAATACGATGAAATATAAAGTTACAGCATTTCTTGTTTTTTCCCTGAGATGGGGTCTTGCTCTGTCACTCAGGCTGGAGTACAATGGTGCAATAGCGGCTCACTGCAACCTCTGTTTCCCAGGCTCAATCAGTCCTCCCCCTTTTACCTTGATATTATATTATGGGATTATATGTCAATAGTGGGTAATGTGCCCTGTTGTGTGATATAATAGGTATCAAATAAATCCTTTAAAAAGATGCAGTGAAACTAGCTATTTTCTATGGACTTAATGCATGTAAAGCCTATAACTTTCTAAGAATGATACAATCATCCAGTCAGAGCAAAATGCCTATCAGAGCAAAACCACAAACCAGTGCTGGTCTATGAATTATTTGTTATGAATCCACGACAGGGTCAGTTCAGAAATTGAGAATAAGTGTTTAGAAAGTTGTATAGGCCAGGCATGGTGGCTCATGCCTGTGATCCCAACACTTTGGGACACTGAGGTGGGAGGACTGCTTGAGCCCAGGAGTTCAAGACTAACCTGGGCAAAATAGCAAGATGCTGTCTCTGCTTAAAAACAAACAAACAAACAAACAAACAAAACTTTTATACACATTCAACAATGCCATGACATGCAAGTGCACGACCAGTGATTTGTCTTGCTGAACAGAGAGTAATAACCTATCTAGGTGCTGTCAAGCTCACATGGGGAGGTGTATATGGCATGACATGTACTAGGCAGGTATGGCAGAATCAAGTTATGTGGGAAATGCTATGCCTATTTTACCAACTACCTAAATGTATACAAAAATCTGAGAAAATGCATGGGTTTATTCATTTTTATAACTACTTAATTTTGCAAACATTTTCATTTTAAGCCTGTATTTAAATTTGTAATTTAACATGAGTTAAACTAGAGAAATGAAGTTTACATTCTTTTTAACCAAATTTACATATGGATAAACAAGCTTCAGTTGATTTTGCAGCATCTTTTCAGTGGAAAAGACATGCCTCTGAATATAGTAAACCACAGGACAGTGAAGGAAGTGAATCCAAAGAGATGAAGACCAAAAGATGCCACACCACTTTCACTCAGGAGTGGGGCTGAGCCCTCATATACTGAGTTCAGGATTGTAGCCATAATTAATGGTGAAGTGTAACATCACAGTGTGTTAACTGAAGAGATATACTGGTTAATGGAGCAACAAAATCATCAAAATTTAAGGGGCATTTATAAACCAAATGTACAGACATAAGCTCAAAACAGAGAGAATTCTTTGAAAGATACTACATTTTAAAGGCTAATAGAAGCAGATGATCAGTATTTTATCCATAAATGTTTTACATGCTTCCTGTCCCAGCACTTTGGATTGCTAAAATGAAAATGCTATTGTCAAGAACAAGTGAATATCACTTACATGAAAGGGTAAATCTGCACTTTCCAATGAAAGCACAGCTTGCTACCTTTGGAAACTAATGATACAGAAGACCAATTTACAAAAAAAAAAAACTTGCAAAGTGCTTTTCATTGTACCTTGACAAGCGCACAGATATTGCTAATGTGCTATCCAAAGATGATGGTGATGTGAAGGAAGAACTAACTCTTTTTCTCAGTTTTACATCCAACAAACACAACTAGTTCTGAACTGGGTAAAACGATGAGAATTATGTTGGCAACAAAACTGGTCTGGAATTTTGTATACAAGAATGTTCTGATAGCACAGCTGCAATGACAAGAAAACATTCTGGAGTAGTTCCCCAGATTAAGCAGCTTGCACCAGAAAGAAAATCACACACTGCTTGGTGTGTGATCTCGGTACAAAAAATGTCAGTTGAACTAAACAGTATGTGTGTAGTGTCATAATAAGAATCATGAGAATGCAAATACATATTAATGATTATTGTCTTTATTATGTGCTAATAGAAAAGGATACTGTTAGTGAATTAATGTTAAAATAATGTTCATATTAAAACAATGGTACTGAGGAGAAATTTGAATTACAGAACAGACTCAGTGCTTCTGCAAGGTAAGAAACAAGTTTGTTTCCAACTTTTAAAAGATGTGAACTTGTTAGCCAACTTGTTACTTTTAATTATCTTAATACTTCCTTACGAGGAAGGAAAGCAACAGGCTTTTTAACAACAGGTAAGATTAAAAGGCAAAAACAAGGCCAGGCACGGTGGTTCATGCCTGTAATCCCAGCACTTTGGGAGGCCGAGGTGGGTGGATCACGAGGTCAGGAGTTCAAGACCAGCCTGGCCAAGATCCTGAAACCCTGTCTCTATTAAAAATACAAAAATTAGCCGGGCATGGTGGCACATGCCTGTAATCCCAGCTACTCAGGAGGTTGAGACAAGAGAATCGCTTGAACCTGGGTGGCAGAGGTTGCAGTGAGCTGAGATTGCACCACTGCACTCCAGCCTGGGCGACAGAGCAAGCCTCCGTCACACACACACACACACACACACACACACACACACACACACACACACAAAGGCTAAAACAAAAGTTAGAAGCTTCAAAGAACAGTTTCGACAGATGATCACCAAATACCTTATAAATGAAACAGAACATTCTGAAATTTAATTTTTCAACCAATGAGATCCACACACAGGAAATGTAATAGAACCAAATCTATTTCCTTCACCTAAAGATAATTTAACTCTTCATGGCATAAACTGTTACAATTGGCTAATGCTGAAAGATAAAGGATTAAAGAGACTTGCTTTATTGTGGATACAATTGGAAGTCCATATCCTGAACTTGGTGAAATTGTTTTTAAGATCTCTTCTTCCATTCCCATCACGACATCTCGGTAACAATGGTTTCTCTACTTAAGAGTATTATTAAATCAAAACATAGCAAAGCTTAGCTTTATATTGTCACTTGAAAGTGATGCTGTGCCCGGGCACGGTGGCTCATCTGCAATCCCAGCAATTTGGGAGGCCGAGGTGGGTGGATCGCTTGAGGTGAGGAGTTTGAGACCAGCCTGGCTAACATGGCAAAACCCTGTCTCTACTAAAAAAAAAAAAAAAAAAATTAGGCTGGGCGTGGTGGCTCACGCCTGTAATCCCAGTACTTTGGGAGGCCAAGGCTATGTTGGCCAGGCTGGTCTTGAACTCCCAACCTCAGGTGATCCAACCACCTCGGCCTCCCAAAGTGCTGGGATTACAGGCATCAGCCACCGTGCCCAGCCTGTATTGTATTGATATTATTAAAACGTAATTCAGCTGAATAAATTACATGAGCTTGTATTTTACATGTCTGATGTTTTTATTTATTTTTTAATACTTCATCTTGCAAACATATCAGTCTACAATGGATTGGAATTTTTTTTTTTTTTTTTTGAGATGGAGTCTTGCTTTGTCACCCAGGCTAGAGTGCACTGGCACGATCTTGGCTCACTGCAACCTCTGCTTCTGAGGTTCGAGCAATTCTCCTGCCTCAGCCTCCTGAGTAGCTGGGAAGATAGGTGCATGCCACCACACCCAGCTAATTTTTTGTATTTTTAGTAGAGATGGGGTTTCACCATATTAGCCAGGATGGTCTCCATCTCCTGACTTCGTGATCCACCTGCCTTGACCTCCCAAAGTGCCGGGATTACAGGCATGAGCCACCATGGCCGGCCTGGATTTGAAATTTTAAAAACTCTGCCTTCAGTGGTTTGAGAAATACCAGGCTAGCCTTAAGTAGTTACTTGCATTTTGAATTTGTGTCAACAGATTAAATCCAGATAAATAATCTTGAATAAATCTCTGTTCTTCTTCTTTTGAGATGGAGTCTTGCTCTGTCACCCAAGCTGGAGTGCAGTGGCGCGATCTCGGCTCACTGCAACCTCTGCCTCCCGGGTTCAAGCGATTCTCCTGCCTCAGCTCCCAAGTAGCTGGGATTACAGGCATGCGCCACCATGCTCGGCTAATTTTTCTATTTTTAGTAGGGACGGCGGTTTCACCTTATTGGCCAGGTTGGTCTCGAACTTCTGACCTCAGGTGATCTGCCCGCCTCGGCCTTCCAAAGTGCTGGGATTACAGGCATGAGCCACAGCACCCAGCCAAATAAATTTCTATTAACTGAGATTCTACTAATACAAATTTGAAGGGTATAGGAAAATGTCTTAACTGTCAATATTCATGAGCAGAGCAGTTGTGGCCTCTGTGTATCAAAGGAGTTAACAGATCTGACACACTGCTTGCTTGTTTTCCCAGTAAGTAATCAAAGCTGGGACCAGAGCACATTTTCATACTTAATCCAGTGTTCGCTCCATTGAAACTGTTGTCTTTGATACGGGAAAAAAAAAAACTGATGAGGGAAGATCTTGAAAACAAAACCTATCTTGCTTAGGTTAACCAGCTGAGTAAAACTGTCATTGGAAATAACCAAATGTTCTGATTGTAATCTCAGACTCCCTGAAGTTCAAGTGAACT
Source organism: Homo sapiens (assembly GCF_000001405.40). NCBI lineage: Eukaryota > Metazoa > Chordata > Mammalia > Primates > Hominidae > Homo > Homo sapiens. The sequence goes on along the minus strand of NC_000007.14, from coordinate 65,907,759 downwards.
TGAACTTGAAAAATAAACACCTGCTCAAAGATCTGTAGATCATTAGCCTACCTAGTCACAGAGAAAGTATTAAAACCTTTTCTCTCTGATTAAAACAAAATGAAACAAAACAGTAGTATTCACAGTGGTGTTTATTGACAGTAATCACAACTGAACAGCGGGAGGCCTAGGGAGGGTCATTCTGGACTGTGAAAGCAATCTACATTTCTCTTTCTAGCTAGTAACAAAAGGATGCCAGAGGCCGTCAGAAATATTGCTACCATGAATAGTTTTTTGTATGAGGAAAGATATTTAAATCCTCCATTTATTTATTTTATTTATTTATTTATTGAGACAGAGTCTCACCCTGGCTGGAGTGCAATGGCATGATCTCGGCTCACTGCAACCTCCGACTCCCGGGTTCTAAGCGATTCTCATGCCTCAGCCTCTGTTGTAGCTGGGATTATAGGCACACGCCACCATGCCTAATTTTTGTATTTTTAGTAGAGACGGGGTTTCACCATGTTGGCCAGGCTGGTCTCGAACTCCTGACTTCAGATGGTGTGCCTGCCTCGGCCTCCCAAAGTGCTTGGGATTACAGGCATGAGCCACCGAGCCTGGCCAAAAACCTCCATTTTTACTTAAGTTTTAATGATTAATTTCACATTATAATGTGAAAAGTAATGAGTCTCTAGCAGTCTTATCCTTAAAACTGGGGCTGATTATAAAGCACTACTTTGCTCCATCCCATTTTCCTTCAAGTCACCTATTTTGAGTAAATACACTAGTTTCACTTTCCACCCTTGTATAGGGGCTGTAAATACTACTAGGAAAAAACCCATAATTAGCACCAGTACAAGTTCAAGGTCCCCAACCTGAGCGTAAGCACTGCTTTATAATTTTTTTACCCATCCCAGGTTATAGCCTCCTATGGCCCCAAAATGAAATCTCAAATGTCCTTCATTCTGCATAAAACCCATGCTGGCCCCTCAGTGGAAAACGTCAAGTCAACCATGAATTATGGATCTCTTCCCCTTTACTTTCACGCCACTGATTTCTGTTGCACGGACTCTGCTTATTACCATGTATGTCTAGCATTAAACTGGACTCCTAGAGAAGAGGAACTCACATTCATTTCTGGGTCCCTAGGGCCAAAGTGTAATTAAGGAAAGGAATAACTCCAATTCTTTCAAATTCTGAATTTGTGGTCCTCTCAAAAATAGGCAGTGTGTATTCAAGATCTGCTTGTTTCCCTGATCCAGTTCTCCACCTTTGGGGGTCTTACAAAATAGGCCAGTAAGTCAAAAATGTCTAGAGATTACTCCCACATGGTAATCTTTGCAAATAAAACTCTTAGACCTAACTTTATACTACTAAAAATTTCACCATACTCCTTTTTTTTTTCTTTTTGAGACAATGTCTTGCTCTGTCACCCAAGCTGGAGTGGAGTGGTACTACAGCTCACTGCAGCCTCATCCTCCTGAGCTCAAGCAATCCTCCCACCTCAGCCTCCCGAGTAGTTGAGACCACTGGCACCAGGCTGGTCTCGAACTCCTGACCTCAGGTGATCCGCCCACCTTGGCCTCCCAAAGTGCTGGGATTACAGGCATGAGCCACCGTGCCTGGCCTTTTTGACAAATTTATTGAGCATCTAGTATACTATGGCCATGATACAACAGAGAATATGGGAGATACGGAATGTGTCTTCAAAACGCTCACATTCTAGAACCAATGAAGCTGAAGCAGTAACCAAAGAAGTGAATGAAGAAAACTAGGTTGATGAAGAAAAGGGGCAGGAAGAGAAGAAAAGGAAAAAATAAATGTATACGTTTTATGTTTTAGCCAAATTTAAGGCAAAGAGATTTTGATAGAATTTCAAAGATTTCAGAGATAAAGTAAGTATCCTACAAGCACGGTGAGGATTGGGTGTCTGGGGTAATCAAGTTTTTGAAAAATCTGGGTGGCGATGTTTTTATACTAATACCACACGTGGACCAAGCATAAGGTTAAATTGGCACTTCCATACATCTGTAGTGGAAACACAAATTGTTTAAATTTTCTAGATGTAAATTTGACAATTCTACTTGTAGGAATACAGCCAAAAAAATCAATGATGTAAAGATTTACACGGAAGTATACAAGAATACTCATATTATTTAAAATGGCAAATTTGGCTGGGCACAGTGGCTCACACCTGTAATCCCAGCACTTTGGGAGGCCGAGGAGGGTGGATCACGAGGTCAGGAGATTGAGACCATCCTGGCTAACATGGTGAAACCCTGTCTCTACTAAAAATACAAAAAATTAGCCGAGTGTGGTGGCGGGCACCTGTAGTCCCAGCTATGTGGGAGGCTGAGGCAGGAAATGGCATGAACCCAGAAGGCAGAGGTTGTAGTGAGCTGAGATCGCGCCACTGCACTCCAGCCTGGATGACAGAGCGAGACTCCATCTCAAAAAAAATAAAAAAATAAAAAAAATAACCACGCCAATTTAAAACAACTTATGTGACAAATTATCTAGACTGAAACAAGTTATAATGTGGCACTCAGTGGAATACTATACAGACATTAAAAGCTGTTTTCAAATATTTTATTACAGGTCCAAATGTTCACGATTAAAAGTTAAAGGAAACAAAAAGCATGATTCCAATTTTGTTTCTAAAAAACTGCACATTATTTATGTGTATACACCTGCATTTGTATGCATATGTGTGTGTATGTATGTAGGTGTATATATATACATACCTATATGTATACATATACATATACATACAGGCATGTGTATGTATATACACGTGCATGTATATATACATAATATGTATACGATGTGTATAACATACATATATACATACATACACAGGAAGAAATGTATACACACATATATATACACAGACAAAAATCAACTGGAAAGAAGTACACTTAATGATGGTGAAAATGGAGATTTTTATCTTCTCTTGTATTTTTAACCTGAATGAATTTTTCAAGACCATTTACATTTAATGTGATAATGGATCCAAGACTGTTTAAATCTACCATTTTGCTGTCTTTTTCTATTCATCCCATCTGTGCTTTGTTTCTTTCCCCATATGTCTTGCATTCTTTTAGGTTAATTACTTTTTAGAATTCTATTTATTTCCACTATCAGTTTATTAGCTATACCTCTTTAATTTTTATGGTAGTTGTTCTAGGTTTTAAATTATACATTGTTAACTATCAGTCTGCCTTCCAGGTGAAGTATACCACTCCATGTACAGCTTAAGAACCTTAGTAAGGTTTCTGCCAGGCACGGTAGCTCACGCCTGTAATCCCAGCACTTTGGGAGGCTGAGGCAGGCAGATGACTTGAGGTCAGGAGTTTGAGACCAGCCTGGCCAACATGGTGAAACCCCATCTCTACTAAAAATACAAAAATTAGCTGGGTGTGGAGGCACACCCCTGAAATCCCACCTACTCGGGAGGCTTGTTGAACCTTGTTGAACCCAGGAGGCAGGGGTTGCAGTGAGCTGGGATTGCACTACTGTACTCCACCCTGGGCAACAAAGTGATACTCTGTCTCAAATAAATAAATAACCTGACTAAGGTTTCTTATACCCTTCCCGTCCCCTTCCATTCTTTGGGCTATTGTCATAACTTTTACTCCCATGTGTTATAAAACCTATAATGCATTATTATTTTTGCTTTAAGCAACTATCTTTTTAAAGCTACTATTTCTTTAATTCACAATGTTGTGCAACCATCACCACTAACTGCAGAACATTTCCATCGTGCAAAAAGGGAAATCCTGTACCTGTTAGCAATCACCTTCAATGCAGTCATCTTTTAAAGAGAATAAAATGGAAAAAAAATTCTTATGTTTACTCCCAGTTACCATTTCTAGCACTTTTCAATCCTTTGTGAAGATCTAAATTTCCATTTTAAACCATTTGCCTTCTGCCTGAATAACTTCAACACTTCTTGTGCAGGTCTGCTGGCAACAAGTTCCAGTAGGCCTTTTTTTTTTTTTTTTTTTGAGACACGGTCTCGCTCTATCACCCAGGCTAAAGTGCAGTGTGGCTCAATTATAGCTCACTGCAGCCTCTGCCTCCCAGGCTCAAGCAATCCTCTAACCTCAGTCTCCCAAGGAGCTGGAACCACAGGCGCGCGCCACCATGCCTGGCTGATTTTTGCATTCTTTGTAGAGATAGGCTTTCGCCATGTCACCCAGGCTGATCTCAAAATCCTCCTACCTTGCCTCCCCAAGTGCTGGGATTACAGGTGTTGGTCACTGCACCCAGCCCCAGTAGTCTTTTTTAAAAAGCACTTTAAAGGTGTCTCTCCAGGCTGGGCACAGTGGCTCATACCTGTAATCCCAGCACTTTGGGAGGCTGAGGCAGGCAGATCACAAGGTCAGGAGTTTGAGACCAGTCTGGCCAACATGGTGAAACCTTGTCTCTACTAAAAATAAAAAAATTAGCCAGGCGTGGTGGCATGCGCCTGTAATCACAGCTACTTGGGAGGCTGAGGCAGGAGAATCACTTGATCCTAGGAGGCAGAGGTTGCAGTGAGCTGAGTTCATGCCACTGCACTCCAGCCTGGGCAAGAGTGAGACTCTGTCTTGAAAAAAAAAAAAAAAATGAAGGCCAAGCGTGGTGGCTTACACCTGTAATCCCAGCACTTTGGGAGGCCGAGGTGGGCAGATCACCTGAGGTCGGGAGTTCGAGATCAGCCTGACCAACATGGAGAAACCCCGTCTCTACTAAAAATACAAAATTAGCCAGTCATGGTGGTACATGCCTGTAATCCCAGCTACTCAGTAGGCTGAGGCAGGAGAATCACTTGAACCCGGGAGGCGGAGGTCACGGTGAGCCAAGATCACGCCATTGCACTCTAACCTGAGCAATAAGAGCAAAACTCCATCTCAAAATAAATAAATAAATAAATAAATAAATAAAATTAAAGATGTCTCTCAATTGTATTTTGATTTGCTAAATTTCTGATGAGAAGTCTGCTATCATCCTTATCTCTGTTACTCTGTACATGATGTGTATTTTTTCTCTGCCTGCTTTCAAGATTTTCTCTTTATAATGGGTTGCCAACAGTTTGATGATGATGTGCCTTGGTGTGGTTTCCTTTATAGTTATTCTCCTTGGGATTCTTAAATATGTGGGCTTACTGTTTTCATCAAATTTGAGAATTTTCTTGTCATTATTTTTTACAATCTTTTTTTTCTGTTCTCCCCTTTCCCTCTTTTCTGGGGCTCCAATTACACATATGTTAGACTATTTCTATCTCTAACAATTGTCCTTGTTACAGTCATTGATGCTCTATCAATGTTTCCATTTTTCTTTCTGTTCTCATTTTGGACAGTTTCTATTGCTGTCTTCAAGTCCACTGATCTGCAGTGCCTCAACTTCTGTTAATGCCATCACTGTATTTTAAATTTTATTTCCAACTCAAGATGTTCTGTTTGGGTCTTTTTAAAATACACCTTCCACTTCTCTTTCCATTATGTTAACCATTTCCTCTACTTTTTTGAACTGACAGCATATTTGTAATTGCTGTTTTCATGTCTTTGTCTGTTAATTCCATCATCTCTGTCATTTCTGGATCTAGTTCTGCTGATTGTTCTCCTGATTACATCACATTTTCCTGGTTCTTTGCATGCCTGGTCATTTTACTGAATGCCAAACACTATGAGTTTTGTGTTTTGGGTGTTGGATTTTGTGTTTTTCTTTAAATAGGGCTGGACTTTGTTCTCACACACAGGTAAGATTCTTTAAATCGGCTGTATCTTCCAAGACTTGCTTTTTCATTGTTAGAGTAGATCCAGAGTAGCCTTTAAATTAGGGCGAATTTAGCCTCTTTACAATGCCCTTTTGATGCCCTTGTATATACTCTGGCTAATGGGAACACAGACTATTCCCAGCTCTGTGTTGAGTCCCAGGAATTGTTTGGCCTGCTGCTTTCCAGTGGGGTTCTTTCTCTGGCCTCAGGTGTTCTCCTCTCATGCACCTGTAGATCAGGACTCAACCAGATTTCAGGAGACTCCTCCACCTATCACTGGAGTTCTGTGTACAACTCCCACCTCTCTGGTACTCTGCCCCACGAATGATGACAACCTTCCCTCCCCGCCAACCCCCATCTTGTCCTCCCAATTCTAAGACACCATGCTCTGTTTGACTTCCCCATCCCTGCTCTGCAGCCTGAAAACTACCTCCAGATAATAAATTGGGGCAACCATAGAGCTCAGTAGGTTTGTTTCCCAGCTTTCAGTGACCACAGTCTTGCTTTGCCTGTTACCCAATGCCTACAAATTGCTATTTCATATATTGTTGCTTAAAATAGCAAGGTAAACCCAGTCCTTGTTATTCTATCACTGCTGGACAGAATACATATCGCAAATCAAGTAACAGTTTCTCAATTTGTATCTTGTTGTTGTTGCTGTTTTGAGATAGGGTCTCACTCTCACCCAGGCTGGAGTGCATTGGCTCATAATTCACTGCAGCTTCAATCTCCTGGGCTCAAGGCATCCTCCCGCCTAGGCCTCCCAAAACACTGGGATTATAGGCACATGCCAGCTACTATGCCCTCAACTTAGTATTTAAATGCTTAGTCTTCATCCAGCTCTACCTCTTTATAACACCGAACAAAATTTTTCCTCCTTTTTTTCTTGGAATTCACTCTTCTTAGTTTGACACTAAACTCTTAATTCTCCTATCTCTTTGATTATCATTTCTGATTCTTGAATCTTGAAAGTTCTAGGCAAGTTTCCAAAATCCTATTCTTGCCTCATTTTCTTCTCCATCTGTGTAGGATCTCACCTGTGAAATTTCAACAAGTCCCACAAATTCATTCATAACCTCTTTTGCAGAAGTACTACGTGACTGGCCTTGGACTTCTTCATTCACAGAGGGGAAAAGGGTGAATACAAAATATAATTTCTATTACATTTTAAAGTTTATGTATGTACTTCTATTATTATTATTTTTATTATTATTTTTAGCAGAGTCTTGCTCTGTCACCCAGGCAGGAGTTCAATGGCGCAATCTTGGCTCACGGCAACCTCTGCCTCTGGGGTTCAAGCGATTCTCATGCCTTAGCCTCCCGAGTAGCTGGGACTACAGGCATGTGCCACAACACCCAGTTCTAATATTTGTATTTTTAGTAGAGATGGGGTTTCACCTCGTTGGCCAGGCTGGTCTCGAACTCCTGGCCTTAAGTGATCCACCAGCCTCAGCCTCCCAAAGTGCTGGGATTACAGGCGTGAGCCACCATGCCCAGCTATGTATGTAGTTTTATACGTATACAACCAGAGGAACAAACAGCAGTTAATTCACTTAAGGTATTAAGAATGATGATCTGTTTTGTGTGTAACATTTTATTTTTCTATATTTTCTTTTTTTTTTTTTGAGATAGAGCCTCGCTCTGTCACCCAGGCTGGAGTGCAGTGGCATGATCTCAGCTCACTGCAAGCTCCGCCTCCCCTCCCGGGTTCATGCCATTCTCCTGCCTCAGCCTCCCGAGTAGCTGAGACTACAGGTGCCCGCCACCACGCCTGGCTAATTTTTTTGTATTTTTAGTAGAGATGAGGTTTCACCGTGTTAGCCAGGATTGTCTCGATCTCCTGACCTTGTGATCTGCCCACCTCAGCCTCCCAAAATGCTGGGATTACAGGCATGAGCCACCACACCTGGCTATTTTTCTGTATTTTCAATACACACACACACACACACACACACACACACACACACACACACACACGTGCGTGCACATGCACACACGCACAAAGCTATTTTTGTGTGTGTGTGACAGTTTCACTCTTGTTGTCCTGGCTGGAGTGCAATGGCGTGATCTTGGGTCACTGCAACCTCTGCCGCCTGAGTTCAAGCGATTCTCCTGCCTCAGCCTCCCGAGTAGCTGGGATTACAGGCATGTACCACCACGCCTGGCTAATTTTTGTATTTTTAGTAGAGACGGGGTTTCTCCATGTTGGTCAGGCTGGTCTCAAACTCCTGACCTAAGATGATCCGCCTGTCTCAGCCTCCCAAAGTGCTGGGATTACAGGCGTGAGCCACCACGTCTGGTATGAAGCTATTTTTTAAGTCCCCATTTCTATCTCGTAACTCCAGCTGTTTTCACAGGCCAGAATCTCACACCACTGTTTTCAAAAGCAAGTCACATACCTTCCACCTAGAGCCTGCCTTTCTCCCTCTGTGCCAGTTAATGATACTCAGTCCTCCCATAAGCTTCAGAGTCATTTCAATTTGTCCTTCTGTTTCCACGTCTAGTCAAAAATCCTACTGGAAACAATGAATTTCAATCCATGAGAAAAAACATTACTGCAGAGGGCTCTAGAATAATGATCTCAAAGCAGCACTAAAAAGCTAGCAGAATGAAAAACCCCCTTTTTTCCAGGTCAGAGATATGAGACAATCTGCAAAGAGGAAGCCATGCCCTTGGCATAGAAGCAGCTTGTTCCTGGGATAAAGAGGTGGATTTGGAAGAGTAGGCCAATGTTGGACAATAAGCCAAGGGGGGAAACTGTTGAACAGAGTCAAGAGGCTGCGGCCTTGAGCCTGCATTTTGGGTGGCACCCAAAGATGACAAAAGGAGAAACATGTCATAAACCAGGCTTCAAATGGCACTTTGGCAGAAAGTTGTTTTGCTGCCCAAACTGGCATTTAATATTGGTTGAAATGAATAAGACACGCCAGCCTTCAACTTTTTACCATGTAATTAATCAGCTCTGAATAAGGTCATGTCTTTTTACTTTAGTGCTCTTTTAAAAATGGATAATAAACAAAGTAAAGTATTCAAAAGTCACAAAATAGTATGGACCTTGAGAACATTGTGCTAAGTGAAACAAACCAGTTACAAAAGGGCAAACACTATATGATTCCACTTGCATGAGCTATCTAGAGTAGTCAAATTCATAGAAACAGAAAGTAGAATGGTGACTGCCAAGGGTAGGGGAAGTATTAAGTACTTGTTTAATGGCTAGGAAAAAGTTTTGGAGACTGGTTGTACAACAATATGAATATACTTTACACTACTGAGCAGTACCCTTAAAAATGTTTAAGATAGTAAGTTTTGCTACATGTATTTTATCACAATTAAAAATTTTAAAAAATGTTAAGTCACAAATTAGTATAGAAAGTGTCACCCAATTCTGCCTTCTGGCCACTCGGTTCCACTCCTCAGAGACAGCCAGTGTTAGCATATCTTCCCATCTTTCCAAATATATTCCAATTATATATGCTTGCAAATATATGCCTATAGAGATAAAACACACCCATACACAAACGGTGGCATACTACACATACTGTTCATGCACTTTGGTCTTTTCATTTAATGTATCTCAGAGACTTTTCTAAATTACTTCATATACAACTGCCTTACTCCTTTTAGGAGCTGCTACCTGGCCGGGCGTAGTGGCTCACACCTGTAATCCCAACACTTTGGGAGGCCGAGGTGGGTGGATCATGAAGTCAGGAGTTCAAGACCAGCCTGGCAAGATGGTGAAACCCCGTCTCTACTAAAAATACAAAAATTAGCCGGGCGTGATGGCAGGCGCCTGTAACCCATACACTCGGGAGGCTAAGGCAGAGAATTGCTTGAACCCAGGAGGCAGAGGTTGCAGTGAGCCGAGATCGTGCCACTATACTCCAGCCTGGGTGACAAAGTGAGACTCTGTCTCAAAAAAAAAAAAAAAAAAAAAAAAAAAAACCTGCTACAAATTTACTGTATGACTGTATCAATTATTTTACCAGTTCCCTAGTTATGGGTAATTAGGTTTTGCACAAGTTTTTGTGCTTATAAACACAGCAATGAATACCTTCATGCTATTTTTAAGCCCCACATATACAAGAGTGTGTGTAAATATATGTTACATGCCTAGGATGAAACTGCTAAAACAAAAGTTATGTGCATTCTTTATGTGTGATTGTGTGATGTGTGACTTGATGTATACACACTATTTTTATTTATATTAAAATGTGTATTGAAGTATAGCATACATTCAGAACAGTACATAATTCTTAAGTTCATAGCTTGATGAATTTTCTCAGTGTAATTCCACATAACACAGAGATTAAAAAAAAAAAAAAAAGATTATAAGCCTCCAAAATCCCCTCATGTCTCCATCCAGTGAGCTCCGCAAGAGTAATACTACCCTGACTTCTAACACCACAATTTTGTCTTTTTTTGAATTTATATTTGTGTTTGGCTCTTTCACCCAACATTATGATTGTGAGTCATTCATGTTGGGTGAACTGTAATTCATTCATTCTTATTGCTCTATAATATCCCATTGTGTAAATACATCACAATTGATCTAAACTATACTATACTACACAAGGTATGTGCATTCTTAAACTTTAATGGATATTATTCAACTGCTCTCCATAGAGTTTAGAAACTTACCATTAATATACGGAAGTAGCTATCTTCCTACACCTTAGTCAATAGCTAATCAAACTTCTTAATCATGTTAATCGGGTATTTTTAAAATGCTTTCAGTATAGTTTCAATTTGCTTAACTCTTACACTGACTGCAACTGAGGATCATTTCATACATTTAGGAGCCACTTGTCTTTCCTTTGAACTGTCTCTGAATGTGCCCACCTGTCTACTGAGTTGTTGGTCTTTTCTATCAGCAAGCGATCCTGCTTTTTAAAGGAAATTAGCCCTTTGAACATGCTGCATGGCAACTATTTCTTCCCAGCTTATCACTGGAGTCCCAATTTTGTTTATACTAGTTTTTGCCATGTCTAGGTTGTCTGTTTATTTATTTATTTATGAGATGAGGAGTCTTGCTCTGTTGCCCCAGCTGGAGTGCAGTGCAATGGTGCGATCTCGGCTCACTGCAACCTCCACCTCCCAGGTTCAAGCAATCCTCTTGCCTCAGCATCCCAAGTAGCTGGGATTACAGGCATGTGCCACTACACCTGGCTAATTTTTGTATTTTTAATAGAGACAGTTTCACCTTGTTGGCCAGGCTGGTCTCGAACTCTTGGCTTCAAGTGATCAGCCTGCCTCAGCCTCTCAAAGTGCTGGGATTATAGGCATGAGCCACCAGGCCCAGCAGCGTGTCTGTTTTTACGCAAATTCATCAACTTTTTTTTCTGTATGCAAGGGCTCAAGTTGAATGATGAAGAATCATAAGAGAGGCAGGAAGAGAAAGAGGAAGAAGAAAAGGAAGAGGAAAAGGGAAGGAGGGAGGGAGGGAGGGAAAGAAGGAAGGAAGGAAGGAGGGAGGAAGGGAGGGAGGGAGGGGAAGATAGGAGCGGAACCTATTACATTGCTGGTAGGAGGGTAAGCTGTTGCAATTATTCTGGAAAACTGGCAATATATACCAAAACTAAACAAACATACATCCTATGACCCAGCAGTCCCACTCAATTCCAACAGAAAATGAGTATTTATGTCCACCAAACATGTATAAATGTTCTTAGCAGTTTTATTCACTTTAGCCAAAATATAGAAACAACCAAAATTTTCATCAATAGTAAAACAGATAAAATGTGATATCCTAAAGAAGAACTGCAATATACAACATAAATAAATCTCATAGACATGTTAAACAAAAGAAGTGAGATAATGGCTGGGCGCGGTGGCTCACACCTAAAATCCTAGCACTTTGGGAGGCTGAGGCGAGTGAATCACTTGAGGTCAGGAGTTCAAAACGAGCCTGGCCAACATGGTGAAACCCCCGGCTCTACTACAAAAAAAAAAAAAAAAAGTTGGCCGAGTGTGGTAGCGGGCACCTGTAATCCCAGCTACTTGGGAAGCTGAGGCAGGAGAATCGCTTGAACCCGGGAGGCGGAGGTTGCAGTGAGCCGAGATCACGCCACTGCACTCCAGCCTGGACAGAGGGAGACTCTGTCTCAAAAAAAAAAAAAAAAAAAAAAGAAGTGAGATAGCAAGATAGTTCTCTTTTTTTCCCAATGGCTACTCAGTTCACCCAATACCATTTACTAAGGAATTCACTATTTTCATCACATATACCACTGTTGACCACATAAAACATTTCTATAGATGAGGCTACTTCAGTGCTGTCAGCTCTGTGCCAGTGATCTGATGCTCAAATTGGTTTGGCTTCAACATACACTTTAATATTTCACAGCACTAATACCTCCCTCATGAACAGATTTTCATAATTTTTGTGAAAAGTTTCATTTTCGTTCTTTCATATAAACTTTAGAATCAAGTTTTGAAAAGCCTATTGAGATATTAATTGGGATTACTTTAAATTCACAAATTATATGTGTGTGTGTGTGTGTGTGTGTATATATATATATATATATATATATATATATATATATTTTTTTTTTTTTTTTTTTTTTTTTTTTCTCACAGATGGCATTTCACTATATGGCCCAGGCTGGTCTCCAACTCCTGGCCTCAAGTGATCCTCAGCCTCCCAAAGTGCTGGATTATAGGCATGAGCCACTGTGCCTGGCCTATTTCACTAAATTTAATACATTTTCAATTTAAGATGCACAGTTATTTTATGCCAATTGAAATAGCTTCTTTAGACTTAAATGTTTCTGTTTTCATATCCCATCTAACTTGTGCTTATAATGAAAGTAAAGTTATGTAAGGTAAGTTGGTTAAGATGCTCCTAACCTAACTTCATAATTACCATATGGCCAGAAGTACCTGGAAGATGTCATCAGCTTTAAGGCGTATCTTAACTTTAGAAATCATAAAAAGTAAAAAAGGATCTTTCTAACAATATAAAATACAGCAACTTACAGCAGATACTGACATCTTACAAATGTGAGAGCTATCCTGTTCAAGAACAAAATATGTTTTAGCATTTATTCAATTCTTTTATGAGCTTCAGTAAAGTTTTGCAATGTTTTTCAGAAATATCTTTCATTTTCTTGTTAATTCTTAAGTTTCTCTTACTTTTTCTTTGTAAAGATAGGGTCTCACTGTGTTGCCCAAGCTGGTCTCAAACTCCTGGGCTCAAGTGATCCTCCTGCCTTGCCCTCCCAAAGTGCTGGGATTACAGGCACAAGACACTATGCCTGGCCAATTTACTTCTTTTCTTTTCTTTCTTTTTCCTTTTTGAGACGGAGTCTCGCTCTGTCGCCCAGGCTGGAGTGCAGTGGTGCGATCTCGGCTCACTGCAACCTCCACCTCCCGGGTTCACACCATTCTCCTGCCTCAGCCTCCCGAGTAGCTGGGACTACAGGTGCCCACCACCATGCCCAGTTAATTTTTTGTATTTTTAGTAGAGATGGGGTTTCACCGTGTTAGCCAGGATGGTCTCGATCTTCTGACCTCGTGATCCACCTGCCTTGGCCTCCCAAAGTGCTGCCACCGTGCCCGGCCCCAATTTATTTCTAAGTAGAATTTTTTCCTTCAAAAATTCTGTTTGGAAAATGTGCAAACCTTTATACACAAAATTGTGTAACAAAATTGAGAAAAAAATTAAAGTTCAAAACACATGGAGAAATTATGTCTATGAATCAGAGGATTCAATAGTATAAAGATTTCAAATTCCCATTACAGCAGGTGTAGATTAAAAAAAAAAAATTTTGGCTGGGCGCAGTGGCTCATGCCTGTAATCCTAACATTTTGGGAGGTTGAGGCAGGTGGATCGCCTGAGGTCAGGAGTTCGAGACCAGCCTGGCCAACATAGTGAAACCCCATCTCTACTAAAAATACAAAAATTAGTCGGGCGTGCTAGTAGGTGCCTGTAATCCCAGCTACTCAGGAAGCTGAGGCAGGAGAATTGCTTGAACCTGGGAGGCGGAGGTTGCAGTGAGCCGAGATCGCACCATTGCACTCCAGCCTGGGCAACAGGAGCGAAACTCCGTCTCAAAAAAAAAAAAAGTCAATTATTCCCAAACTGATTCAACACAATTCCAATCAAAATCCTAACAGGTATTCTTGTGGAACATCACAGCTGATTCTAAAATGTATGTGGAAATGCACAGGGCCCAGGGCCACACATAACCAAGATTTATTATCCACTGGATATCAAGACATAAAACTAGACGAGTGATTCTCAAACTTTTTGGTTTGACATTCCTGCAAACTACTGAGACTCTAAAATGCTTTAGTTAACATGCATTATACCTATTATATTTATCACATTAGAAATTACAACAGGAAATTTATTTATTTTTACTTTTTTTGAGATGGAATCTCCCTCTGTCACCCAGGCTGGAGTGCAGTGGCACATACCTATTATATTTATCACATTAGAAATTAAAACAGGAAATTTATTTATTTATTTTTACTTTTTTGAGATAGAGTCTCCCTCTGTCACCCAGGCTGGAGTGCAGTGGCATGATCTCGGCTCACTGTAACCTCTCCACTTCTCAGGTTCAAGTGATTCTCCTGCCTCAGCCTCCCAAGTAGCTGGGATTAAATGCATGTGCTATCACATCCAGCTAATTTTGTATTTTTAGTAGAAACAGGGTTTCACCATGTTGCTCAGGCTGGTCTCGAACTCCTAACCTCAGGTTATCTGCCCGCCTCAGCCTCCCAAACTGATGGATTACAGGTATGAGCCACCACACCAGGTCCAAACAGGAAAGTTTTAAATATCAATTCATTCATTTAAAAATAACAAGAAATCTATTATATGCTAACATAAATAACACTTTAATGAAAAATAACTGTTTTCCAAAACAGATTAAAAAAATGAGTGAGAAGAGTGGCACTGTTGGATATGTTTTGGAAATCTCCTTAATGTTTGGCTTGATGGGAGACAGCTGGATTCTCTTATCTGCTTCTGCATTCAATCTGTTGCAACACTGCATTTCATGCGGCCTCTGGAAAACCCTATTGTACACTTGTGGGAGAATGAGTGTGAGGCAAAAAACAACCAAGTGTTACTATCAAAATAGTTTTGACCTGGCCTCTGAAAGGGTCTCAGGAAACCTGCATAGTCCTGGGACCACACTTTGAGAATTGCTGAAATACAGTACTTAAGACAATGGGTCACTGGGAGAGGACAAACAGGAATAGAAGAGGCAGGCAAATCCTGGTATACATAACTACCTGATTTATGACCAAGGTAGCTCTACAAAGCAGGAGGAGATGGCCTTTTCAATAAATGGAACTAAACATCATCATCATCATCTTCATGTCATCTAGAATAACAAACTGACCCCATCTCACACCACACAGACAAAAATTCCAGAGATTGTTGATCTAAATGAGAAAGGCAAAACAGTAACAGAAAATAATGTAGATTATCTTCACACCAGGATACAAAAACCCCCAATTACAAAGGAAAAGGCAGAAATATTCAACTACATTAAAATTAAGAATTTCCATTAATCAGAGAAATGCAAATCAAAACTACAATGAGATATCGTCTCACTCCAGTTTAAATGGATGAGATGATGGTGAGGATGTGGAAAAAGGGGAACCCTTGTACACTGTTGTTGGTAATGTAAATTAGTACAATCACTATGTGGACGTTCCTCAAAAAAACTAAAAATAGAACTACCGTGTGATCCAGCAATCCTGCTACTGGGTATACACCCAAAAGAAAGGAAATTGGTGTATCGAAGAGATTTCTGTACTCCCATGTTTACTGCAGCACTATTCACAATAGCCAAAATATGGGATTAACCTAAGTGTCCATCAACAGACGAATGGATAAAGAAAATGTGGCACTTACACACAATGCAGTACTGTTCAGCCATGAGAATGAATGCAATCCCGTCATTTTCAACAATATGGATAAAACTGGAGGACATTATGTTAAGAGAAATAAGCCAGGCACAGAAAGATGAACATTGCATGTTCTCACCCATATGTGGGAGTTAAAGAAAAAAAATTGAACCCATGTAGACAGAGTAAAGGACAGGAAGGGAAGTGGGAAATAAAGAGGGATTGGTGACTGGGCACAAAAATACAGTTAAAAAGAATGAGTAAGTCTAGTGTTCAGTACCACAATAGGGCAACTACAGTTAACAATGATTTATTTTATATTTCAAAATGACTAAAAGACTAGAATTGGAATATTCCTAACATGAAGAAATGATAAATGATTCAGGTGATGGGGTACTCTACCCTAATTTGATAACCATGCATTCTATGCTTGCATCAAAATACCACATCTACCCTATAAATATGTATGGCTATTATGTATCCATAATAATTAAAAACAAAAATAAAAAAAATTCTGTTAGTGAAGAGACACCTTTAAGAGAATAAAAAGGAAAGGCCAGCCACTAGCTAGTAATAGATACATGCAACACAGGTATGGGGCAGGGAGGGGAGGGGATCAATACATTTATCCCTTATACAAACCAACCAGAAAATTAGCCAAAAGACTTCAATGAGCTCTTCACAGAGAAGATATCCAAATGGCCGAAAAACATATAAAAGGCTGGTCAACCTCATTAGTAATCAGGGAAATGCAAATTAAAACCAAAGTGGAGTGTTAATTAGTACAACCACTTTGGGAAACTGTTCTGTTGTTTCTAATAAAGTTAAACACTCACCTATCCCATGACCCAGAAATCCACTCCTAGATATATACACAAGAGAAATTAGTATATATGAGAATGTTCATAGCAGCTTAATTCACAATAGCCAAAACCTAGAAACAATCAATAAGAAAATGAATAAACAAAGGGTAATATAATCATACAACAGAACTCAGCAAGAAAAAAAGAGTAACTCATACCACCACCAAGTTGGATAAATTGCAAAAAAAAAAAAAAAAAATTATGCTGGGCAAAAGAAGCCAGACACAGCAGAGTCCTTACTGTCTGAGCCCATTTATATGAAGTTCAAAAACAGGCCAAACGCATGTATAGTGGCCAAAGTCAAAACAGTGTGGTTAGAATAGCAGCTTCTTTCTGGAAATTACCATGAAAGAACTTTCTGGGTGACGGAAATATTCTATATCTTCATCTGGGTAGTGGTTATAGATACATTTATAGGTAAAATACTCTTCAGGCTGTACATTTTTGTTTTTATTGTGTATGACATATACCTCAGTTACACACAAAAACCCATTATGTACCTACCAGAATGGTTAATATAATTTAACAGACTGACAATTCTAAGCCTTGGCAAAGAGGTGGATAAACAGGAATTCTCACACATTGTTGGTAGGAATCTAAACTAGTGCAACCACTTTGGAAAATAGTCTGGCATTACCAAGTAAAACTGAAGATATGCAAAAATGTTTATAGCTGCAGTATTCATAATTGCTGCAAACTGGAGACAAATATCAATCAAAAAGAGAGTGAAGGCTGGATGTGGTGGCTCACGTCTGTAATCCCAGCACTCTGGGAGGCCAAGGCAGGTGGATAACCTGAGGTGAGGAGTTTGAGACCAGCCTGGCCAACATGGTGAAATGCCATCTCTACTAAAAAGACAATAATTAGGGGCTGGGTGTGGTGGCTCACGCCTGTAATCCCAGCATTTTGGGAGGCCGAGGCAGGCGGATCACGAGGTCAGGAGATAGAGACCATCCTGGCTAACAAGGTGAAACCCTGTCTTTACTAAAAATACAAAAAAATTAGCCGGGCGTGGTGGCAGGAGCCTGTCGTCCCAGTTACTCGGGAGGCTGAGGCAGGAGAACGGTGTGAACCCAGGAGGTGGAGGCTGCAGTAAGCCGAGATCACACCACTGCACTCCAGCCTGGGAAACAGAGCGAGACTCTGTCTCAAAAAAAAAAAAAAAAAAAAAAAATTACCCAGGTGTGGTGGTGTGCACCTGTAGTCCCAGCTACTTGGCAGGCTGAGGCAGGAGAATTGCTTGAGCCCAGGAAGCAGAGGTTGCAGTGAGCTGAGATCATGCCATTGTACTCCAGCCCGGGTGACAAGAGTGAAACTCAGTCTCCAAAAACAAAAACAAAAAAAGAGAGAGAATGAATATATCAATTGTGTTATATTCATAATAGAGTATTATTCAGCAATGACTAATGCACAAACTACAGCTCCATAAAACACAGGTGAATCTCACAAAATGACACTGAGTGAAAGCAGCCAAGTAAAGAAAACAAACTAAATGGTTCCATTTATATAAAGTTCAAATAGCAAAACTAAACTACTAAGTTTAGGTGCGATCTTAGAAAAGTAAGAAAATGATTCTCATAAAAGTCAGGACAGAGGTAACTTTTGAGAAGGGGGACGCATATAGTTGACTAGGGGAAAGTTAAGGGAGGGCTTTCTGGAGTGCTGGCATTGGTCTATTTAATGACCGGAATGTTGGTTACAGGGTTATACTTTGGTGATTACAACAACAAAAAGATGCACCGCTCAATGATTTTTCTGTAAGTTATAGTTCACAATAAAAGAACGTGAAAAACAATCAATGGGGCCTGGTGATTGATTGAATTTGGTGGGGGAGGGGAGGAAGAGAATCATGGACAAGTCCCAGGTTTCTGACTTGCACAACTGCTTAGGTGGTGATGCCTTTCACTGAGATAGCCAACAGCATTTTTGGAGGAAGAGTATGAAATAAATCTTGGACATACTGAATTTATTAGTTTTGGGACATCCAAGTAGAGATGTCTAGTAGGCAATTAGATATTAGCAAATGAAGTACTCAACAGCAGAGGTTGGGGTAGAGATAAAAATGTTGGATTCACCCATGAGTGAGACCATGGACATGGCTGTGACTGTTAAGGGAAAGAAGAATGACAGAAGGGCCTAAGGCTGCTTGGTGGGACATCAACATTTAATGGCCAGATACAGGAGAATAAGCCAGCCAAAAAAAAAAAAAAATTGAGAGTGGTAGGAGGAAAATGAAGAACTGTCACGAACCATTAAGCAAGAGGAAAGAGCGTCTCAAGAGTAAGAAGTCACTCCCTGCAGGTTGATGTGTAGTTGGGGGGTTGGGGAGGACATGGATTATGGGTACTACTCAGCAGGCCAGTTTTTACTCCACCTCTTTCTAGCTGACTTGACACAAGCAACAACCCAACAGAAAACCAATACTTCTGAGAATGGCTGCAAGTTTGTTTGTGCTGTCTTTTGAGGTAAGAAATCAAGGCTGAGCTCTTCTTTCTCCTAATTCTCAGGAAGGAGGAAGGCAGATGTGAGAACACTGATTGGGTCTGAGTGTACTGGGCAGCATCACTGTTAAAAGGTCAGCACACAGATGCAAGCTCACTTGTCTGCTTCTTTCATGTGACTGAAGTGGTTAAGAAGGTTGTCAACTCCCCCCTGCACCCCCCTCACCACCGCAGTAAGGGAGAGACAGGGCCAAACCTGCAGCTTCGGTAGAAGAGGCCAAGGCAGGTGTCCAAGGCCAGATCAGCAGTCAGCCAGGGCAAATGGGCTCACTCTGGTTACATGACCTCGAGCAACTGACAGAAAGGAGTGAAATGTGGGGAAGATCTCAGTGTGTTTGAGAACTGGGAAGATGAAAAGGGTTCATCTCATGGCCTGCTTTAGTTTGAAACAATTTAAGCTTAACTAGATTCCAAAAAAACAACATTTCCACCTGAACCAGCTGGGTTCATTCCAGTCTTTTACCCTGGAGTTTGGTGCCCAAGTCCTAGTTAAGAATAAAACGTAGAGTCCTTTTGTTGTCCATTTGTCAGTGCAAATATTTAATATAAGTATTTCTCCCAGGGACCCTATAGACTTGAAAACAGTGACTATAGATTGCAGACAATTTTGATATTCCAGGGATCTCTGACCAGAATAATAAGAAATTACTGTAATTTCTCAATTTCTAGCACCACACAAATTGCATCTCACACACACAGACACATACACACACAGGGGCGGGTTTACCTACTTCTCAGAAAATTGCACAGATTCAACGAGAAAGAATAAATAGTAATTAATGTGTTCCTTAATGGCTGGTGAATAATAATAAAATGTTAACTAAAACAAAAACAATTTTTATTTTTAAACCCACTATCACTAAGTGATAAAGTCTAAACTGACAGAACAGCAAATTAGTACAGTCCTTTGGGAGGGAAATATGGTGATACATATTGCGAAGCAATCCTGTTATTTGTTGCTTTTTTTTTAAATGACAGGAAAAAAAACAAAATTAAAAAAGGCTATGTTTCATAAATCACAATACATTCTTACAATGAATACTATGTAAACACTTTAAAAATGAGACACTTGTGTGAGAACTAACTTTGAAGGAGGAGCAAGGTATTTACAAATTATTCTACTGAATGATAGCTAGTATTTGGGCAACACCTATGTACTAGGGCTGTGCTGACTGCTTGTACACTTGCTGTTTAATTTTACAATAACCTTACAAGGCAGGTGGCATACTAACCTCATTTAACAAATAAAATGGAAGTGGAGGCTTAAGTTTATTATCTAGTATCACTGAGGGAGGCCATAGCACAATTAGGATCTAAAAGCACCAAACCTTGATTTCAGAACCTACACTTCCACTCACTGTGCCAGTGTGTCATAAAGTATACATACTTTTGAAAAACTCATTTAATATGGATCAATGTTATATTTCTTTAATATACAGCAATGTACATAATATCAACGTTATGTATTTATCTAATATAGATCAATGTATGAGTTCACAGCTCTTATCACTAAGGATTTCTGGGTTTCTTTAGTAAATTTTAAGAAAACTGTTATGAATTAACAGTACAGATGATACAAGCATATGGCAAAAGTAACAAGGAGGCACTCTAATGACTGAAAGTTTGGAGAACAAAACTCTTACCTTCCCGGCCAGGCATGGTGGCTCATGCCTGTAATCCCAGCACTTTGGGAGGCTGAGGTGGGCAGATCATGAGGTCAGGAGATTGAGACCATCCTGGCTAACACGGTGAAACCTCATCTCTACTAAAAACATGTAAAATCAGCCAGGGTTGGTGGCGTGCGCCTGTAATCCCAGCTACTTGGGAGGCTGAGGCAGGAGAATAGCTTGAACCCAGGAGGCAGAGGTTTCAGTGAGCCAAGATTGCACCACTGCACTTCAGCTTGGGCGACAGAGTAACAATCTGTCTCAGAAAAAAAAAAAAAAAAAAAAAAAAAACTCGGACAGGCGCAGTGGCTCACGCCTGTAATCCCAGCACTCTGGGAGGCCAAGGTGGGTGGATCACAAGGTCAGGAGATTGAGACCATCCTGGCTAACACGGTGAAACCCCGTCTCTACTAAAAATATAAAAAATTAGCCGGGCATGGTGGCAGGCGCCTGTAGTCCCAGCTACTCAGGATGCTGAGGCAGGAGAACGGCGTGAACTCGGGAGGCGGAGGTTGCAGTGAGCCGAGATTGCACCACTGCACTCCAGCCTGGGCGACAGAGTGAGACTCCGTCTCAAAAAAATAAATAAAATAATAAAAAAAAAACTCTCACCTTCTCAAAAGGCACCTTCTTCTTTATATGCTGCAATATTGTACGACATTTTCACAACAATTGCGTATTACCTCAAAGAGGTTTTTTGAAAAAATAAAACAACCCCTCCTGAAACATTTTTCAAATAAAACAAAAGTAAAGGCACTATCTTAATGTGTACCCTCAGAAACTGGAAACATCCTTCATATCTAACAATAAGAGTTAAGTACAGTTATCAACTTGATTAAATGGTCCTTAATCATTAAATTAATGACTACAAGAAAAAGAGATCATAATATACTGCCGATTATTACAAGAACCAGAGTATACATATACCATATATCATGATAAAGTCTCTTTAGACCAAAAGTAAAGGTGAAAAGAGAAATGAAAACAGGGATAGATGATATAAGGCTTTTCCCTCAACTAATTTACTCTAATACTATCTTTGTAATACATGTGTTTAGAACAAAACAATGCCACAATAAGCATCTAGGTTAAAACCATTATCAGAGAGGCAACTCCAGAATAAACAGATACGATATGCTCCTTGATGGAAAGACCTGCTAGTGAGAACTGACTCCTTCCCATATTCGTCTATAAATTTAGCACAATTCTAATCAAAATCTCAGTGGGATTTGTCTTAGAACTCATCAAAATTATTCTAGAATTCACCGGAAACAGTAAATTCATGACAATAGCAAAGAAAAATTTGGAAATGAGCATATTTGCCCTATCAGATATCAAACTTCTATAAAAAGCCACGGGGGAGGGGTGGTAATGGAATAAACACAGACCGACCTGTCACTGGAACAGAACTGAGAATCCAGAAAGAGGCCTTATGTATGCAGAAAAGCCTTGTGGCATTTGAAATATGAACAAGTCAATGAACTGAGAGAGGCAAAAGCCTATCCATTTAGGAAAAATTTAGATCCCTACCCTTACACTAGACACAAAAGGAAATTCCATACAAACTAAAAGAGCTCAGTGTGAAAAAAATTTTTTCACATAAAATATATGAAAATATTTTAAAGATAATCTTGGGATGGTAGAGATTTTGCTAAACCAGAAAAAAAAAACAACTATAAATATGTGAAAGATTTTCCAGTTGAATAATGAAGAATTTTTTTAAGTGAAAGATCTGACCACCTAAGTTAACACTTCTATGTAAAGACATCATAAACAAAATTAAAAGACAAATAACAAATGAAGAGAAAATGTGTAACACATATAACAAAAGATTAACCATTGTGACATCTAAAGAACTCCTATAAAGCAATAAGAAGAAAAGATAAACAACCCAGAAAGGGAAAAAATGGGCAAAGGTATGAACAGGCAATATCCAGAAGAAATGCAAAATTTTTGTCTGTACAAAAATTATGTTGTAGACTCATGTAACACCCAGTAAACTACATGCTAGGAGATTTAAGAAGTCATGTTTTTCAGAACTAACAAATTACATATATTTACACAATATCAGAATGGGAAATGCCTGTCTGAACTTGAATCTACAGACAAAAATTACCAAGAAAAATCATTAAAATTATCATAGACTTGAAAAAACCTTTGTACTAGCATTCGTCTAAATCAATGTGAAAAATTCTAAAATTTATCCAGGCAGGAGAAGAAACACAGTTAATAAAAACATGAAAACCTCATTATCAAACAAGGTGATTATAAATTAAAAAATAAATTTTTTAAATGTGAAACCATTAAATCTTGCTGATGCTTGGGGAAAATGCAAATCAAAACAATAACATGACAATTTTCATATATCATATTGGCAAATATCTAAAAAATGAGAATGCCCAATTTGGCAAGGGCACAGGGCACCTAATATTCTATTCCATTACTGGTGGAATTTTTAACAACATGGGAAAATAGTGGTAATATTTTCTTTTTTTTGAGACAGTCTCACTCTGTCGCCCAGGCTGAAGTACAATGGCATGATCTCGGCTCACTGCAACTTCTGCCTCCCCAGTGCAAGCAATTCTCCTGCCTCAGCTTCCCAAGTAGCTGGGACCATCAGTGTGAATTACCATGCCTAGCTAATTTTTGTATTTTTAGTAGAGACGGGGTTTCACCACGTTGGCCAGGCTGGTCTCAAACTCCTGACCTCAGATGATCCACCTGCCTCAGCCTCCCAAAGTGCTGGGATTATGGCCACCGTGCCCTGCTGTGACATGTTAAGTGAGGAAAAGACAAATTAAACATACAGCAAGATCTAAACCATGTTCTAAAATAACAGTAACTATGTTTTATGAGTACCTTTATGCCAGACACCAGGACTATTTACATGTACTGGTACACTTCATAGTCACAATAATCCTATGAGTTAACACTATTACTACCCTCATTTTATGGAGGAAGAAGCTGAGACAAGAGATCAAGTGACAGAGCCAAGATTTCAACTCAGGTTGACTCTAGAGTCCCAGATCTTAACCACTGGCACAATGTATAGAAATTAATCAAACACTTTAAACACAGTGGAGTTGAGTATACTGTCTACTTTAATTCCTGATTTTGTCATAGATTTTCTACTACTTTACTTCTCAAATACGATGAGTTTTTAAAAGGATCGGTAATCACAAGACAGCCAACAGTGTCCCTGAAATTCCCCTAGTTAGAGATGCTAACTACAAAATAAAACTTATGAATCGTAATTCAATAGCTTTAAATATTGCACTACAAGAACATTTTTCTAAATGAAATTTTATGTGCATCTATAACATAAACAGATTAGGCTGGGTGTGGTGGCTTGCACCTGTAATCCCAGCACTTTGGGAGGCCGAGGCGGGCAGATTACGAGGTCAGGAGGTCGAGACCAGCCTGGCCAACATGGTGAAACCCCATCTCTATTAAAAATACAAAAATTAGCCGGGTTTGGTGGCAGGTGCCTGTAATCCCAGCTACTCGGGAGCCTGAGGCAGGAGAATCACTTGAAACTGGAAGGCAGAGGTTGCAGTGAGCCGAGAACCCGCCACTGCACTCCAGCCTGGGTGAAAGAGTGAAACTCCGTCTCAAAAAACAAACAAAAAAAGATTAAAGCAGTATTTTATTCTATCAATGTATTTTAAAGCTCAAATGTGGCCGGGTGTGGTGGCTCATGCCTGTAATTGCAGCACTTTGGGAGGCCAAGTGGGGGTGGATCATTTGAGGTCAGGAGTTCGAGACGAGCCTGACCAACATGGTGAAACCCCGTCTCTACTAAAAATATACACACACAAAAAATCAGCCAGGCATGGTGGCACATGCCTGTAGTTCCAGCTACTCAGGAGGCTGAAGCAGGAAAATCGCTTGAAGCTGGGAGGTGGAGGTTGCAGTGAGCCGAGATGGCACCACTGCATTCCAGCCTGGGTGACAGAGTGAGACTCCATCTCCAAAAAAAAAAAAAAAAAAAAAAGCTCAAATGTATAACATGTATAATGAGAACAATAAAATTCTTCTGACGAACACCAACTTTAAATTATGGATGATTGGGCAGTCTTATGTCAAATTTGTTTTGTTTTGATGGCATGGTATCAAGAAAAACCGGATTCACAAAGATGAATAGATGATAAAGCATGTTTTGCCAATGATAATGTTTTGTGTGTGTTTTTTAAATAGTACATTAACGCTATCTAAGGATTTAATTACACCTGTCCAGAAGTTTTAAAAGTAAAACATTTCTAAATTAATTATGTAATAGTGTTAAGGAATGAATACTTGGTAGTCGTAAACATTTTGGTAAAAAATAAAAACTTTACAATATGTACTAATCCTGATATATGCATTAGGCAGTCATGTTATTGCATAATGCAACAGTTCTAATAGTACTGAATGTGCTTATATGTTACATGAACAAACAAGCACTAGCCTAAAATTTCAAAATATCAACATAAAGCTACAGTCTTACTAATCAATAACATTTTTATCCTTTCTAACTCTGAGGAGGAAAAAAAAGGAAAGAAAAAATTTTAATTAAAAAATAAAATGGCATTTTAAAAGTTTCATTTCTATACACAAAGTGAGACACTCTATTCCAAGGATTATTGTCCTGGGTGTAAGCATTATAGATAATTTACATTTTCTTCCTTTTGCTTATTTTCTCTCAAATATTCTAAATGCACTTTTTTTTTTTTTTTGCTTTTTTACTTTTTATTTTATTTTATTTTATTTTTCAGACGGAGTTTCACTCTTGTTGCCCAGGCTGGAGTGCAATGGCGTGATCTTGGCTCACTGCAACCTCTGCCTCCTGGGTTCAAGCAACTCTCCTGTCTCAGCCTCCCGAGTAGCTGAGATTACAGGCATGCACCACCATGCCCGACTAATTTTGTATTTTTAGTAGAGATGGGGTTTCACCATGTTGGTCAGGCTGGTCTCCAACTCCCGACCTCAGGTGATCCACCCGCCTCAGTCTCCCAAAGTGCTGGGGTTACAGGCGTGAGCCACTACACCCAGTCTATTTTATTTTATTTTCTTGAGACAGAGTTTGCTCTGTCGCTCAGGCTGGAGTGCAGTGGCATGATCTCAGCTCACTGCAACCTCTGCCTCCCAGGTTCAAGTGATTCTCCTGCCTCAGCCTCCCAGGTAGCTCAGACTACAGGCACCCACTACCATGCCCGGCTAATTTTTGTATTTTTAGTAGAGATGGGGTTTCACCATGTTGGCCAAGCTGGTCTTGAACTCCTGACCTCACGTGATACATCCGCCTCAGCCTCCCAAAGTGCTGGGATTACAGGCATGAGCCACTGTGCCTGGCCAACTTTTTATTTTAAAATTACTATAATTATAAATCACAGGAATTTACAAAAAAGTACACAGGGAGGTCCCAAGTACCCTCGCCCAAATTCCTCCAATCCTGAGTTTATTCAGGTTTCACCAGTTTTGTATGCAAAATGGGACTTGAGTACGCTAGGATTTATATGCAGTATGTGTGTGTGTGGTTGTATGAAGTTTTTATCACATTTGCAGCTTTGTATAATCACACCTGAGACATTGAACTGTTCCATCCCTACACAGCTCCCTCATGCTACCACTTTATAACCACACCACCCCTCACCTCCCATTCCTAACTCCTAGCAACCACTAAATCTGTTCTCCATCTCTGCAGGTTTGTTATTTCAATAATGTTACATAAATGCAATCATACAGTATGTAATCTTTTAGGGTTCTCACTTGTTTTCACTCAGTATTAACTCTCTTGAGATAACCTGGCAGACAAATCAGTTGTCTCTAATATATTAAAATTTAGCATGAGATTCATTTGACTGTGTATAAACATTTATAATATTTTAAACTTAAAACATTAAAATGTGAATCAAAGGTGTATGAAATCCCTGTTTCATTGACAGAGAACAGGGATTCTGAGATACAAATTTTGAAAACTGGGAATCTAATACAAGCCTAGTACAATGTAGTACAGGTTGAATATTCCTTATCTGAAACACTTTGGAGCTGAAATGCTTTGGATTTGGGATTTTTTCAGATTTGGGAATATGTGCATTATATACCGGTTGAGCATCCCAAATCTGAAAGTTCAAAATCTGAAATGGTCCAAAATCCAAAACTTTGAGTGCCAATGACACTCAACGGAAATGCTCACAGGGGCATTTCAGATTTTGGATTTTCGGATTAGGGATCCTCAACCTGTACAATAACTTTATAGAAGAAAAGCTCAGGACTCAGTGCTATGTCTTATCAGTGTTTACAAGAGTACATGGTTTATAAGAACGCCTGGTTTTGCACTTGCTATGGGCAAGATCTAGATTCTGGTTCTTTCCCAACCCAGTTGAATATGTTACATTCAAATATGACCACTTGCTGTTCTTCTCAAATGACCACAGTTTGCTACCCTTTCAAGTTCTTCCTAATGATTGAGGAAATGAACTCCTCTTAAATTCCCAGATCTGTGTGGCGCTTTAGCTAGCACCACACCTCAGGTCCAATTCTCCTGTCTTTATATGCAGCAGGTCCACACGACAAGGCCTCCCTCCGAAAAAGCTACCCCAATCTAGGACAGATTCAAACAAACTCTTTTCCCTCCCCCTCCCTCCATGTGCCCAGAACCCCTTTCTCCTTCCTCCCTAGGCTAACCTGCTAAGTCTTCCGGACAGCTCACTACACCGTCTATCTGTTAGTTAACTGGGTGTGACAAACCACGTCCTCACACCTTAGAAGGCAAACACTCCAGGAACTTACTTCTGGAATACCAATACCTTCACAGTAATTTCCCTGCCTTTCCAAAGAGTGCTCTAAACAGGTAAAAGTGATACCACAAACTCTATATATTTTTGTCACATAGATACAGAAACTGGCACCATTGTTTGCATATTTAAAAAATCTGGTTGATATGGTTATCACTCTATCAATATTAGATCTAAATGGAATTTAAAGTAGTGGTAAAAGGCTGGGCGTGGTGGCTCACACCTGTAATCTCAGCACTTTGGGAGGCCAAGTGGGAAGACTGCTTGAGGCCAGGAGTTTGAGACCAACTCAGGCAACAAAGTGAGACCTCGTCACTATGAAAAATAGAAAAAATTAGCTAGGCATGGTGGGGTGTGCAACTGTAGACCCAGCTACTCAGGAAGCTGAGGTTGGAGGATCACTTGACCCAGGGAGGTTGAGGCTGCAGTGAGCCATGACTGCACCACTGCACTCAGCCTGGGGAGACAGAGTGAGACAATGTCTCAAAAAGTTAAAGAAGAAAGAAAAGAAAGGAAAGAAAAAAAAAGGAAAGGAAAGAAAAAGAAAAGGAAAGAAGGAAGCAAGGAACGAAGGAGGAAGGAAGAAGGAAAAATAAAGAAAAGGAAGGAAGGAAGGAAAAAGAAAGAAAAGAAGGAAGGAAAAGAAAGAGAGAAAAGAAAGGAAAGGAAGAAGGAGGGTGGGAGGGAAAGGAAGAAAGGAAGACGAAAGAGTAGTGGTAAAGAGCTTGGACTCTTGAGCCAGACTGCCTGGGTTAGAATCAGGCCTCTGCCACTGTACTACCTGGATCAAGTGTTAGTCTGCGTTGCTCAGTTTTCTCATGTGTAAAATGGTGATAAAAGCTACCTGCCTCATGGGACTCTTGAGAGACTTCAATAATGTATGCAAAACATTTAGAACACTGCCTAGCACATAGTAAGCATTATCTGTAAGTATTAACATTTATCTCTACTACAGTCCAGATTCACTTCCTTGTGATATTTCTCTATTCCTCTTGGACTCTTTTCAGTTCAACCTGCTTCTGAAATTTCCATACCAAGAAACAATGATAATGTTAAGAATTTTATTTCTGAAATTTATCTTGGTTAGTCAAAACTACTAGAACAAATTCTCTTTTACGTACTAGCAGTTATTAACATTTCACTAAATATGAACATAAGCATTTAAAGTATGGGAGCAATGGAACGAATGCCAAGCAAAAAGCAGGCTATCAATAAGGATGCATACGTGATACTTCCATGTTAAAAAAAGGGAGGAATCATATGGTCACGTGGATGTTTGTCTATGTGTCAAACGGCTCTGAAAAGTTTCACAGCGGTCTACTGAGCGGGAGAACTGTCTGGTGGAAGGGATATGAAGGAGACTTTTCACTGTACATGCTTTGTTATCTTTCAAATCCGAAGCAGCGAATGCCTTACCTAGACAAGAATTTAATTTTTCTTTTTTTTTGAGACAGAGTCTCACTCTGTCACCCAGTCTGGAGTGCAGTGGCACGACCTCAGCTCACCACAACCTCCACCTCCCGGGTTCAAGTGATTCTCCTGCCTCAGCCCCTCTCAAGTAGCTGGGACTACAGGCGTGTGCCACCATGTCTGGCTAATTTTTTTTGTATTTTTAGTAGAGACGGGGTTTCACCATGTTAGCCAGGATGGTCTTGATCTCCCGACCTCGTGATCCGCCCACCTCGGCCTCCCAAAGTGCTGAGATTACAGGCGTGAGCCACTGCGTCCAGCCAAGAATTTAATTTTTAAAATGGGGGTGCAAAGGGGACTTTAAATAAGTACTCTGGAAGCCAGGTGTCAAGTCTCAATTTGCTACTACCTGTGCTATCTTGGGCAAGTCACTTAACCTCTGAGTCTCAGACAAAGCAAAGAGCAGTAAATACTTCTAGGTTCTTTTTTTTTTTTGTAAGACAGAGTTTCCCTCTTATTGCCCAGGCAGGAGGGCAGTGGCACAATCTCGGCTTACTGCTACCTCCACCTCCCGGGTTCAAGTGATTCTCCTGCCTCAGCCTCCCGAGTAGCTGGAATTACAGGTGCCCACCACCATGCCCGGCTAATTTTTTGTATTTTTAGTAGACAAGGGGTTTCACCATATTGGCCAGGCTGGTCTCAAACTCCTGAACTCAGGTGATCCACCCACCTCAGCCTCCCAAAGTGCTGGGATTACAGGCGTGAACCACTATGCCCAGCCCTAGGTTCTATTCTAATTCTAAAAGTTTTATTATCTCAATGGGGTAGTAAATAGATGGTACTTTTTTTTTAAGATATGGGAGAGGTAGTAATCCGACATTTTGTAAAATAAGGCAACTTTTTTATGGACTTGATTTTCAAATGCAGTGGACCCTTGAACAACACGGGTTTAAGCTGTGTGTGCTCACTTATACGTGGATCTTTTTCAACCAAATGCAGACCGAAACCTGCATATATGGAGGCCCAAATTTTCACATTCAGGTTCTGCAGGGCCCACAGTGGGGACTTGAGTATGCCAGGATCTCAGTAAAAACAGGGGTCCTGAAACCAATCCCCTATGGTATATGTTCTATACATAGACCATAGGACAACCAGACTATTTTTACAGTTTTAAGAAACATAGATTTGTCAAGCCTATTAACCTTTCCAGATCATTTGTACTATTCTTACATAGAAACCCTTCTTAGAGGGGGTCTTATATATAGAAAATACCTACATAGAATATTCTGCATATTACAGCTGGACACGGTGGCTGATGCCTATAATCTCAGCACTTTCGGAGGCTGAGGCAGGCAGATCACCTGAGGTCAGGAGTTTAAGACCAGCCTGGCCAACATGGCAAGACCCTGTCTCTACTAAAAATACAAAAATTAGCCGGGCATGGTGGTGGGCACCTGTAATCCCAGCTCCTTGGGAGGCTGAGGTAGGAGAATCGCTTGAACCCGGGAGGTGGAGGTTGCAGTGAGCTGAGATCATGCCACTGCACTCCAGTCCGGGTGACAGAGCAGCGAGACTCCATCAAAAAAAAAAAAAAGAATATTCTGCATTAGTTTCTCTTGCACAACTTCAAAATTGTTTTAAATGAACACATCTTTATACTATGCTATAAAGTCAGCAATAAACTACATTAAAACAATTAATGTTTAAACATATAAACAAGTATGTACAAGAAACTTATACTTAAAGGCATTTATTATCAAACACTGGAAAAAAAAGAACATCTCCAATCAATGGTAACAGCTATAACTGAGGACAGGCTTTATTTCAGGAACATACATGTATCACTTTTCATCGTAACACTAATCTGGCAAAGTAGGTTTTTTTGTTTTTCTTTTTTTGAGACAGGGTCTCTCTCTACCACCCAGGCTGGAGTGCAGTGGCACCATCATGGCTCACTGCAGACCTCAGCCTCTCAGGCTCAAGTGATCCTCACACCTCAGCCTCCCAAGAAGCTGGAAATACAGGCATGCGCCACCATGCCCGGTTAACGTTTGTATTTTTTGTAAAGACACGGTTTTGCCCTGTTGCCCAGGCTGGTCTGAAACTCCTGAGCTCAAGAGGTCTGCCAGGTGTCAGCGTCCCAAACTGCTGGGATTACAGGTGTGAGCCACTGCACCAGGCCCTAAGTAGGTGTTAAAAGCCCTATTTAACATAAGAAACTGAGGCACCATGAAGATAAGGCCACAAGCCTAAGAACTGGGAGAGGTGGAAGCCCACCCAGATCCCTTAGATTTGAGCTCAGTGTACCAAACCAAGGGGGCAGGGACTGCTAACTGAATGTTAGCTGGCAGGCTGGTGCAGGTTTGCAGCAGAGTTTTCACCGATTTATGGGAAAATGGGAAAAAGTAAGGACACGAAAGTAAACTTTTTTTTTTTTTTTTTAAAGACAGAGTCTCGTTCTGTCACACAGGCTGGAGTGCAATGGCGCGATCTTGGCTTACTGCAACCTCTGCATCCCAGGTTCAAGTGATTCTCCTGCCTCAGCCTCCCGAGTAGCTGGGATTACAGGTGCATGCTACCACGCCCAGCTTGTTTTGTATTTTTAGTAGAGACGGGGTTTCAGCATGTTGGCCAGGCTGGTCTGAAAGTAAACTTTTCCATATAGCTAAATGATTCCATTTAAAAATATTTTATTCTGAGAGATTCTGTTCTTTCAAATTGTTTGAATGGAAATATCCTTTTGTTAAATGAAATGATGGTGACAGGAGATAGTGGTGTGTTATTGTTTTTACTGGCTGTACATGGTAGAATTGAAAAATCAGCATTTCTATTGTAGCCTACTAATTTCGGTGAAATATTTCTTTAGAAATATAAAATCTGGAACTTTCCATCATTATGCCTCCCCAAAATAATAGAGGACTTTACACACAGATAACACCTGCCTCTCAAGATTCTCTCATTAATCTCTACCTTACCGTGTTTGGATTAAGACACAGGGCTTGCGAAATGAGAATAAAGTGAGTTTGAGCAATCCAAAACCACGTGCTGACTCTGGATCCTGGAAGATGATTTTCTTCAGAATCTTTGTCTGTTAACTTTCCTCTGGGCTCAAACTTTCTTTTCCTAAAAGAGTCACATATTTGAGTACTACTGCTACATGGCAATCACCACTCAAAAAAAACTAACTTGAGGTGTCCAATAATCAGCTTTCATTTAAAGTCTGTTTCAGGCTAGGCGCGGTGGCTCACGTCTGTAATCCCAGCACTTTGGGAGGCCGAGGAGGGCGGATCACGAGGTCAGGAGATCGAGACCATCCTGGCTAACATGGTGAAACCCCGTCTCTACCAAAAATACAAAAAATTAGCAGGGCGTTGTGGCGGGCGCCTGTAGTCCCAGCTACTCAGGAGGCTGAGGCAGGAGAATGGAGTGAACCCGGGAGGTGGAGGTTGCAGTGAGTCGAGATCGCACCACTGCACTCCAGCCTGTGTGACAGAGCAAGACTCCGTCTCAGAAAAAAAAAGAAAAGTGTCTTTCAGCTTGACAAAATAAAAACTTTCAATGATGTTTTGTCTACACACTTCCAAAAGAAAATGAGTCTATATATGTACATATATGTGATTATATATGTATATATACATATGTGATTTTGATCAGCCTGCATATAAACTACCTGCAAAACAAGTTGATTTGTAAATTCATTTATTAAATGGGTAGTTTATAAGCTACTTGATTTTTGCAAGTAGTTTATAAACAGGCTGATCAAATTGAACAAATTTCTTAATTTCACTGTATACATGGCAAATAAGTTATCTACTCTTCTTATTAGCAAATCTTATTTTTACCTACCCTCCTTTGGCAAGCATCTAAGTTAAACTATTTTATGTCCACAGCTACACAATGAAACATCACTTTCAGTCACAACATATTAAATTCACATTTAAAACTATAAAGAGATCCAGTTACCTTTAGTCTTACATGTACTTATACATACTTTTAATATACTACTTGATGTTTTATGCACAAACATGCAGCTCTTGCAGGATATAACTATGAGAATATTTAGAGTGTATGCTAAATACACTTTTTTAAAGACAAGTCAATTTTTAAAAATTATTTATTTATATTTTATTTATTTATTTGAGATGGAGTCTCATTCTGTTGCCCAGGCTGGGGTGCAATGGTGTGGTCTTGGCTCACTGCAACCTCTGCCTCCCAGGTTCAAGCAATTCTCCTGCCTCAGCCTCCCGAGTAGCTGGGACTATAGGCACATGCCACCACACCCAGCTAATTTTTGTATTTTTGGT
This sequence comes from Homo sapiens, assembly GCF_000001405.40. NCBI lineage: Eukaryota > Metazoa > Chordata > Mammalia > Primates > Hominidae > Homo > Homo sapiens. The sequence goes on along the minus strand of NC_000007.14, from coordinate 65,874,640 downwards.
AGAGACGGGGTTTCACCATGTTGGCCAGGCTGGTCTTGAACTCCTGACCTCATGATCCACCCGCCTCGGCCTCCCAAAGTGCTGGGATTACAGGCGTGAGCCACTGTGCCCGGCCAAGAAAAGTCAATTTTAAGCACTTAAGCAGGCCAGGCGCGGTGGCTCATGCTTGATTCCCAGCACTTTGGAAGGCAGAGGTGGGTGGATTACCTGAGGTCAGGAGTTCGAGACCAGCCTGACCAATATGCTGGTCTCGAATATGCTAATAGGCAACAACGTTTAAAAGTCATTCCAATGCCTAAAACACCACCATATACATAACATACTTGTCCTTTACTCCAATGAAGCTTAAACTAGACCCAAACTCAGACCATTTCCTTCTCCTGGCACACTGAAACATACGAGAGGGAATCCAAGAAATCAGATATGTTAAGTGCGGGTATCTTCTTCCACAGTAGGGTCAAATTCGTGTTTGCCAGCAAATGTCACCGTCCCAGTTAAGTCTGCAAATTCTCACTAGCGCTGGAGTACAAAGAGGCCTGACCACGGAAACACCTGTCCTAGCACCAGGAAGACAGTGGGAAAGGCAACCCCCCTGTCTCCGCGCCGGCCCCAAAGCCTCGGCTGCAGCGATCGGGGGGACAAGAGGTTGCCGCTGGTCTCAAGGGTGCGGTGGACAAGGTCCCACACCCCCGGCCCGCCTCCCGAGAACCAGGAAACCTGTCAAGCCAGCCTGGACCCACCCTCCGCAGCCCCCTCGCGCTCCTGCACAGCCGGGCCCCAGCCCGCCCGACCGCTCCGCGTCCGCCCCGGCCTCCCGGCTGCACTCTGCCACCTCATCCCTCCCCGGCTGCCTCGCGGCCCCGCCACCTCCGCCCCGCGGCCTGGGCTCAGGCCGCCCCCCGGGCAGGAGCGCCCCGCCGCCGCCCCCCGCCTGGCCCCGACCCGACCCCGTCAGTTCCCCAGCGGCCCGGTCCCCGCCGCCCCCAGGCCTGAGCTCCCGCCGCGCGCTCCCCACCCCGAGACTCCACCCTCGCCCCGCTCGGCCGCTCCTGGCCCACTCCCCCAAGCCGGCTACCTGGAGGCAAGGGCGGCGGAGCACTTCACCCAGGGCCCCAGGTCGCAGAGGGCCCGGTGCTCGGGGTCCCGCTCCTTCTCCCGCTCCACGTGGTAGGCGTAGATGGAGAGCAGGATTCCGGCAGCGCACACTGCATACCGGGCCACCCGCTCCCACCGCGGCACCGACACTCTTAGCAGGACGGGAGCCGCCATCTTCCCGCCGCCGCCGCCGCCGCCTCCCTCCGCCTCCACCTCAGCCGCCGCCGCCCGTCGGGGCCCGACCCAGCCGCCACCGCCGCCACCGCCGCCTCCGCCGCCGCCGCCACCACCGCCGCCGCCGCCGCCGCGCCCCATTGGCTCGGTGGCCTGCTCCGGGCCCCGCCCCCACAGGCGCGCGGCCCAACCGCCCCAAAAGGAGTGAGGCGGACGGGGCGGGGAAGGCGCGCGCGGGCGCGGAGGGAGGGGGTGGAGTGCGCAACGGCCGAAGAGGCCGGATCGGCGGGCGGAGACTGAGGCGGCGTGGCGCTGCGCCGCGCGGCCGGTCGCGCGCGAGGGGTGGAGCCCGGGGGAGAAAGGGGTGGGGCAGGGGTGGGGATGGGCGGGGCAGGGGTGGGGAGGGGCGGAGCCAGAGAGGGGCGGGGCCGAGCGGGCCAGTGCGGGAGGGACTTAAAGGAGCGGTCTAACTAGCACATTGCAAGGATGCCACTGTGGGTGACTGGGCGAACCCTCGGCCCCTCCCTCTGGGGATGGCAATCAATTGCCATCCTTTTTCCCTTTTTCGTTGTATATTTCTGACCCAATCCAAATCAACCCTGGCCAATGCTTGGAGCTCCAGAGACCCACACCTATGACCTGATCTTCCCACCACCACCTTCGGTTAGACCTGTGCAAAACTTTTTTTTTAATGTGCAAAACTATGTTTTAAATTTAAAAACTATTTTTAAAAAATGATTTATGGACCGGGTACAGTGGCTTACACCCGTAATCCCAACACTTTGGGAGGCCGAGGCAGGTGGATCACTTGAGGTCAGGAGTTCGAGACCAGCCTGGCCTACATGGCGTAACCGCGTCTCTACTAAAAATACAAAAAACAAACAAAAACAAATTAGCCCGGTGTCGTGGTGGGCGCCTGTAATCCCAGCTACTCGGGAGACTGAGGCATGAGAATTGCCGGAACCCGGGAGGTGGAGGTTGCAGTGAGCCAAGATCGTGCCACTGCACTCCAGCCTGGGCGATAGAGTAAGAGTCTCAAAAAAAAAAAGAGAGATTTACGAATGCCTTGCTTTTCCGTAAGCTGAATTTGAAGTTGCTTACCATAACTCATATAATATAGAAAAATAAAGATGAGCTAATACAATCAGGACGAAGAAAAAGAAAAGTCAGAATAAAATGAAAGGCCAGGAATAAGAACACAGATAAGCAGGCCATAGGGGCTTACATAGTTATTAAAATTGCATCATAAATTTGGCTCTGAGCTTCCTGGTGGCCAAAACTAAAAGGAAAACAGATGTATGTGCTTTTTCTCACTGTCTTTAAGAAGAAACACAGGGTTCTTGGAGATTTTCAGTGTTTCCCTGGTTGCAGCTTTCAATTTTTCAGGGGCTTTATATAGTGATTTTGAATAATAAGCAATATCCTTGTATTCGTTATCTATTGTTGGGTAAAAATCACCCCAAATTTAGCAGTTAATAAACAATAAACTTTTTTTTCCCTCACAGTTTCCACGGGCTAGGAATCTGGGTGAGGTTAGCTGTGTCCTCTGGCTCAGGCTCTCATGAGGATACAATCAAGCTGTCAGCCAGGGCTGCAGCTCTCTCAAGGCTTCAGAATCCTCTTTCAAACTCACTTCCACTGCTGCTGGCAGGCCTGAGGTCCTCTCTGGCTGTTGGCTGGAGACATCATTTCCTGTCCACTTGCACCTCTTGGTAAGAAGCGGCAGGCTTACCCCAGGGAGAGGGAGGAGAAAGAGGAAGAGACAGAAAAAGAAAATGAGAGTGAGATCACAGTCCTTTTTTGAAACCTAATCCCAGAAGTGACATCCCATCACTTTTACGAAGTCTATTGCTACTTAGAAAATAGTCTCTAGGTCCAGCCAGTCATGGTGGCTCACACCTGTAATCCCAGAATTTTGGGAGGCCGAGGTGGGTAGAGCACCTGAGGTCAGGAGTTCGAGACCAGCTGACCAACATGGTGAAACCCCGTCTCTACTAAAAATACAAAAATTAGCCGGATGCGGTGGCACATGCCTGTAAACCCAGCTACTTGGGAAGCTGAGGCATGAGAATCACTTGAACCTGGGAGGTGGAGGTTGCAGTGAGCCAAGCTCACACCATTGCACTCCAGCCTGGCTTACAAGGAAAAACTCCATCTCAAAAAAAGAAGAAAAAAAAGAAAGAAAGAAAGAAAAAGAAAATAGTCCCTAGGTCCAGCCCATGCTCAGAGGGAGAGGATTACACAGGACATGAATATGAGGAAGCTATCTACCACAGTCCTCAAAAACATCCTTGCTCTGCCCAGGTGGGGTGGCTCACAACACTTTGAGAGGCTGAGGCAGGAGGATTGCTTGAGGCCAGCAGTTCAAGACCAGCCTGAGCAACATAGGGAGCCCTGGTCTCTGCAAAAATATATACAAAATTAGCAAGGTGTGGTGCATGCCTGTTGTTCCAGCTACTTGGGAGGACTGACTGAGCCCAGAGGGCTTGGGGCAGGGGTGTGGATTGAGGCTGCAATGAGCCAACGTTGCCCCACTGCACTCCAGCCTGGATGACAGAATGACACACTGATTAAGAAACAAAAACAAAAAACAAAAACCTCACTCTACATCCCTAATGATTTTAATAAATCTAAGTAGACTCCTGCAACTTCCCTTCTTATAGATTCCTTTACTCAGTTGATGAGATCTCTTGATCATCTGGCTTCTTTCATCAATAGGTCTGGGAGGTTTACCCATGCTATTGTGAATAGTGATTGTTATTTTTCATTACTGTATAATAGTCCATTATATTAGATATCCACAATTTTACGTGTCCATTCTACTACGGATGGACATCTGGCCCATTTTTAGCTATCATGAATTAAATTGCTAACAACATTCTATAAATGACCTTTGATGCCTCATAAGCCCTCACTTATTTTTATTTTTATTTTTAAATTTGAGACAGAGTTTTGCTCTTGTTGCCCAGGCTGGAGGGCAATGATGCAATCTCGACTCACTGCAACCTCCACCTCCCATGTTCAAGTGATTCTCCTGCCTCAGCCTCCCAAGTAGCTGGGATTACAGGCATGCACCACCACGCCTGGCTTTTTTTTTTTTTTTTTTCTGTACTTAGTAGAGATGGGGTTTCACCATATTGGTCAGGCTGGTCTCGAACTCCTGACCTCAGGTGATCCACCCGCTTTGGCCTTGGGATTACAGGTGTGAGCCACCATGTCTGGCCCCCATATATATATTTTGAATGAATGAATGAATGAATGGACACTCAAAAAATGTTAGCTACTAGTATTTTTGCAGAAACAATAGGCCCACAGCAAATATCTTTTCCCAAATAAAAAGGAAGTCCTCACCACAGAGGTTAATTATTTCACCACTACAGAAAAAAAAAAACAAAAGCTTTTAAAAGAGTGTTTTGAGGCAGAGCACAGTGGCTCACGCTTGTAATCCCAATGCTTTGGGAGGCCAATGTGGGAGAATCGCTTGAGGCCAGGAGTTATCAACCAGCCTGGGCAACATAGCAAGACCCCATCTCTACAAAAAATAAAAATACAACATTAGCCAGGCGTGGTGGCACACACTGTAGCCCTAACTATTCAGGAGGCCAAGGCAGAAGGATTACTTGAGCCCAGGAGTTCAAGGCTACAGTGAGCTATGATCATGCCACTGCACTCCAGCCTGGGTGACAGAGAAAGACCCTGTCTCTAAAAAAAAAAAAAAAAAAAAAAAAAAAGAATGAAATCGTGTTTTGCCCTCTGTTATCTGAAGTCCTTCTGCTTTCCTGAGGATGTCAGCATCCATGTGGATGAGCATGCAATTCGCCTGACTCATCATCCCACGTCTTTCTCAGCTCTGATGACCTTTGCATCCACTCCCCAAAGCCGCCACAGGAATGGCTCTTATGATCCTTTTGGATGGCTAGATTTCTGAAATCTTAAACTCTGACATACTTTTCTACTTGCCCTCTGTGGCAAATTCTATATTCCAAGGTGGCTGCAACAAGTTCTGCCATCCCGTGTGCTTTTTTTACAATTTTTATTTATTTAGTTTTATTTTTATAAATTTTTTTTTTAGCTCTGTCACGCAGGCTGGAGTGCAGTGGTGTGATCTTGACTCACTGCAACCTCCATCAGCCAGGTTGAAGAGATTCTCCTGCCTCAGCCTTTGAGTAGCTGAGACTACAGGTGCCTGCCACCATGCCTGGCTAATTTTTGTATTTTTAGTAAAGACAGGTTTTCATCATGTTGGCCAGGCTGGTCTTGATCTCCTGACCTCAAGTGATCTGCCCGCCTCGGCCTCCCAAAGTGCTGGGATTACAGGTGTGAGCCACCACACTTGACAACTTACTCTTGAAGTAAAAGAAATACATTCAAAACCAAGGGAGAACATTGACTGATTGATACTCTGTATGAGACTTCACAACTGGACCAGGGGCAAATATTGTGGAGTGCTATATGCATATATTGTGGAGTGCTGAGGTCTGGGCTTTGTGTGTAGCCATGATTCAAATAGTGAACATTGTACTCAATAGGAAATTTTCACCCCTCACCCTCCTCCCATCCTCCCATCTTTTGGAGTCTCCAATATCTGTTGCTCCTCATGTGTACCTATTGTTTAACTCCCATGTATGAGAACATTCAGTATTTGACTTTGTTTCTGAATTATTTCACTGAGGAGAATGGCCTCCAGTTCTATCCACAGTGATGCAAAAGACACGATTTCATTCTTTATGTGGCTAGGTCATGTTCCGTGGTGTACATGTACCATATTTTCTTTATCCAATCATCTGTTGATGGACACTTAGGTTGATTCCATATCTTTGCTACTATGAATAGTGCTGTGATAAACATATGAGTACAGGTACTTTTTGATATATTGATTTCTTTCCCTTTGGGTAGATATCTAGTAGTGAGATTGCTGGTTGGATTGCAGTTCTATTTTTAGTTTTTTGAGAAATCTCCCTACTGTTTTCTGTAATGGTTGTACTAATTTACATTCCCACCAACGGTGTATAAGCGTTCCTTTTTTCTCTGAATCCTCACCAACATCTTTTTTTTTCTGACTTTCAATTTTTTATTTGTATAGAGATGGGGGTCTCATTATGTTGCCGAGGCTGGTCTCGAACTCCTGACCTCCAGTTATCTGCCCACCTCAGCCTCTCAAAGTGCAAGGTTACAGGTGCGAGCCATCTCACCTGACTGTTTTCTGACTTTTTACTAATAGCATGTGCTAGGTGTGGTGGCTGACACCTGTAATCCCAGCACTTTGGGAGGCCTAGGCAGGTGAATCACCTGAGGTCAGGAGTTTGAGACCAGCCTGGCCAACATGGGGAAACCCTATCTCTACTAAAAGTGCAAAAATTAGCTGGGCATGGTGGCATGTGCCTGTAATGCCAGCTACTCGGGAGGCTGAGGCAGGAGAATCACTTGAATCTGGGAGGTGGAAGTTGCAGTGAGTCGAGATTGCACAACTGGACTCCAGCCTGGGTGACAGAGCAAGACATAATAATAATAATAGCATGTGCTCTTCTTCAACATAACTTTAACATTGCTCCCATGGTGAGGTCAGGTCTGTGCTCCTCCCCCTTGAATTCAAGAAGGTCTGTGACTGGCAGAAGTGATTCAAGGTAGCTCATAAAAGGGGACACCTTTTCTCCATGGTCTTCCTGGGATGCTTGCTCTTTGAACCCAGCCACCATGCTGTGAGGAAGCCCAGATCACAGGGAGAGGCCACATTTTGATGTTCCAATCAACAGTCCCAGCACAGGTTTCAGATGACAGCCAACATCAGTTGCCAGACATGGGACTGAAGAAGGCTTTGTGAAGACTCCAGCCCCAGCCACTGCAACAGCATGAGACACCCCGAGTGAAAATCACCTACCTGAACCCAGTCAACTCCCAGAACCATGAAAAAAAAAAGATGATTTTAAGCACCCAAAGTTTTGGGGTTATATATTATGCAATAAGAGTAACTTAAATATCCTCATTCCCTTCTAGCTTTTCGAATCTCTTACTCACCAAACCTAGTCTCTCTCTGAAGACCTGCTCTGCCTTAATCAATATTTTCCCCATAGACCCAGCGAGAGGTAGGTTGGGTTATCTTCCTACTCTTCATGGCTGCTCAGAGACCATTTCTTCTTCTTCTTCTTCTCCTACTCCTTCTCCTTCTCCTTCTTCTTTCTTTTTTTAGTGATGGAGTCTCCCTCTGTCACCAGGCTGGAGCGCAGTGGCACAATCTCAGCTCACTGCAACCTCTGCTTCCTGGGTTCAAGTGATTCTCCTGCCTCAACCTCCTGAGTAGCTGGGACTACAGGCACATGCCACCACGCCCAGCTAATTTTTGTATTTTTATTAGAGATGGGGTTTCATGATGTTGGCCAGGATGGTCTTCATCTGTTGACCATGATCTGCCCACCTCGGCCTCCGAAAGTGCTGGGATTACAGGCATGAGCCACCACACCCAGCTCTTCTTCTATTTTTTCTTCCTCCTCTTCTTCCCCCTCCTCCTCTTCCTCCTCGACAGGGTCTCACCTCCCCAGGCTCAAGCAATTCTCCCACCTCAGCCTCCCGAGTAGCTGTGACCGCATGTGCATGCCACCGTACCCAATTGATTTCTTTTTATTTTTTGTAGAGATGGGGGTCTCACTATGTCACTCAGGCCAGCCTCAACCTTTTGGGCTCAAGTGATGCTCCTGCCTCAGCCTCCCACAGTGTTGGGATTACAAGTATGAAGCACTGAGCCCAGACTAATTTTTCATCTTCTTTAGTTAACCTAACTGTCTCTGTGTTCTCCAGCATTCTATTCCCTTGAATACTCAATCTCCTGTGTGGCTGCTGCAGGTCCTGGAATCTTTTTAGGATTTCCTCTCTAAAGGCCATTCAAAAAGTGGTGAGTTAATTTGCCCACAGTCCACAGTCCACATTGCAGCCATCAGCAAAGCCAAATGCCAGCCGTGCCTGGATCTCCCTGCATGCCACATTCATCCTTATCTTGCACACATTTCCTTCACTATGCGAGGACAAGAACACTTTTGAGCTAATGAACGTGCATGTTCTCTGTTCAAAGTAAAACACATAATAAATAACCCCCACCAAGATGCTCACTTCCTGGTGGGTCTGTGTGTTAAAAGCAGTTGTCTTCAAATCTAACTCCTATGAATGTTTATACTTCTGTTTATTCTAAAACTCCCTAATTAGAGACTTCCCAGTATCTTGCAATTCCTCAACAAGTCATACGGAGCCCAGGAATAATTTTTTTTTTGAGACGGAGTCCCACTCTATCACCAGGCTAGAGTGCAGTGGCACCATCTCAGCTCACTGCAACCTCTACCTCCCAGGTTCAAGTGCCCTTCTTAGCCCCTCGAGTAGCTGGGATTACAGGCATGTGCCACCACACTGAGCTAATTTTTGTACTTTTAGTAGAGACAGGATTTCACCATGTTGGCCAGGATGGTCTCGATCTCTTGACCTCGTGATCCTCCCACCTCAGCCTCCCAAAATGCTGGGATTATAGGCGTGAGCCACGGTGGCAGGCCAGGAATAAATTATTCAAAAATAATTAACAAAAGGCTTTACCTTGTTTCATCATTTAGTTGATGAACTTTTCCAGTTTAATTAGTCTCACCAATATAGAAAACATTTTTAGAAGAGGCCTCTTTGGGTTAAGAACAAGTGTCTTTCTTTCTAGCTGCTCTAGAGAAGAAGAAGAAGAAGAGAAAACAACAAGGCCCATTTTAGGAACCTTTTAACCATGAGTAGAACACAACACAAGGAAAACTTTCTCTTTTATATAAGAAATATATTTTGGCCGGGTGTGGTGGCTCACGCCAGTAATCCCAGCACTTTGGGAGGCCAAAGCAGGCAGATCACCTGAGGCCATGAGTTTGAGACCAGCTTGGCCAACAAGATGAAACACTGTCTCTACTAAAAATACAAAAATTAGCCGGGTGTAGTGGTGGGCACCCATAATTGCAGCTACTCGGGAGGCTGAGGCAGGAGAATCACTTGAACCAGGAGGTGGAGGTTACAGTAAGCGGAGTTTGTGCCATTGCACTCCAGCCTGGGTGACAGAGAGAGACTCTATCTCAAAAAAAAAACAAAAAAAAAAGAAGGAAGGAAGGAAGGAATTTCACAAAAGCGCATTTAATGCAGGCAACTTTTAAGCATCAGAGAAATTTGTCTGGATTAAGTCCAGAGACGCAGTGTTGCGTTGCTTACAAGAATGGTTTGGAATCCCAGCTCTACCGCGTTAATAACTGCCTGTGCCTAGCAAGGTACTTAACTCCCCTTTGCCTCAGTATCTTCTCCATAAAATGGGGATGGCAGTAGTACAGTGGTCCATGCCTCTGAGGGTTTGAGGAGAATCAGTTACATGGTGACAGGCACATAGTTAATGTTCAATAAATGCTATAGCTATTATCTTCATTCTTGTCTCTATGGGTGAAAGAAAAATGCAACATTGGATCAGATTAAATTCTTCTGGAAGCAATGGCTTAAAATAAACTGCTATTCAAAAACTAAAATTATCATACTGGGCTAAAGCTATCCAAAATGTAAGTGATCTATCTTCCAGTAATTCCACAAAATAGATAAATGTGTACACAGTTACTTAGAAGAACATTTAACAACTGCATTTAAATGTAGATTCTTGGCTGGGCATGGTGGCTCACACCTCGAATCCCAGAAATTTGGGAGGCCAAGTTGGGTGGATCACCTGAGGTTAGGAGTTTGAGACCAGCCTGGCCAACATTGTGAAACCCTGTCTCTACTAAAAATACAAAAATTAGTTGGGCATGTTGGCGGGCATCTGTAATCCCAGCCACTCAGGAGGCTAAGGCCAGAGAATCATTTGAACCCAGGAGGTGGAGGTTGCAGTGAGCTGAGATCGCACAACTGCACCTCAGCCTGGGTGACAGAGACTCCATTTTAAAAAGAGCAAATAAGTAAATAAATGTAAATTCTTGGGCTTTGTTTCATTCATGATTCCCACCAGCAGAGCGACCTAAGAATGTAAATATATATATATATTTTTTGAAATTATTATATTGCTTTATTTGATATTTTCCATTTCTTCTCTTATTAAATACATTTACTTTCATGGCATATTATACTATGTAACTTCTTAGTTCTATTTTTTTATTACAGTTTAAGTTTTAGGGTACATGTGCACAACGTGCAGATTTGTTACATATGTATACATGTGCCATGTTGGTGTGCTGCACCCATTAACTCGTCATTTAACATTAGGTATATCTCCTAATGCTATCCCTCCCCCCTCCCCCCACCCCACAACAGGCCCCGGTGTGTGATGCTCCCCTTCCTGTGTCCATGTGTTCTCATTGTTCAGTGCCCACCTATGAGTGAGAACATTCGGTGTTTGGTTTTTTATTAAGCCCTCTAGTGACCTTTATGATCAGGCAAACTCAGGTAATAACATTGAACGGTTGGTGAGTGCATATTTTCCAGGTTAAAATGATATTGGGTATAGAGCAGCAGTTCTCAAATTTGAAGTGCTTAAGAATCACCAGGAAAATTGTTAAAAATTACATGTCCAGAGGTTTAGATATCCAGAGATTTAGATTCAGAGCTCTGGGAGACACTAAAAAATCTGCGTTTTTTAAACCAGTTTCTTCTCTCCAGGGTGAATAATTCAGACGCACTTGTCTTCATTCTGTGCTGCTATAACAGGTAATTTATAATGAACAGAAATTTATTTGACTCAGGGTTCTGGAGGTTGGGAAGTCTGAGTAGAGGGGCTACATCTGGTGAGGGCCTTCTTGCTATATCAGACAATGGCAGAAAGTATCACATGGTGAGAGAGAGCAGGAAGGGGGCAGAACTCATCCTTCATAAGAAACTCACTCGCATCATAATGAACCCCACTCCCACAATAACGACATTAATCCATTCCTGAAGGCAAAGTCTTCCTGACCTAATTATCTCTTAAAGGTTGCACCGCTCAACATTGTTGCATTGGGGATTAAGTTTCCAACACATTAACTTTGGAGGATACATTCAAACCATAGCATTCTGCCCCAACCACCCAAATTCATGTTCTTCTCACCTGCAAAATACATTCATTCCATCCCAATAGCTCCAAAAGTCTTAATTTGTTTCAGGACCAACTCAAAAGTTTAAAGTTCAGAGTCTCATCTAAATCAGATATGGGTGAGACCCACGGCACAATTCATTCTGAGGCAACAGCTGTGAGCCTGTGAAATTAAAAAAAAAAAAAAGGTGCCTCCAAAATATAATGGTAGGACAGATATAAGGCAGATATTTTCTTTCTTTGTTTTTGTTTTTGAGATGGCGTCTCACTCTGTCGCCCAGGCTGGTGTGCAGTGGCACGATCTCGGCTCACTGCAAGCTCGGCCTCCCGGGTTCACGCCATTCTCCTGCCTCAGCCTCCAGAGTAGCTGGGACTACAGGTTCCCATCACCACACCCAGCTAATTTTTTGTATTTTTAGTAGAGACGGGGTTTCACCATGTTAGCCAGGATGGTTTCAATATCCTGACCTCGTGATCCACCCGCCTCGGCCTCCCAAAGTGCTGGGATTACAGGCATGAGCCACCACGCCTGGCCACTTTTTTTTTTTTTTTGAGACGGAGTTTCGCTCGTTGCCCAGGCTGTAGTGCAATGGCACAATTTCGGCTCACTGCAACCTCCACCTCCTGATTTCAAGCGATTCTCCTGCCTTGGCCTCCTGAGTAGCTGGGATTACAGGGGCCCGCCATCACACCCAGCTAAGTTTTTTTTTTTTTCTTTTGAGATGGAGTCTTGCTCTGTCGCCCAGGCTGGAGTGCAGTGGCTATATCTCAGCTCACTGCAAGCTCCGCCTCCTGGGTTCAGGCCATTCTCCTGCCTCAGCCTCCTGAGTAGCTGGGACTACAGGTGCCCGCCACCATGCCCGTCTAATTTTTTGTACTTTTTTTAGGAGAGATGGGGTTTCACCATGTTAGCCAGGATGGTCTCGATCTCCTGACCTCGTGATCCGCCCTCCTCGGCCTCCCAAAGTGCTGGGATTACAGGCATGAGCTCCACCTCTGTGACAAACTTCTGCCTGGGGCGCCCAGCTGTTCAACACATGTTTTGAAATCTAGGTGGAGGGCTGGGCGCCATGGCTCATGCTTGTAATCCCAGCACTTTGGGAGGCCGAGGCGGGTGGATCACGAGGTCAGAAGATCGAGACCATCTTGGCTAACACAGTGAAACCCCGTCTCTACTAAAAATACAAAAAATTAGACGGGCGTGGTGGCGGGCACCTGTAGTCCCAGCTACTTGGGAGGCTGAGGCAGAAGAATGGCGTGAACCCGGGAGGTGGAGCTTGCAGTGTGAGCTGAGATCACGCCACTGCACTCCAGCCTGGGCAACAGAGCAAGACTCTATCTCAAAAAAAAAAAAAAAAAAAAAAGAAAGAAATCTAGGTGGAGCCCACCATAGCCCCACAGTTCATATACTCTGCACATATGCTGAGTTAGCACTGTGTGGATGCCACCATGGTTTATAATCCTGTATCTCTTCTGGAGTGGTGGCTAGACCTACTTAAGCTATTGAAGTTGATTGTATTCGTCTGTTCTCACGCTGCTAACAAAGACATACCTGAGACTGGGTAATTTATAAAGGAAAGAGGTTTAATGGACTCTCTGTTCAGCATGGCTGGGGAGGCCTCACAATTGTGACCAAAGGCAAAGGAAGACCAAAAGCACATCTTCCATGGTGGCAGGCAAGAAAGCATGTGCAGGGAAACTGCCCTTTTATAAAACTAACAGATCTCCTGAGACTTATTCACTATCAATGAGAACAGCATGGGAAAAACGCACTCCCATGATTCAATTACCTCCTACTGGGTCCCTGCCACAACATGTGGGGATTATGGGAGCTAAAATTAAAGAAGCGATTTGGGTGGGGACACAGCCAAACCATATCATTGGTTTTTCCCCAGGTTCCCCCATATAAGTCAGTGAATGTAGATGGATACTTGTGACAAAGGGAACCATTGTGGTCCAGACACTGAATACACTGAAGTCCCAGCTGCTGTTCTGCCAGGATTCCCTGTGCCACCTGCCAGGACCTCCCCTCAAGCACCTCCCTGTTCAGGAGATGCCCATCTATTCAAGAGAGAGTGTTCATAATTTTCTTTTTCTTTTCTTTTCTTTTTTTTTTGAGGCAGAGTCTCTTGCTCTGTCGCACAGGCTGGAGTGCAGTGACATGATCTCAGCTCACTGCAACCTCTACCTCCCAGGCTCAAGCAATTCTTCTGACTCAGCCTACTGAGAAGCTGGGATTGCAGGCGCACACCACTATGCCTGACTAATTTTTTGTATTTTTATTAGAGACCAGGTTTTGCCATGTTGGCCAGGCTGGTCTCGAACTCCTGACCTTGAGTGATCTGCCCCACTCGGCCTCCCAAAGTGCTGGAATTACAGGCGTGAGCCACCGTGCCTGGCCAATTTTCATAATTTTCTTTACCTCCACTGTGGTGGGAGAACTGACTTCAGAGAAAGCCATCCTGGACAGGTGAGGTGGCCCCACGAGGAACAGGTTTCAATCAAATGTTTTGTAGGCAGTGATGCCCGTGCACCCTGGTGAGAAGGAGCATGGCGTGAACATCAGGAACCAGACTTCACCCTGGAGGAAAGGCCACAGGTGGGGGCTGAAGGAGCAGTTCTTACAAGCGATCCTGTGGGCACTGGGGCCACACCACGCACCTTGGTGCACAAGTGTCAGTGTGGCTCAGAGTGGGGTAGAGGACTCAGGGTATTAAAAGCATCAAGGAATCCAGGGAGAGCCACCGCACCCAACTTTACTTTCACCCACAGGCTTTCATCATGTTGGCCAGACTGGTCTCCAACTTCTGACCTCAAGTGATCCACCTGCCTTGGTCTCCTAAAGTGCTGGGATTACAGGCATAAGCCACCATGGCTGGCCAAGATTAGGTCTAATTTTTAAAGTAATCTGGAGCATAGAAAATGTTTCTGCAATTATTACTCTTTTTTTTTTGAGACAGGGTCTCACTCTGTCACCCAAGCTGGACTGCAGTGACATGATCATGGCTCACTAAAGCCTCACCCTCTTGGGCTTAAGCGATCTTCCTGCCTCAGCCTTCCAAGAGCTGGGACTACATGCGTGCACCATCGTGCCCAGCTAATTTTTTAGTTCTTATACAGACAGGGGTCTCACTATGTTGTCCAGACTGGTTTTGAACACATGGGCTCGAGAGATCCTCCCACCTTGGCTTCCTCAAATGCTGGGATTACAGGCATGAGCCACCACACCTGGCCTCACATATTTTGATATATAAAACACCAAAGATCTTTTTAAGGAGCTAAAGAAACCAGTAATTTTTAAAGAAAAAAGTAGTGGGAGTGTCTAGTACAACCAAAACCAGGCATCAAAGTCAGCAGTTAAACATTCCAGGCTGGGCACAGTGGCTCATGCCTGTAATCTCAACACTTTGGGAGGCCCAGGCAGGAGGACTGCTTGAGCCCTGGGGAGCAGAGGTTGCAGTGAGCCACGATAATACCACAGTATTCCAGCCTGGAAGACACAGTGAAACCCTGTCTCAAAAACAGACAAACAAACAAATCAATCAATCAATCCAGAACCAGTGCTCACTTCGGCAGCACATATACAAAAGGTGGCATGACATGGAGAAGATAAGCATGGTCCCTGTGAAAGGATGACAAACAAATTCATGAAGCATTCCATATTTTAAAAAATATTTCAGAACCAAGAAAATAAATGAATCAAAAGAAAGGGAAGACCTTGGTGATTCCTTTGATATCAGAAAAAATCAGCTGGGCACAATGGCTCATGCCTGTAATCCTAGCACTTTGGGAGGCCAAGGCAGGCAGATCATTTGAGGTCAGGAGTTGGAGACCAGCCTGACCAACATGGTGAAACTCCGTATCTACTAAAAGTCCAAAAATTAGGCCGGGTGCAGTGTCTCATGCCTCTAATCCTAGCACTTTGGGAGGCCAAGGCAGGCGGATCACTTGAGATCAGGAGTTCGAGACCAGCCTGGCCAACATGGTGAAACCTTGTCTTTACAAAAAATACAAAAATTAGCCGGGTGTGGTGGTGGGCACTTGTAATCCCAGCTACTCAGGAGTCAGAGGCAGGGAGAATCACTTGAACCCAGGAGGTGGAGGTTGCAGTGAGCTGAGATCGCACCATTGCACTCCAGCCAGGGTGACAGGGCAAGACTCCATCTCAATAAATAAATAAATAAATAAATAAATAAATAAATAAAGTACAAAAATTAGCTGGGCATTACATGCCTGTAATCCCAGCTACATGGGAGGCTGAGGCAGGAGAATCTCTTGAACCCGGGAGGCGGAGGTTGCAGTGAGCTGAGATCACACCACTGCACTCCAGCCTGTGTGACAGAGCGAGACTCTGTCTAAAAAAATTAAATAAATAAAATAAAATGAAATAAAGTTTTCATTTGCAATTCTGAATTTGGCAAGAGGAGTGAACTGTGGCCCAGTGACTGGCACACAGCATTTTAGAGTTCATGGCATAATCCTTGGGAAACTGTTTTCGCCAAAGTTGTGGCTTCATCTCTGACCACTCACTTTATTCAAAAGACCTGGCTCAAAATGACTATTTATGGAAATCAACTCTAGCCTCAAAAGACAAAACCACTGTAGTTCTAAAGATATTCAAAAAATTAAGGTAATTAAAAAGCAATGAAGGGCCAGGCACAATGTCTCATGCCTGTAATCCCAGCACTTTGGGAGGCTGCAGCAGAAGGATCACTTGAGGCCAGGAGTTTGAGGCCAGCCTGAGCAACATAGTGAGACCCTGTCTCTACAAAATAATTTTAAAAATTAGCTGGTCGGCCGGGTGCGGTGGCTCACGCCTGTAATCCCAGCAGTTTGGGAGGCCGAGATGGGTGGATCACGAGGTCAGGAGATCGAGACCATCCTGGCTAACACGGTGAAACCCTGTCTCTACTAAAAATACAAAAAATTAGCTGGGCATGGTGGCGGGTGCCTGTAGTCCCAGCTACTCAGGAGGCTGAGACAGGAGAATGGCCTGAACCCGGGAGGTGGAGCTTGTAGTGAGGCAGTGAGCCGAGATCACGCCACTGCACTCCAGCCTGGTCGACAGAGTGAGACTCGGTCTCAAAAAAAAAAAAAAAAAATTAGCTGGGCATGGTGGTGTTAGCCTGTTGTCCCAGCTACTCCAGAGGCTGGGATGGGAGGATTACTTGAGGCCAAGAATTGGAGGTTGCAGTGAGCCAGGACTGCACCATTGCTCTCCACCCTGGGTGACAGAGAGATTTTGTCTCTAAAAATGAAATAAAGGAAGCAAGGAAGGGCTTCTCCTCCAAATACTCCCACTTCATTTGGGGCAATTACAAGGTTCCAGGAAACATGAAAAACCTACCCTGACTACCTTTTTGGATATATGCTAATGGGAAAACAAATCTCATTAATTAACTCACAGAACAGCTAAGAGAAAAGGATCTTAGGGGACGTGTGGTTTCACTCCTAAGTTTAAACATGAGGAAATGGGTACCAAAGAGGTGAAATAACTCACCAGGTAGAGAGAGAAGAGCCTCTCTTACTACAAGGGGTCTCTCACTGAAAAACCAGCGAAACTCGTTCCTTGCCTGCATTCTCCAAGATCATAGCCCAACATAGAATAGAAATGTCTCCACTTCAGAGGACAACCGGTTTGTCCTTTGCCTTTTACACCCCTTTCAGCAAGGAGTATTTCTCAACTTTGTATTTGTGCAAACCCTTGAGCAGCACAAACTTCTTAGCTAAGAGACACTCCACTCTGTTTGCAATTGAGGGCAAAGGCTGGGATGCTTGGGCACAGCTCCAGGGTCCTTTCCCAGAGGTCTGGGGTGGCTGGAAAAAAAAGCATTTATTTTTCACACACTGAAGAGACTTGGCTCATCAAGTAGAGGTAAACTTTCTCTGTCTCTCTCTCACTATATATATATATATATATATATATTATATATAAGTATATATTATATATTATATATATATTTTTTTTTTTAAATTTTTTTTTTGAGACGGAGTTTCACTCTTGTTGCCCAGGCTGGAGTGCAATGGAGCTATCTTGGCTCACTGCAACCTCCCATTTCCTGAGTTCAAGTGATTCTCCTGCCTCAGCCTTCCAAGTAGCTGGGATTACAGGCACCCACTACCATGCCCAGCTAATTTTTGTATTTTTATTTATTTTACTGACTTATTTTTATTTTTTTTCGAGACAGAGTTTTACTCGTCACACAGGCTGGAGAGCAATGGCGCGATCTCGGCTCACTGCAACCTCCACCTCCCGGGTTCAAGTGATTCTCCCTTCCTCAGCCTCCCAAGCAGCTAGGATTACAGGCACTCACTGCCATGCCCAACTAATTTTTGTATTTTTTAGTAGAGATGGGATTTCACCATGTTGGCCAGGCTGGTGTCAAACTCCTGACCTCAAATGATCTGCCTGCCTCAGCCTCCCCAAGTGCTGGGATTATAGGCATGAAACACTACACCCGGGCTCAGAAAACTTTTTTTTTTTTTTTGAGACAGTCTTGCTCTGTCGCCCAGGCTGGAGTGCAATGGCATGATCTCAGCTCACTGCAACCTCCGCCTCCTGTGTTCAAGTGATTCTCCTGCCTCAGCCGCCCGAGTAGCTAGGATTGCAGGTGCCCGCCACCATGCCCTGCTAATTTTTGTATTTTTAGTAGAGATGGGGTTTCGCCATGTTGGTCAGGCTGGTCTCGAACTCCTGACCTCAGGTGATCCGCCCGTCTAGGCCTCCCAAAGTGCTGAAATTATAGGCATGAGCCACCACACCCAGCCCTTCTTCCATTCTTGCTCAAATTTTCCTTTTTCTTCTTCTCTGTCTTTCTGCCTCCTTTTTTTTTTTTCTTAATACCCTGGAAATCACAGGGAATACATATTAATCTTAATTCCAAGGGCAATCTTTAAAATTTCCTTTAGAGCCAGGGCCTTGCTCTATCACCCAGGCTGGAGTGCAGTGGTGAGATCTTGGCTCACTGTAACCTCTGCCTCCTGGGCTCAAGTGATCCTCACACCTCAGCCTCCCAAGTAGTTGGGACTACAGGTGTGTGCCACTGCACTCGGCTAATCTGAAAAACATCCTTTTGGAGCAATGGAGTTTTGCTATGTTGCCCAGGCTGGGTCTTGATCTCCTGGTCTCAAGAATTTCTCCTGCCTTGGCTTCTCAAATTGTTAGGATTACAGGAATGAGTCACTATACCTGGCCACTTTTTTAATGGAGAAGAGTCCAAGAAACACTATTTCTGATAAAAACACCAGCTAAACTCTTTAAATGTTGCTTTTTTACACTCTCAATTTTCTCCCTTTATCTCTTAGCATCAAATTTCATTTAATTCCTCTAGATACAACTTCCCTTCTTTTTTTTTTTCCTGGAGACAGAGTGTCACTCTATCCCCCAGGCTGGAGCGCAGTGGCATGATCTCAGCTCACTGCAACTTCCGCCTCCTGGGTTCAAGTGATTCTCCTGCCTCAAACTCTCCCGAGTAGGTGGGATTACAGGCACCCACCACCGTGCCTGGTTAATTTTTGTATTTTTAGTAGAGACAGCATTTTACCATGTTGGCCAGGCTGGTCTCAAACTCCTGACCTCAAGTGATCCACCTGCCTCAGCCTCCCAAAATGCTGGGATTAGAGGCATGATCAACCGTGCCCAGCAACTTACTCTTGAAGTAAAACAAATACATTCAAAACCAGGAATAACATCGACTGATTGATACTCTGTATAAGACTTCACAACTGGACCAGGAGCGGTGGCTCACACCTGTAATCCCAGCACTTTGGGAGCCTGAGGCAGGCAGATCACCTGAGATCAGGAGCTGAAGACCAGCATGGCCAACACGGTGAAACCCCTTTACTAAAAATACAAAAATTAGCTGGGCATGGTGGCGGGTGCCTGTAGTCCCAGCTACTCGGGAGGCTGAAGAAGGGAGAATCACTTGAACCTGGGAGGTGGAGGTTGCACCACCATGCCCAGTGTCAGAAACAAACTCACCTGTCCAAACACAAAGAATGGACTCAGATACCCAGAGAACAGCGAAAGTAAGACTTTTAACGATGGTCTTGCAGGATTGGGTGTCTGATAGGCAGGCACACTCATAACAGTTTCAACAAGCAATTTATCCTCTTGTGTGCAGGTCCCTCCCGCTTCCTCATACATAGGCTGAGTACTATGGGGTCACAATCTTCCTGGATGTCACCTATTGGTTGTTGGATAGGGGCTTTAGGTGTCTTTTTTGTTTGTTTTTTTAAGATGGAGTCTTGCTCTGTCGCCCAGGTGGGAGTGCAGTGGCGCAATCTCGACTCACTGCAACCTCTGCCTCCCAGGTTCTTGCCATTCTCCTCCCTCAGCCTACTGAGTAGCTTGGATTACATGCGCCCGCCACCACGCCCAGCTATTTTTCTTTGTATTTTTAGTAGATACGGGGTTTCACCGTGTTAGCCAGGATGGTCTTGATCTCCTGACCTCATGATCCACCCGCCTTGGCCTCCCAAAGTGCTGGGATTGCAGGCGTGAGTCACCATGCTGAGCCGTGTATACCCTGTTTCTTCTGTAGTTTGCTGACCTAATCTGATTTAAGGCACTTTGTCTTGGAAATGGACCACTGTATACATTATTTCCTTTACCCAGCTAATTTTAATTTTTTTTTTGTAGAGATGGGGGTCTCACTCTGATGCCCAGGCTTGTCTTGAACTCTTGGCCTCAAGTGATCCTCCTGCCTCAGCTTCCCAAAGTGCTTGGATTACAGGCAGGAGCCACCTGTTCAGCCATCTTTGTTTAAAAAAGATAGTTTAAAGGACTCCAACTAGGAACTAATGCAGTAATCTGGGCCAGATATGATTCTAGCTGGGTTGAAATAATGACCAAGATAAAAAGGAGGAAGACGGGAAAGGCTGGGAGGGGCAAAACCAACAGGACTTGTAAGTAAGCAGATCTGGTGACAAAAGTCAGGGAAAACAAAAGAAGACTCCCAGGTCTCCAGGTGACAAGGCCAGACGTGGTATATGGTAGTGCCAGCAGACGGAGAGGGGAGTGCACACCACCACACAGCTGGCCCACACAACCTGGCTGCAAAAGGCCAGGAATCGCATGCTCTCCAGCTTGCAGCCTGAATTTGGACAACTCACTCACTCTCACTGCCTGTCTTCACAATTTCAAAATGAAGCTAAAAAAAAAAACCCTTCTCTAACTTGTTTTGCTTTTTTCTGAGACGGAGTCTCACTCTATCACCTAGGCTGGAGTACAGTGGTGCGATCTCGGATAACTGCAACCTCTGACCCCAGGGTTCCGGTGATTTTCCTGCCTCAGCCTCCAGAGTATCTGGGATTACAGGCCTGCCACCATGCCCGGCTAATTTTTTTGTATTTTTTTTAGTAAAGACGGGGTTTCACCATGTTGGCCAGGCTGGTCTCTGACTGCTGACCTCAGGTGATCCACCCTCAGCCTCCCAAAGTGTTAGGATTGCAGGTGTGAGCCACTGTGCCCGGCCGGCCTCCAGCTTGTTTTAAGAATCCAGTAACATCACTATGTTTAACAATTGGCTTAGATATTCAGAAGCTGCTGATGTGAATGTTAAATGAATTTTATGAGTAAAGAAATTAGATCAAAGTAAGTGGATTCCATGTAGCCGAGAATGATGTCTTCTGGATGTGCCACCTGGTAACCCCTCCTTCAGTGCACTATGCCCCTTGACAAACACCATGGGGAGCAGGGACAGAGGAGGTGGGTGGGGAGCACAGGGACACAGGCACTGACATCCGACCCTGCCTTGCCCCTGTCCCGTTCATCCCTTTCTATAATACAATCATTTAACAATGGTTCCCCATGTGTAAAATATTTGCTTCATTCAATCACAGAACAGATACTTGATGTTCAAATTTACTGAGGAAGAAACTGTTCACTTGCCAAATAGGAACTTAAAAAAATCAACAACCCTTAATTAGCTGTATCATTGAAGTAAAACCAATGTAAGGGATTTAGTGTTTATCCAAGCAAGCCTGGTTGGCTTCTTGGCTTCCTGTCTTCCCCATTTGTTCCTCCTTCTCAAAGTGTGGATTTCATTTTCAAACTGGAGAAAAGAGGTGTTCAAGGTGGGAGGTGGAGGCAGGAGGATGGCTTTAGATCAGGAGTTCAAGACCAGCCTGGTCAATATAGTGAGACCTTGTCTCCAGAATTTTTTTTTTTTTTTTTTTACTTAGCTGGGTGTGGCTGTATGCTTGTGGTCCCAGGTTCTCAGGAGGCTGAGGCAGGAGGATCACTTGAGCCCAGGAATTTGAAGCTGCAGCAAGCTGTAATCACGTCACTGCACTCCAGCCTGCGTGACAGAGCAAGACCCTGTCTAAAAACAACAACAACAAAAAAGGGCCAGACTCAGTGGCTCACACCTGTAATCCCAGCACTTTGGGAGGCTGAGGCAGGAGGATCTCTTGAGGCCAGGAATTCAAGACCAGCCTGGACAACATAGTGAGACCCTGTCTCTATATTTTTTTTAAAAAAAGAGGTGTTTGGGAACTTCCACTATGTAGACATCCACTGCTGAAGGGCTGTTTTGTGTCATAACCAAGACACATGGCCTGAGACCTGTGATGATTATTTGTATTTGTGCAAACTCCAGAGCAGCCCAAGCTCCTAGACTAAGAGACACTCCACCCTGTTTGTAACAGTCTTGAGCAGACATATGAGGAGACACAGGTCATTGTCTCCAGCATCAAAGGAATGAACCAGGATGTTGATTTTAGAGCCAACACTTTCCCAACAAGCCTCCACAGTGTGACCTCACAGGGCCTCTACTGGCACTGAGTGTCAGAATTAAGGCATCTGAGGCTGGGCCACATTCTAGCCGAGGCCCCACTCAAAACGTGGCCTGGAGTGATCAAAAGATGTTGAAATGACAGCTCCTCACCAGATGTCCTGCTCCAACTCTTGCCCCTCCATGTCCAGTCTCTTGACAAGCAGCTGAAATGTTCTTTTTCGTGTTTTTGTTTTGTTTTTTCTTTGACATGGAGTCTTGCTCTGTCGCCCAGGCTGGAGTGCAGTGGTGTGATCTCTGCTCACTGCAACCTCTGCCTCCCGGGTTCAAGCAATTCTTGTGCCTCAGCCTCCTGAGTAGCTGGGATTACAGGTGCCTGCCACCATGCCCGGCTAATTTTTGTATTTTTTAGTAGAGACGGTTTCACCATGTTGGCCAGGCTGGTCTTGAACTCCTGACCTCAGGTAATCCACCTGCTTCAGCCTTCCAAAGTGCTGGGATTACAGGTGTGAGCCACCGCGCCTGGCCTTTTTTTTTGTTTTTGTTTTTTGATTTTAGAGATAAGGTCTAGCTCTGTTGCTCAGGCTGAGTGCAGTTGGGCAATCATGGCTCGCTGCAGCCTCTATCTCCTGGACTCAAGTGATCCTCCCACCTCAGCCTCTGGAGGAGCTGGGACTATAGGCATGTGCCACCACATCTGGTTAATTTTTTTTTCAAGAAGGAGTTTCACTCTTGTTGTCTAGGCTGGAGTGCAATGGCCTGATATCGGCTCACTGCAAACTCTGCCTCCCGGGTTCAAGTGATTCTTGTGCCTCAGCCTCCTGAGTAGCTGGGATTACAGGTGCCTGCCACCATGCCCAGCTAATTTTTGTATTTTTAGTGGAGATGAGGTTTCACCATGCTGGCCAGGCTGGTCTCAAACTCCTGACCTCAGGTGATCTGCCCCCCTCAGCCTCCCAAAGTGCTGGGAATACAGACATGAGCCACTGCACCTGGTACACCTGGTTTATTTTTTAAAAGTTATTTTTGGCCGGGCGAGGTGGCTTACGCCTGTAATCCCAGCACTTTGGGAGGCCAAGACAGGTGTATCAGACGAGGTCGGGAGTTCCAGACCAGCCTGACCAACATGGAGAAACCCCATCTCTACTAAAAATACAAAATTCGCCAGGTGTGGTGGTGCATGCCTGTAGTACCAGCTATTTGGGAGGCTGAGGCAGGAGAATTGCTTGAACCCAGGAGGCAGAGGCTGGTGAACCGAGATCGTGCCACTGCACTCCAGCCTGGGCAACAAGAGCGAAATTCTGTCTCAAAAAAAAAAAGTTGTTTTTACAGAGACAGGGGTCTCTGTATGTTGCCCACGCTGGTCTGAAACTGCTACCCTCAAGTGATCCTCCCTCTTCAGCCTCCCAAAGTGCTGGAATTACAGGCATAAATCACCATGCCCAGCCTTATTCTTTTTTAATTAGCTCAGTTTCAATTTCCTATTATAAAAATACCATCAAATAGAAAATGTCAATGTTAAGTAGGCTTTCCATGTAAAGGTGGCAAATCACAAAATCTCCCTTCCTTGATACTTATTCATTCATTTTTTTTTTTTGAGATGGAATCTCACTCTGTCACCCAGGCTGGGGTGTAGTGGCACAATCTTGGCCCACTGCAACCTCTGCCTCCCAAATTCAAGTGGTTCTCCTGCCTCAGCCTCCCAAGTAGCTGGGATTACAGGTGTGCACCACCATGCCCAGCTAACTTTTGTATTTTTAGCAGAGACAAGGTTTCACCATGTTGGCCAGGCTGGTCTCGAACTTCTGACCTGAGGTGATTCACCTGCCTTGGCCTCCCAAAGTGCTGGGATTACAGGCATGAGCCACCGCGCCTGACCCCTTGATACTTACTCATTCTAATGACATTTGTTGTGTGCCTACTATGTGCCAAGTACTATATTAGGTTCTGAGAATGAACAAGATGGGACTCCTGCCACAAGGAGCCTCTGTTCTGATTTGCCGTGAGTTTGGGAGGAGGATATGCAGACAAGCAGTTCAATAAATAACAAGCTGATTTTTTAGTGTGGTATCTGCTTTGAGAGAACCAGGCAGGACGAGGCAATGAAAAGGACGATGATTTTCTCTTCACAGGATGAGGGAGGATTTCTCGAGAGATGATGTGCGAGCTGAGGTCTGAAACATGAGAAAAATCCAGCTATGGCAGGAGGTATGGGAAGTCCATTTCGGGCAGGGGAGAGCATGTGCAAAGGTCCTGAAGAGGGAAACCACTTGGCATTCATTTACAGGAGCAGAAAAGAAGCCCAGATGCCTGATGCACACTGAGCAAGAGGAAAGGAATAGAGGGTGGCAGACAGGGTCCGATCATGCTAGGATTGGTTTGGTTTTTAAGAGACATGGTCTCACTCTGTCACCCAGGCTGGAGTGCAGTGGGGCAATCATAGCTCACTGCAGCCTCAACCTCCTGGGTTCAAGAGATCCTGTCACCTCAGCCTCCCAAGTAGCTGGGACTATAGGCCTGAGCCCCACCATGCCTGGCTAAGTTTTTTTATTGTTATTAGAGATGACAGTCTTGCTATGTTGCCTAGGTGGGTCTCAAACTCCTGGACTCAAGTGATCCTCCCATCCTGGCCTATAAAAGCACTGGAATTACAGGTGTGGGACACCACATCTGGCCAAGATTGGGGGTTTAAAAAATGCTTTACTTTTAATTTTTGTGGATACACAGTAGGTGTATATATTTATGGGGTGCATGAGACGTTTTGACACAGCATGTAATGTGTAATAATCACATCAGGGTGAATGGGATGCCCATCACCTCAAGCATTTGTCCTTTCTTTGTTTTACAATCTCCAATTATGCTTTTTTTTTTTTTTTTTTTGAGACAAAGTCCAGCTCTGTCATCGGGGCTGGAGTGCAGTAGCACAATCTTGGCTAACTGCAACCTCTGCCCCCTCAGTTCAAGTGATTCCCCTGCCTCAGCCTCCTGAGTAGCTGGGACTACAGGCGTGCACCACCACGCCCCGCTAATTTTTGTATTTTTAGTAGAGGTGGGGTTTCTCCATGTTGGCCAGGCTGGTCTTGAACTTCTGACCTCAGGTGATCAGCCCCCCTTGGCCTCCCAAAGTGCTGGGATTACAGGCATAAGCCACCACACCTGGCCTATTTAAGCTATTTTTAAATATACAATAAATTATTGTTTACTATAGTCATGCTGTTGTACTGCCAAATACTACATCTTATTCATTCTAACTGTATTTTTGTACCCATTAATCATTCCTGTGCACCCCCTCCAGCCCACTACCCTTCCCAGCCTCTGGTAACCATCATTCTGTTCTCTATCTTCATAAGTTCAATTATTTTAATTCTTAGCACCCACAAATGACTGAGAACATGCAAAATTTGTCTTTCTGTGTCTGGCTTATTTTAGTTAACATAATGATCTCCAGTTCTACTCATGTTGTTGCAAATAACAGGATTATATTCTTTCTCATGGCTGAATAATATTCCATTGTGTATATATACCACATTTTTTCTATCCATTCACCTGTTGATGGACACTTAAATTGCTTCCAAATCTTGGCTATTGTGAATAGTGTTGTAATAAATATAGAAATGCAGATATTTCTTCAATATACTGATTTTCTTCCTTTTGGGTATATATCCAGCAGTAAGATTATTGCATCATAAAGTAACTCTATTTTTCATTTTTTGAGGACCCTCCAAACCGTTCTCCATAGTGGTTGTACTAATTTACGTTCCCATCAACAGTGTATCAGGGTTCCCTTTTCTCCACATCCTCAATAGCATTTGGTATCGCCTGTCTTTTGGATATAAGCCATTTTAACTGGGGTAGGATGATAGCTCATTATAGTTTTGATTTGCATTTCTCTGATGATCGATGATGTTGAGCACCTTTTTATATACCTGTTTGCAATTTGTATGTCTTCTTTTGAGAAATATTTATTCTGATCTTTTGCCCATTTTAAAATCAGATTATTATATTTTTTCCCATTTATTTTTTTTCCACCTGAGCTCTTTATGTACTCTAGTTATTAATCCCTTGTCAGATGGATTCAGAATTGGGTTTTGACTTTTACACTCAATTCTAAATCATTAAATGCTGTCAAGTGGAGAACTGACATAATATTCGTATTGGAAGACCACTTTGTGTATCAGCTATCTATTGCTGTGTAACAAACCACTCCAAGCGTAATGGTATAAAGTTACAATGATGCTTATTAGTCTTCTCACAATACTGAAGGCTGACTAGACTCACCTAGGCAGTTCTGGCTTAGGATGTCTTATGTGGTTGCCTTCAAACAGTATGCAGTTAGAATAGTCTCAATGGTTTCCTTGCTCAAATATCTCCTGGTTAATGTGGGCTGTTAGCTAGGGCCTCAGCTGGGGCTATCTGGTGGAACACCCACACATCACCTCCATATGTGGCCTGGGCTTTCTCACAAAATGGTGAATGGGTTCTAAGTGCACCCATCCCAGGAAGGACAGCCAAGTGGAAACATCTTTTATGACCTAACTTTGGCAGATCACGAGCAACACTTCCATTGTATTCTACTTATAGAAGCAGGGGACTAAGTTCATATTCAAGGGAAGATTAACTAGATTTTTTATTTTTTTTGAGACAGAGTCTTGCTCTGTCACCCAGGCTGGAGTGCAGTGGCCCGATCTCAGCTCACTGCAACCTCCACCACTCAGGTTCAAGTGATTCTGCTGCCTCAGCCTCCTGAGTAGCTGGGACTACAGGCACAAGCCACCACGGCCAGCTAATTTTTGTATGTTTAGTAGAGATGGGGTTTCACCATGTTGGCGAGGATGGTCTCAATCTCCTGACTTCGTGATCCACCCACCTCGGCCTCCCAAAGTGCTGGGATTACAGGCGTAAGCCGCCACACCCAGCCTGAAACCAGATTCTATCTCTTGATGACAAGTGTAAAAAAATTTGTAGACGGCCGGGCGCGGTGGCTCACGCCTGTAATCCCAGCACTTTGGGAGGCCGAGGCGGGCGGATCACAAGGTCAGGAGATCGAGACCATCCCGGCTAAAACGGTGAAACCCCGTCTCTACTAAAACTACAAAAAATAGCCGGGCGTAGTGGCGGGCGCCTGTAGTCCTAGCTACTTGGGAGGCTGAGGCAGGAGAATGGCGTGAACCCGGGAGGCGGAGCTTGCAGTGAGCCGAGATCCCGCCACTGCACTCCAGCCTGGGCGACAGAGCGAGACTCCGTCTCAAAAAAAAAAAAAAAAAAAAAAAAAAAAAATTTGTAGACAACTATTCTTAACAGTGAAGAGATGGAATCAACCTATGTTTCTTTCCATCAATGGAAAAAAGAATAAAGGAAATGTGGCGGCCGGGCGCAGTGGCTCATGCCTATAATCTGTATTCCCAGCACCTTGGTAGGCTGAGGGGGGCGAATCACCTGAAGTCAGGAGTTTGAGACCAGCCTGGCTAACATGGGTGAAACCCTGTCTCTACTAAAAATACAAAAATGTGCCAGGCATGGTGGTATGCACCTGTAATCCCAGTTACTTCAGGAGGCTGAGGCAGGAGAATCACTTGAATTTGGGAGGCAGAGGTTGCAGTGAGCTGAGATTACACCACTGCACTCCAGCCTGGGTGACAGAGTCAGACTCTGTCTCAAAAAAAAAAAAAAAAAAAGTTCAACACATAGAAATGCTTGATATAATCAAACTGAATCAGAGGATAAAAGAACTACAATAAAACAACTGAAAAAATAATTATGGAAATTAGAGACAGTAGTCTAACACTGGGTTGTCAATTGGTGACCCTGAGTTAGACAACCTAAAAAAATAAAACAGGGCTGGTCATGGTGGCTCAAGCCTATAATCCCAGTGCTTTAGGAAGCTGAGGTGTGAGGATAGCTTGAGGCCAGGAGTTTGAGACAAGCCTGGGCAACATAGTAAGACCCCATCTCTAGAAATTAACAAAAATTAGCCAGGTTTGGTGGTGCATGCCTGTAATCCCAGCTATTTGGAAGGCTGAGGCAGGAAGATCCTTTGAATCCAGGAGTTTGAGGCTGCAGTGAGGTATGATGACACCACTGTATTCTAGAGTCTGGGTGAAAGAGCAAGGCCCTGTCTTGAAAGAAGAAACATAGGAATGGAGGAAGGAGGAAGGGAGGGTGGGGGGAGTGAGGGAGGAAAGGAAGGAAGGAAGGAAGAAGGAAGGGAGGAAGGGGAGGGAGGGAAAGGAGAAAGAGAGAAAGAAAGAAAAGAAAGAAAGAAAGAGAAAGAAAGAAAGAGAAAGAAAGATTGCATGCAGAGATAGAGAAGTACATAGTAGCCAAAGGGCACACCGTATACCTGGAAAAACTAATACGGAGTGATTGGCCTCGAGCCAACCCTGGCTAAGCTATCAAACTTCAATGATAAAGAAAGTACTCCACTGGCCTTTGGGCAGGAAAACATAAGTACATGTGAGAAAAACCTCCAGCCAGCCTCAGACCTTCCCTTAGCCCCAGCCAGAGTCAGATGAGAATAGAGTCAGAACTTACGGGAAGACCTGAAGAAAAGGAAAATGAATCAAGAATATTCTCCCAGGCCAAGTGCGGTGGCTCATGCCTGCAATCCCAGAATTTTGGGAGGCCAAGGCAGGAGGATCACCTGAGGTCAGGAGTTCGAGACCAGCCTGTCCAAGATGGTGAAAGCCTATCTCTACTAAAAATACAAAAATTAGCCAGGCGTGGTAGTGTGTGCCTGTAATCTTAGCTACTTAGGAGAATGAGGCAGCAGAATCGCTTGAACCTGGGAGACGGAGGTTGCAGTGAGCTGAGATCACACCACTGCACTCCAGCCTGGGCAACAGGGCAAG
The DNA here is from genome assembly GCF_000001405.40 of Homo sapiens. Taxonomy (NCBI): domain Eukaryota; kingdom Metazoa; phylum Chordata; class Mammalia; order Primates; family Hominidae; genus Homo; species Homo sapiens. The sequence goes on along the minus strand of NC_000007.14, from coordinate 65,845,742 downwards.
ACTCTGTCAAAAAAAAAAAAAAAAAAAGTCATCCAAGGATAAACACATTAAACAGAAACTATCAAACATGCACCAATTCCAAAAATACAGCAGCTGTGGGTGAAAACAGAAACTGCAGATTAAAAAGAATCATAATACTTTTATTATTTTTAAAATAATTTTAATGAACATTGATAAAAAGATATCACTTTCCCATAGGCATTTATCTGAAGTTCAGAAATTCTCCCACCTTACTTTAGTTTCTTCAGCTTCTGTTGTAGCAAGCAAAATAAAAGTTATATATATATTTAAACTAAAACACAATAAAAAATACGTAAAGTTACTTTTTTTTTTGAGAAGGAGTCTCACTCTGTCACCAGGCTGGAGTTGTATTTTTGTATTTTTAGTAGAGACAGGGTTTCACCATGTTGGCCAAAATTGTCTCGATCTCTGGACCTTGTGATCCACCTGCCTCAGCCTCCCAAAGTGCTGGGGATTACAGGTGTGAGCCACCGCACTCATCAAAGTTATTTTCAGTCCATTAATCTATCTACTTATCTAGCTACCTATTTGCACAAAAAGAGGTATGAATTAATTTTTTTTTTTTTTTTTGAGACAGAGTCTCTCTTTGTTGCCTAAGTTAGAGTGGAATGGTGTGATCTTGGGTCACTGCAACCTCTGCCTCCCAGGCTCAAGAGATTCTCGTGCCTCAGCCTCTCAAGTAGTTAAGATTACAGGCATCACCATGCTCAGCTAATTTTTGTATTTGTAGTAGAGATGAGGTTTCACTATGTTGGCCAGGCTGGCCTCGAACTCCTGAATTCAAGTGATCTGCCTGCCTCAGCCTCCCAAAGTGCTGGGATTACAGGCATGAGCTATCATGCCTGGCCATATCACCTAATGTTAAGAGTTATTTCTTGGTGGTTGAAAATTTCATGATTTGCTACTTGCTTCTTTGTACTTTTCTTTCCTCTCTCCTCTCTCTCTCTCTCTCCCCCTCCCTCTTTCTGACAGGGTCTCACTCTGTTGCCCAGGCTGCAGTCTCAAACTCCTGGGTTCTAGTGATCCACCTATCTCAGCCTCCCGAGTCGCTGGGACTACAGGTGCACATTATCATAACTGGTTTTTAACTTTTTATAGAGATGGGATCTTGCTATGTTGTTCATGCTGGTCTCATACTCCTGGCCTTGAGCAATCCTTCTACCCTGCCTTCCCAAAGTGCTGGGATTACAGGTGTGAGCTATAGCACCCGGCGTGCTTTGTACTTTTCTATAGGACTTAGATTTTATATAATAATTACAAATAATTTTTACAAAAGCAGTAGTCATTCTAAACTTTTAAAAATTAAGCAGTGATTAAGAAAGAGCTACAGAAAGTAGTATTAATTCAGCACCTATTATATGCTAGATATTTTGCATATAGCGGATCACCTAATCCACATATCAAGGCAAGAATTATAATCTTTATTTTCCAAGAGAGAAAACTGAGGCTTAGAAGCATTTGTTAATTCTAGAGTTACACTGCCGCTGCCAAAATAAGTGCCCCCTCCCAGCAGCCTGCCCACTGCTGGTCTTATCAAATTCAAACCCCACTTCCACCCCCACATCTGTGCACAAGAATGTTCACACACGCGCACACACACACACACACACAAACACACAATTTCTGCAATATTCCATCTGACTAGGTCAGGAACTTGTCATGACAAACCAAATGCAATACCTATTTCCTGACCAAAGCTGTTATTCAATATCTCTATCACTTGAGAAATAGTTTGATTTCATGTTGACAAGGGTCACACTGAGGTCTTAAGAGAAGTAACAATTACAAAGCATCCTAGTCCCTGTGAAAGGGTGTGATGTTCAGATACATCCAGCCCTTTGAGATGCTCTGCTGGAAGGTGGTTGAGGTGCAAAGTACTATTGACTCATGGTCATCTTGGTCCATGGTCATTAATAATGATACTTTGTACTTCTTTCATGTTTGTGCTAAGGGTGGTTTCAAAACCTGGAAGAAGCTTATCAACTTCTAGGCATTCAAATATCTCTTTCACAATATATAGATGTGTGTGTGTATGTGTATGCTATGAAAATATACACATATATACATATATGAATATATATACACACACATACATATATAAATATTTACAGTATACTAATAAAAAAGTAAATTCTTTTTTTTTTTTGAGATGGAGTCTCACTCTGTCACCCAGGGTGGAGTGCAGTGGCTCGATCTCAGCTCAATTCCATCTCTGCCCCCCCAGATTGAAGCGATTCTCCTGCCTCAGCCTCCTGAGTAGCTGGGATTACAGGCACCTAATTTTTCTATTTTTAGTAGAGACAGGGTTTCACCATCTTGGCCAGGCTGGTCTTGAACTCCTGACCTCATAATAGACCCACGTCGTCCTCCCAAATTGCTGGGATTACAAGCATGAGCCACTGTGCCTGGCATAAAGTGAATTCTTAATCATCCTTGAAAAGAAAATGGCAGGCCAGGTGTGGCTCTCACCTGTAATCCCAGCACTCTGGGAGGCTGAGTTGGAAGGATCACTTGAGCCCAGGAGTTTGAAACCAGCCTGGGAAACATGGTGAGACCCCCTCTCTACAACAAATATAAAAATTACCTGGGCATGGCAGCTTATACCTGGGGTCCCAGCTACTCAGGAGGCTGATGTGAGAGGATCACTTAAGCCAAGAAAGCAGAGGTTGTGGTGAGCTGAGATCACACCACTGCAGTCCATCCTAAGTGACAAAGCAGTACCTTGCCTCAAAAAAAAAAAAAAAAAAAGAAAAGAAAAGAAAAAAATTGGTATCCAAGAAAAATTTAAAATCTCTCTCTACATAGAAATGTATATAGTCATAGTGTATTAATCAAAAAGTAAATTCTTAATAGTTCATGACAAGCAAATGGCAAGCCAGGCATGGTGGCTCATGTTTGTAATCTCAGCACTTTGGGAGGCCCAGGCAAAAAGATTGCTTGTGTCTAAAAGTTTGGGACCAGCCTGGGCAACCTAGTGAGAACCAACCTCTCAGAAAAAATCAGAAATTAGCCAGGCATGGTGGCATATGCCTGTAGTCTCAGCTACTCAAGATGCTGAGTTGGGAGGATCACTTGAGGCCAAGAGGCCAAGTCTGCAGTAAGCCATAATCACATGACTACACTCCAGCCTGGGTGACAGAGCAAGACCCTGTCTAAGAAAACTATAAAAGAAAAAGAAAACTATAAAAAATATAAAAAGAAGACATGAAGTGAGAAGCTACCATGTCCAGGGCAAAGACAAAGGGCCCAAGCAAAAGCCCATTCCCCTCCTCACCCCCAGTAGACAAGAAAAACCATGAGACACTAAATAAAACAGAAATCACTGTGAAACCACACAGGCAGAATTTACTATCGATTTGTCAGAAATCCACTCTCAAGGTTAAGAGACAGTTTTTGCTAAGGCACTCTGCTGTAAAGTGAACAAATGAGAGTCCAGGGAAGCTTTAGGCTCCTTGATGCTGTTGACCATCAAAGGCTTAAAGCTGGATCTGGAAGAGGCAACTGTGAGGCAAGAGCAAAACCAGAAGAGGCTACCATGAGGCAAAAGATGGGCCTTGAGTGGCCACTGTGAGGCAGAAGATGGGCCAGACGAGGCCATTGTGAGGCAGGAGCTGGTGTAAGAGAGACCACCATGAGACAGGAGCTGGGTCTTGGGAGGCAGATCTGAGGTAGGAGATGGGCCTAGTGAGGCCACTGTGAAAAAGGAGCTGGGCCTAGAGAGGCCAGTGTGAGGCAGAAGCTGGGCCGGTTGAGGCTGCCAGAAGTCAGATAGGAACATGGCCGGGGAAGGCCACCATGAGGCAAGAGCTGGGCCTGGAAAGCCTGCTGCGAGGCAGGAGAAAAGCCTGGAGAGGCCATTGTCAGGCAGGAGCTGGGCCTGTTTAGGCTGCCACGAGGCTGACAGTAGGCCTGGAGAGCTTGATTTGAGAAAATTTTGAGCCTACAAAGGCCACCAGGAGCTGGGCAGAAGCTGAGTCCAAGGAGGTTGTTGTGAGGCAGGAGTTGGGCCTGTAGACACAGCAGGGAGGAAGAGCTCGGCCTGCAGAGGATGCCAGGAGGCAGCAACTGGGCCTAAAGAGGCCGACTTGAGGAAGTTCTGGGCCTGGAGAGGCCGCCAAAAGGGAAAAACTGGGCCTGGAAAGGCCGTTGTAAGGAATGAGCGGGGCCTAAAGAGGTCATTGAAAGGCAGGAGCTGGGCTTGTCGAAGCTGCCAAAAGGCAGGAGTTTTGGACTGGGGAGGCTACAGTGAGGCAAGAGCTGGGTGTGGAGAGTCCGCTGTGAGGTAGAGGCTGGGCCTGTACAGACCTTAAGAAGGCAGGAGCTGGGCCTGGAGAGGCTGACTTGAGTTCAAGTTCTGGGCCTGAAGAGGCCACCAAGTCAAAAGCAGGGCCTGAGAAGGCCACCAAGAGGCATGAGCTGGGCCTGGACAGGCTGATGGGAGGAAGTTTTGCACCTGGAGAGGCCACCAAAAGGCAGGAGCTGGGCCTGGAAAAACCAACTGGAGGACGATTTGGGTCTTCAGAGGCCACCAGGAGGCAGGAGCTGGGAAAGAAGAGGCCAATTTGAGGATGATTTGGGCCTGCAGAGGTTGCTGGGAGGAAGAGCTGGGCCTGGAGAGGCTGACTGGGGGAAGTTCTGGGCCTGGAGTGGCCAAAAAGCGAAAGCTAGGCCTGGAAAGGCCACAGTGAGGCATGAGCGTGGCCTACAAAGGCCATTGGGAGGCAGCAGCTAGGCCTGTAGAGGCTGCCGAAAGGCAGGAACCTGGTCAGAGGAGGCCATGGTGAGGCAAGAGGTGGGACTGGAAGGTGCACTGTGAGGTAGAGGCCAACAACAGGCAAAAGCTGGGCCTGGAGAGATGACAAGAGGAATGAGCTGGGCCTAAACAGGCCAGTATGAGAAAGGACCTCGGCCTAGAGAGGCCAGTGTGAGGCAGGAGCTGGGCCTGGACAGGTTGCCAGAGGCATCAACTGGACCTAAACAAGCCATTGTGAGGGAGGAGCTAGGCCTGTTGAGGCTGCTGGGAGGCAGGCGGGAACTTGGCCCACGGAAGCCACTGTGAGGCAAGAGATGGGCCTGGAGAGGGAGCTAAGAGGCAAGAGCAGGGCCTGCAGAGGCTGTTCTCAAGCCAGAGCTGGGTCTGTACAGGCCACTGCAAGGCAGAAGGTGGGCCTAAAGAGCTTGACTTGAGGAAGTTTTGGGCCTACAAAGGCCGGCAGTAGTTGGGCAGGAGCTGAGCCATAAAAGGTTGTTGTGAGGCAGGAGTTGGTCTTGTAGATACAGCCAGGAGGAAGAGCTAGGCCTGGAGAGAATGCCGGGAGGCAGCAACTGGGCCTGGAGAGGCCGACTTGAGGAAGTTTTGGGCCTGGAGATGATGTCCCGGGACAGGAGCTGGGCCTGGAGAGGCCACTGTGAGGCATGAGCTGGGCGTAGAGAGGCCAGTGTGTGGCAGGACCTGGGCCTGTCCAGGCTGCCAGGAAATAGGTGGAAACTTGGCCAGGGAAGGTTGCCATGAGACAAAAGTTGGGCCTGGAAAAATCATCGTGAGGTATGAGCTTGGCCTAAAGAGCCATTGGGTGGCAGGAGCTGGGTGTGTAGAGGCTGCTGAAAGG